>NC_000005.10:112231019-112534049 GCF_000001405.40 Homo sapiens | reverse complement strand
ATGTCACTCCACACAGTGAGGCATGATATTGGCAACTTGCTTTCAAATAATTCTGGAAAAAGTTTTTAGTATTGTACATGCATGCTTCTGTAAGTTTGAGATTGTTTTTTTTTTTTTTTTTTAAAAAAAACCCACAACAATTTTCAAATATTCTCTGGCACTGGCGTGAGTTTAAAGGTAATGATTTCATAGATGCCATCATGTATTCTTTGGAGATTTCACTCCTTGTCCTCTCTCCACTTCCACACCATCTTCAAGGATCTCTCTGCAACTCTGTTCATGTGAATGGTGCCCTCTCATTCGGTGTGTTGCTTATTCCCTCTCCAATCCCTATGAGTCAGACTATGCCATCAGCTTCTCTCTACTGAGGACTTTGCCCTCCTAGGTAGCCCTATTGGACAGGATATAAGATGACCTCATGCCAGCTTTCTTGTGTGTGGTTCACATTTCTGTTATGTAAAATCCATGCATCTCTTGCTCTGACAAATTCTGTGTATGCAGGCCTATGTCAACCCAGCCATCTTTCCCTTGGCTTACCAGTCAGCTGCTGTCCAGCCTGTCTCTCACCCTTGAGTGCTCAGAGGGGAGTCACACTCAAGTGCAGTGTGTCCCCACCCCCAGACTTCAGGAAATACACATTAAGCTCTCTGAGAATTCCCTTTGATGCTTCTTCTTCTAAGTTGAGATGAAAAAACAAGCAATTCACATCCTATTCTTTTGCGAATGAGGTGGTAGAGGAACCCACAGCACATGCAGAGCTTTCAGAAGACATATCACTCTTCAAAAATCCCTTATTTTCATTTCCAGTAGCCAGATGCTTTTATATGCTCAACGTGGATGACGGATTTAAGAGCTGTGCAACTCTGGTTTTGACATGCATCATGGTTATGCAAGATATTAATGTTGGGTGAATGTGGGTGAAGGGTGTGTGAAAACCTCTGTACTATTTTTGTCACTTCTTCTGAATCTTAAGCTATTTCAATATGTAAAGTTATTTTAAAAATGGTCATGCAACTAATTTTCATTTTTGGATAACATCTTGTTTTAGAATGTTGGATTTGGATTTAGAATTAAACTTACCCTGTTTTCAGTGGATCAAGTTTGAAATGTTGTCTCTTTTGTGTTTTGATGTCAGAAGTTCTAATTTAAAATCTTAAGTAGTGTGAGATCATGGCCGACAGGATGGGGGCAGGACTAGATTGCAGCTCTGGACAAAGCAGTGGAGGGCAGCTCACATTGTGAATTTTAGCTCCAGATAGACTGCAAGAACAAACCAGCAATCCCAAGAAGACCCACAGACCCTCCGAAGGAAGTGGACTGCTCCTAGAGGATCCAGGAGACCCTCCCAAAACTGTGAGTGCCCCAACTGTGGAAGTGAGAAAGGGAGACCTTCCTCTCCCAAACACACACCCACACTGTAGCAGGACAAGCTGCAGTCAAAACCCCTCAGACACTGAGTTAAAGAAGGAAGGGCTTTATTTAGGCAAGAGCTTTAGCAAGACTCACGTCTCCAACAACCGAGCTCCCCAAGTGAGCAATTCCTGTCCCTTTTAAGGGCTCACAACTCTAAGGGTGTCCGCTTGAGAGGGTCGTGATCAATTGAGCAAGCAGGGGTACATGACTGGGGGCTGCATACATCGGTAATTAGAAAGAAACTGAACAGGACACGGATCTTCACAGTGCCTTTTTTATGCAAATAACTGATTAGGTCAGGGGTCGATCTTTAACTACCAGGCCCAGGGTGTGGCACCGGGTTGTCTGTTTGTAGATTTCATTTCTGCCTTTTAGTTTTTACTTCTTCTTTCTTTGGAGGCAGAAATTGGGCATAAGACAATATAAGGGGTGGTCTCCTCCCTTATTCCCCCCATTTGAGAATCTCACTCAATAGTGGGAGTTCTCACTTTCATCCTCACTACCCATGTCTTCTTGCAAGACAGATCGATGGTGATTCATATAGTACACTTGTGCTGGAGTATTTTGGAGAGCTAAGGTAGCGATGAAGCTTTTTTATCATTTGAAGAAGTACAGGTAGCAAACAAGGGAGCAGTAAGCAGGTTTTTATTACTATTATAACTCCTATTATAAGAGTTTTAAATCCTCCTAGCACTGGGAGCCATTTTCCAAACATGGCTTCAGGATCAAATCCATGCCACACTTGCATGGACACGTGTGCCAGTTTTGTCATATCTCTAACTATGTCTTCAACCACTCGCCCTTGATCATCTATGTGTAGACAGCAATTAGTAAGGTTAAATTTCCCACAGACCCCTCCTTCAACTGCTAGCAAGTAGTCGAGAGCCAATCTACTTTGATAGATAGCATTTCTCATCTGAGTTTCTTGCCAGGCCAGAATAGTCAAGGCTCTGCTGGTTGTATCAGTGGTTATTTCTAAGACAGCTTGTAACCGTATGATTTGGTTCATCATGTAAATGGGGGTCCGGCGTCCCCATGAGCTGTCTTGTGCCCAAGTAGCAGGCCCATAATATTGTATGATTCCCTCAGGGGACCATTCATCATCTTTCCAATTTCCTATAGCTTTGCTTCTCTTTTCACTGGAAGCATAGACAGGGAAGCCCAGGAGTTCACCTGTCTTTATGGGCAGTAGAAAGAAAGATGGTTTAATAGTGACAATAACACAACTACCCGCCCACTGTTCGGATAATTTGGCATAAGCTCTATGCCCACATATCCAGTATAATCCAGTGGGGGCTGTCCAGTCCCGGTGGGACTCCGGGTGGGTCCACACGGTTTGCAACTTTGGGAATTTACTAAGTGGATTCCTCTCTGTGTGATTTGAACTCCACCAAGTGACTGTCTTTGTGGTGCCATTATACAGTTTCTGTTCCAGACAACTAAGTCATTCTACGGGGTAAGTGAATTCTTTTCCTTCTCTAGCTATGCAATATTGTCCAATAATTGAGGCTTTTAGGACTCAGAAATTATTAGAGTGATTCTTTTGAGCCAGGAATTCATCAGGAGCTGGGTCTGTATGTACTAATTTTCAGGCTTCCCATGGCCATTGATCTCCCACTGCAGTTCCTCCACAGACATAACATGAAGTGACATTGAGAGACTGGGCTACATGCTTGGCTAATTGCAAAAACAAATTTCTTGTTTTTCCTGGAATTTCTGGTACTGGCACATTTAGTTCATCATAGAAAGTTTGAAACACTGGCTCAGGAGAGTGTTTGTAAACTTCTCCTCAAACTAAGAAATTTACTCGAGGATCCAGTCTGGCCCCATTGATTCCTAAGGTCACATGCTCCCCTTTTCTCCAGCGTGGATCAAGGGGATTGGTTATTACTAGCTCTAAGGTGTTACCTTGTCCCTTAGTACAGGAAGGGCCATTTTTTCCTTTCTGAAGGTGGACTGGATCCTTTTCATTTTTTATCCAAGTGGCCCAAATGACACAAGACCAGTATCCACATTCATTTCCACACAGTCCTAATTCATGACAAATGTACTTATTTTTGGTCACATAGCCTTTTTCCCAACTAAAAGAGCTATATCCCCTTCCTAACTTATTGCTATTAATGACACCACAGGTATCAAATTTCAAGATTGTGCATCTGGGCACCCCTTTTTCTTCTGTTCTGGCTAATACTTTACTTGTATCATTTATGAGTCCCCACCAGTCTTCAGTCCTTAATTTTATTTCAAAAACTGTGGACATGGGAGGCTCAAAGGGGTCATAACACACATCTGGCCAGTCATTTCCTGGGCTACATACCTTATACTGAGTGTCGTTATATAAACATATTCCTTTTAAATTTCCTGGGCATTCATAGTAACTATAGAACAGAAAGATTGTTGTAACTTGTTGTGCTACCTCGGTAACCTGATGTATACACTGAGAGCAGTCCTACATGTGAGGAAAATCAGTGGAAGTTTTTACTATACAAGTCCAAATTATAAGGAAAGTGAGTCCCACAATGATCCTCCTCATGTTTTGGCTGTGCGTAGACCAGTCAGCTTCCAGGTGTGACTGGAGCAGGGCTTGTCATCCTCCTCAGAGTCACTTTGCAGGGGTTGTCCAGGCTCTGTTTTGCCTCCCAGGTTTCAGCGGCTGCAGGATTCACATGGCTGTGGTGGACCCAGGATGGGATTCCTTCTACCTTTACAGCCTTGGGGGTGGTCAGGATGATGGTCTGAGGTCCTTTCCACCATGGCCACAAAGGGGCTATGTTCCAGTCCTTGATCCACATGCGATCACCTGGAGAGAACGGGTGAACTGGGGAGAGTAAGCTGATGGGATACCTCTCATTTACCCAAGTTGAGATTGTTTGTGTAATTTTTCCTAAAGCCTGTAGCTGTCGCTGTAATTCAATTTCACCTGACACTTGGGGAGTGCCTGAAAGCCCCAGTAGTATGGGAGGAGGCCTATGATACGGTATTTCCTAAGGGGAGTGTCCTGTTTTCTTAGAAGGAGTGCATCTAATTTTAAACAATATCATAGGAAGAGACTGTATCTGCTTTAATCCTATTTCCTGACATACTTTCCCTAAACTATTTTTGATAGTCCGATTCATTCACTCCATCTTTTCCAGAACTCTGAGGTCAGTAGGTGGCACATAGCTTCCAAGTGATTCCTAATGCCTTTGCTGTCTTCTGTACCAAGTCAGCCACAAATGCCCGCCCATTATCTGAGCCAATTCATAAAGGCAGTCCAAACCTAGGAATAAAATCTCAGAGAAACACATGGGTTACCTCATAGGCCTTTTCAGTTTGTGTTGGATACGCCTCCACCCACTCAGAGTAAGTACACACAAGAACCAGCAAATACTTGTTACCTCCACATTTCGGCATTTCTGTGAAATCCACCTCAAAATCCTCAAAAGGAGCCGCTCCATAAGCTTGTATGCCGGGTGGAACAGTGGGGCCTTACCTCGCATTGTGCTGTTGGCAAATAATGCACTGCTGTGCTACAGCTTTGGCAAGGGCTGGCAAGTATGAGATGTAGAAGTAGCAGCTTAACAATTTTTCATGTGACTCTTGACCTAGATGAGTGGTTTCATGCATGGCCAATATGATTGTGGCTCCCAGCAATTGTGCCATAGCTACTCTCCCATCTGGCAGTCTGATCCATCCTCCTTTTATTACTTGCCCCCCTTCTGCATGGAAGAAGTCTTTTTCTTCCTTAGAATAGGTAGGTACCAGGTCAGGTGTTTGAGGGAGTAAGGGGGCTGCTACTGATGCCCAGTAAGGGGTAGATGCTGCATTTTGAGCTTCTGAATCAGCTCAAGAGTTTCCTAAGGCCACTGAGGTGGAGGCTTGCTGGTGTCCCCTGCAGTGCATGACTGCTGCCTTCTGAGGTTTCCACACTGCCTCTAGTAATTGTAGAATTACTTGTTGATATTTTATGTCCTTTCCCCCAGAGTTTAACAGGACCTTTTCCTTATATAATGCTCCATGCACTTGGAGGGTTAGAAAAGCATATCGAGAGTCAGTGTAGATGTTTAGTCTTACCTTCACTGAGTTCTAGAGCCCGAGTTAAAGCAATGAGCTCAGGCTTCTGGGCTGAAGTGCCCTGTGGCAACAGTTTGGCTTCAATGGCAGCATCCAAAGTTACCACTGCATATCCTGCACATCTTTCTCCTTATGGGTTGATGAAGCTACTCCCATCCACGTATAACTCCCAGTCTACTGATGCCCATGGCTGGTCCCAAAAGTCAGGTCTGCTAGAATAAACTGAGTCCAACACCTCTACACAGTTACGCTTGACCAGGCTCTCTGATACTGGGAGCAGGTGGCGGGATTTAGGGTGTTACAGACTTCAGTGGTTATGCGGGGATTTTCACATAGCAAGCTTTGGTACTTGATTAAACTAGCATTTGGTAGCCAATGATGTCCTTTGGTATTCATCAAAGTTACCACAGCATGGGGGGCCTTTATATTCAGGTTTTGCACAAGGGTTAGTTTATCTGCTTCTTGTGCTAACAGGGCTGTTGCTGCCAGGGCCCTTAGACATGGTGGCCAGCCTTTGGAAACCCCATCTAGTTGTTTTGAGAGATAGGCCACTGGTGTAGGCCAGGGCCCCACAGTCTGGATTAAAACTCCAACTGCCGTTTTTTCTCTTTCTGACACATAGAGTGTAAAGGGCTTTGTCAAATCTGGTAGTCCTAGGGCTGGGGCCGACATAAATTTTTCCTTTAACTTACAAAAGGCTTGCTGTTGTAGAGGTTCCCATTCAAAGCGCTCCCAATCGCCCCACTTTGTAACCCTGTACAAAGGTTTTGCTAGCATTGCAAAGTTTGAAATCCCTAATCTGCAAAACCCTACAGCTCCTAGGAATTCCCTTACTTGCCTCCTGGTTTTAGGTTCTGGTAGGCTGCAGGTGACCTGCTTTCTTTATGACCCCAGGCTGCACTCCCCTTTCTGAATAGTGAATCCCAGGTAGCGTACCTGCTGTCTGCAGATCTGAGCTTTCTTCTTGGACACCTTATACCCACAGTCCTCCAGGTGCTGAAGCAGGGCATCCATCCCTTTTGCGCACCTGACTGCCGTGGAGTGTCCCAGCAGAAGGTCATCCATGTACAGGAGCAAGATGCAGCCTAGGTCTTTAGCAGGAAACTTTTGCAGGTCTCGAGCCAGGGCCTCCCCAAAGATAGTAGGGGAGTTCTCAAACCCTTGGGTAAGCTGGGTCCAAGTGTACTGAGTAGTGACACCTGACTCCGGATCTTCCCACTGAAAGGCAAACAGCTTCTGGCTCTCAGGAGATATTCTGATGCTAAAGATGGCATCTTTTAAGTCTAGACAGGTAAAGCAGCTATCCTCAGCCAGCAGCAGCCCTAACAATGTGTAAGGGTTAGGAACTGTTGGGTGCAGAGTCACTGTAGCTTGGTTGACCAAATGCAAGTCTTGTACTGGTCAGTAGTCCTTGGTCCCTGGCTTAGGGACAGGCAGGAGGGGAGTGTTCCATGGAGACTGGCAAGGAACTATAATTCCATAGGCTTTCAAGTGCCTGAGTTGAGCCTGGATTCCTTCAAGAGCTTCCCTGGGAACTGGATACTGCTTTTGTCTAATTGGTTGGGCCCCAGGCTTAACTTCTATGAGTACAGGGGCTTGGTTGACCACCAGTCCTGGAGGATTATCCTCTGCCCATATTCAAGGCCATTGCTTAGCTAGAGCTGGTTTTATCCCTTGGCCTGGCTCGGTTAAAAAAAAGTCTCCATTCTTCTTCCTGGGGGACTGTAAGGGCCATGATAACTCCTGTTCTGGGTAACTTTTGCTGTAAAGAGCTCTGTTTTGTAAAGGAGATGGTGGCTGTCAGCTTGCTAAGCAAGTCTCTTCCCAGCAAGGGCAAGGGACAGTCAGGCATGTACAAGAACTGGTGAACTATTTCTTGTCCACCCACCGAGCAGGTCCATGGTAGATAGAAAGCCTGCTTAGTGGAAACTCCTGTTGCTCTGGTTATATCAATGGTTTTCTTGGATAAGGGGGCAAATGGGGTGGTCACTACTGAATGTTCAGCACCAGTATCGACCAAAAACTTAATGTCCTTGCCCCCAATTGTAATCCTGACCATGGGATCCTCGGGGGCACTTAAGCCTGGTCCCCTTCAGTCCAATAGCCCTTCAGCCAGATTGAACAGAGTTCCCTCATCTTTATCTGAGGTCTTTTGTTCCAAATTACCTTGCTTTTCCTTCAGTTGGGTACACTTATCTTTCCAATATCCTGTTTCCTTACAATAGGTGCATTGGTTACATTGCAAGCATGGGTGATTAGACTGGATATTCTTCCCAGAACCCCCCTTTCCCACTCCTTTCGAGGGAATTCCCCTAATGGCCACAGCCAGTAAGTTGGCATTTCACCTGGCCTGGCATTCGCCTTCCTTACGGCTTTCTCTGTGGCTTATTGCATCTCTATTTACAAACACTTGATTGGCTATTTCCAGTAACTGTGAGGTATTCATACCTGCAAACCCAACCTGTTTCTGCAATTTTCTCCTGATATCTTCTGCACTTTGACTAACTAAGGCCATGTAAATCGTGCACTGATTTTCAGGGCTATCTGGATCAAAGGGAGTGTACATACGGTAAGCCTCACACAGTCTTTCATAGAATTGTGCTGGACTCTCCTCTTTTCCTTGGATGACCTTAGAAACCTTATTTACATTTGTAGCCTTTTGAGCCCCTTTCTTTAGACCTTCTATTAATCCCTCACAGTACCGTCTTAGCCTCTCCATGTCTGGTCCCTCGTTCGGGTCCCAGTGGGGGTCTGCTCCTGGCAGCTGAATTCTTATATATTCTTGGAGGTTTTGGTAATCAGCTGGGACGCGCCTCTCTAGCCACTTAGTTGCCACCCAGAGCACCCTTTGCCTTTCATCTGTATTAAAGAGGTACATGAGCAGCTGGTGGCAATCAGCCAAAGTAGTATTATGAGTCTGTATAATAGTTTGGAGCAAGTCAATTAAAGCTTAAGGGTTTTCGGTATAAGATGGTGTATTATTTTTCCAATTGATGAGGTCAGCAGAGAAGAAAGGTTGATACACAAAGGCACGCTTTTCCACCATGTGTCCATCCTCATCTACCCCAGTATATCACTGCTCTCTCAGGGGCATTTGGATTCCAGTCTTGGGCCATAATGGAGCTGCCAATGGAGGATTTTCTCCTGTGGCTTCACTTCCTCTTTTGTCTACTCTGGGTGGTCTAGGAGTGTGGTTATCTGGTGGAGGTGTACATGCTATGGGCTCAGGAGTGGGGAGCCCCTCTCAATAAGGGAGGGCGGGTACTGCTGTTACCAATTCCTGCCACGATTCTTCTGGTGTTGGGTTGGACAGGACTTCTGGTACCGACTTACCTCAGCGGGTGGAGCGAGAACCTTCCTTAACTAACTGTCCCTTTGCTACTAGTACTGTTGCTGCCTGTCCTCTTAACCACTGTGGGGGGTTCAAATCTAGCTGTAACCAAGAATCTATATATGGCAACTGATCTGGGTGCCCTGGCTTACAGGTTACCCTGTGCCATACCTTCGAGACAAGGGACCTGTGCAGGCTTCCTTCTGATGGCCAACCCACCTCTAATGCTGGCCAGTCTATCTCACACAAAGTCCTAAGTTTTCCTGGTGTCATAGTAATTCCATAGTATCCCTTAAATCCCTTTTTGAAAATTTTCAACATAGTTCCTAGTGGGTTGGACTTACTTTGTGCCTGACCCATGTTTCCTCGAGACAAAACACCACGCTCACACCACACGCACACCACAAAACAAAGAATGGGTAAAAAGGGCACACATAGACTTTTTCAGTTTACACCAAACCAGAATCAGAACCAAAATCAGAGTATTGAGAAATCCAAGCCAGGTCAAGACCAAAACCAAAGGATCAAGCAATCCAAGTCAAGTCAAAAACAAAAAAACAAAATGCCGGTATGGGCATGCCATGGGTGATCAGGCCATGCTTCCACTCAAATGGAGTAGGCAAGTTCCAAAGACTAGTCTTACCAAGTTTCAGATGTCCGGACTCCAAGTGCCAGTTTCTTACCATTGTTAGTCACTGTGTTGATCCTCCATGGGGGCCTGCCACACACTGCTCTGGTGAGGTGTTCCACTGGGGGAATTGCCTACCTGGAAGCGCTCTCAGGATCTGCATCACTCAAGCTGGCTGGAGTCCCCTGCAGGGATGCTCCACAGGGCAGGCCTAAGCCGCCTAAGGGGCTGCCTCAACCATCCATTAATCACATTGCTTCCTGGTCAGGGAACCAAGAAATGTAGCAGGACAAGCTGCAGACATAGCCCCTCAGACACCGAGTTAAAGAAGGAAGGGCTTTATTTGGCCAGGAGCTTTGGCAAGACTCACATCTCCAACAACAGAGCTCCCCAAGTGAGCAATTCCTGTCCCTTTTAAGGGCTCAGAACTCTAAGGGGGTCCACGTGAGAGGGTCGTGATCAATTGAGTAAGCAGGGGGTATGTGACTGGGGGCTGCATACACCGGTAATTAGAAAGGAACTGAACAGGACACACATCTTCACAGTGCCTTTTTATGCAAATAACTGATTAGGTCAGGGGTTGATCTTTAACTACCAGGCCCAGGGTGTTGCACCGGGCTGTCTGCTTGTGGATTTCACTTCTGCCTTTTAGTTTTTACTTCTTCTTTCTTTGGAGGCAGTAATTGGGCATAAGACAATATGAGGGGTGGTCTCCTCCCTTATCACTAGAGAAGCTGAAGGTCTGTTTGTGGGAGAAGTTTCTGACTTTACCTGGAGCTAAGTCAATTTGGAGAGTAGAGAGAAATACAGGGGTAGAGAAAGCAGCAGAAAGGCCCTGGGAGCTTGCTGGGTCCCCTAGCAGGCCATTCCTGCATGACACCACAGGGATCCATTGGAAGGGTGGCCAGAGGAGCAGGGGGTAAAACTCCACAGAGAGAATGAAATCTCTGGTTGAACTCTGTAACAATTTGAACGGGGTGAGAAGCCTCCTGGCCAGAACTCAGGGGCGGGCGCAAATCCAGTGTGCGGACTCCACTGGCAGGGGAAGAACCAAGCCCCTATTTTCACAGCTGGGAGGTGGATAGCCCGGGGCTGGTTTTCAAGCCCCTATCACTCTCTGCCTGGAAACGGTCTGGGGGCTGTTATGGGGGGAACGATGGGAGTGAGATTGACCCTTCAGTTTGTGTGGGAGCTGGGTGAGGCCTGTGACTGCTGGCTTTCCTGCACTTCCCTGACAACCTGCATGGCTCAGCAGAGGCAGCCATAATCCTCCTAGGCACACAACTCCAGTGACCTGAGAATCTCACCCCCATCCCCCACAGCAGCTGTAGCAAGACCCGCCTGAGGAGAGTCTGAGCTCAGACACACCTAGCCCCACCCCACCTGATGATCCTTCCCTACCCACCCTGGTAGTGGAAGACAAAGGGCATATAATCTTGGGAGTTCTAAGGCCCCACCCACCACCAGTTCCTCCCCATAATACCACAGCTGATGCTCTCTGGAAAGCACCACCTCCTGGCAGGAGGTCAACCAGCACAAAAATAGAACATTAAACCACCAAGGCTAAGAACCCTCACAGAGTCCATTGCACCCC
The DNA here is from genome assembly GCF_000001405.40 of Homo sapiens. Classification (NCBI taxonomy): domain Eukaryota; kingdom Metazoa; phylum Chordata; class Mammalia; order Primates; family Hominidae; genus Homo; species Homo sapiens. The sequence goes on along the minus strand of NC_000005.10, from coordinate 112,523,030 downwards.
CCACCCCCAGCCACCTCCACCTGAACAGCCACTAGCATCGACAGCTGAGAGACTCATAGACAGTTCACATCACAGGACTCTGTGCAGACAATCCCCAGTATGAGCCCAGAGCCAGGTAGACTCAATGGGTGGCTAGACCCAGAAGAGAGACAGCAATCATTGTGGTTTGGCTCACAGGAAGCCACACCCATAGGAAAAGATGAAGAGTACTACATCAAGGGAATATCCTATGGGATAAAAGAATCTGAACAACAGCCTATAGCTCTAGACCTTCCCTCTGACAGAGTCTACTCAAATGAGAAGGAAGCAGAAAACCAACCCTGGTAATATGACAAAACAAGGCTCTTCAACAGCCCCCCAAAATCACACTAGTCCACCAGCAATGGATCCAAGCCAAGAAGAAATCCCTGATTTACCTGAAAAAGAATTCAGGAGGTTAGTTATTAAGCTAATTAGGGAGGGACCAGAGAAATGCAAAGCCCAGTACAAGGAAATCCAAAATGTGATACAAGAAGTGAAGGGAGAAATATTCAAGGAAACAGATAGCTTAAAGAAAAAGCAATAAAAAATTCAGGAAACTGTGGACACACTTTTAGAGATGTGAAATGCTCTGGAAAGTCTCAGCAATAGAATTGAACAAGTAGAAGTAAGAAGTTCAGAGCACGAAGACAAGGTCTTCAAATTAACCCAATACAATAATGACAAAGAAAAAAGAATAAGAAAATATGAACAAAGCCTCCAAGAAGTCTGGGATTATGTTAAATGACCAAACCTAAGAATAATTGGTGTTCCTGAGGAAGAAGAGAATTCTAAAAGCTTGGAAAACATATTTGGGGGAATAATTGAGGAAGACTTCCCTGGCTTTGCTAGAGACCTAGATATCCAAACGTGAGAAGCACAAAGAACACCCAGGAAATTCATTGCAAAAAGATCTTTGCCTAGACACAGTGTCCTCAGGTTATCCAATGTTAAGACAAAGGAAAGAATCCTAACAGCTGTGAGATGGAAGCACCTATCAGATTAACAGCAGATTTCTCAGCATAAACCCTACAGGCTAGAAGGGATTGGGGCCCTATCTTCAGCCTTCTCGAACAAAACAATTATCAGCCAAGAACTTTGTATCCAGTGAAACTAAGCATCATATATGAAAGAAAGATACAGTCTTTTTCAGACAAACAAATGCTGAGAGAATTTGCCATTACCAAGCCACCACTACAAGAACTGCTAAAAGGAGCTCTAAATCTTGAAACAAATCCTGGAAACACATCCAAACAGAACATCTTTAAAGCATAAATCTCACAGGACCTATAAAACAAAAATATGTTAAGAAGCAAAAGTAAAGAAAAAAAACCCCAAAGTACACAGGCAACAGAGGCCACGATGAATGCAATGGTACCTCACATTTCGATACAAACATTGAATGTAAATGGCCTAAATGCTCCACTTAAAAGATACAGAACTACAGAATGGATAAGAACTTACCAACCATCTGCTGCCTTCAGGAGACCTCTCTAGCACATAAGGTCTCACATAAACTTAAAGTAGTGGAAAAAGGCATTTCATGCAAATGGACACCAACAGCAAGCAGGGGTAGCTATTCTTATATCAGGCAAAACAAACCTTAAAGCAACAGCAGTTAAAGACAAAGAAGGACATTATATAGTGATAAAAGGGCTTGTCCAACAGAAAAATATCACAATTCTAAACGTAAATGCACCTAACACTGGAGCTCCAAAATTTATAAAACAATTACTAATAGACCTAGGAAATGATATAGACAGCAACACAATAATAGTGGGGCACTTCAATACTCCACTGACAGCACTAGACAGGTCATCGAGACAGAAAGTCAACAAAGAAAAAATGGTTTTAAACTATACCTTGGAATAAATGGACTTAACAAATATATACAGAACATTTCATCTAACAACTGCAGAATATACATTCTATTCAACAGCACATGGAACTTTCTCCAAGATAGATGATATGATAGGACATAAAAGGAGCCTCAAAAATTTTAAGAAAATTGAAAGTATATCAGGCACTCTCTCAGACCACAGTGGAATAAAACTGGAAATCAACCTCAAAAGGGACCTTCAAAACTGTGCAAATACATGGAAATTAAATGACTTGCTTCTGAATGAGCACTGAGTGAAAAACGAAATCAAGATGGAAATTAAAAAATTCTTCTAACTGAATGACAATAATGACACAACCTATCAAAACATCTGAAATACAGCAAAGGTGATGCTAAGAGGGAATTTCATAGCCCTAAATGCTTACAACAAAAGACTGAAAGAGCATAAAACTGACACTCTAAGGTCACACCTCAAGGAAGTAGAGAAACAAGAACAAACCAAACCCAAACCCAGCAGAAAAAGGGAAATAACAAAGATGAGAGCAACACTAAATGAAACTGAAACAAACAAACAAAAAATACAAAAGATAAATGAAACAAAAAGCTGGTTCTTCAAAAAGATAAATCAGATTGATAGACCACTGGCAAGATTAACCAAGAAAAGAAGAGAGAAAATCCAAATAACCTCACTAAGAAATGAAACAGGAGATATTACAACTGACACCACTGAAATACAGAAGATCATTCAAGGCTACCATGAACAACTTTACACACATAAACTTGAAAACCTAGAAGAGATGTATAAATTCCTGGAAAAATACAACCCTCCCAGGTTAAATCAGGAAGAATTAGATACCCTAAACAGACCAATGACAAGCAGTGGGATAGAAATGGTAATTTAAAAATTACCAACAGAAAAAAGTCCAGGACCAGACAGATTCACAGCAGAATTCTACCAGACATTCAAAGAATTAGTACTAATCCTTTTGACCCTATCTTACAAGATAGAGAAGAAAGAACCCTCCCTAATTCATTCTATGAAGCTATCATCACCATAATACCAAAACCAGGAAAGGACATAACCAAAACAGAAAACTATAACCAAAAAAGAAAACTACAGACCGATATCCTTGATGAACAAAGATGCTAAAATCCTTAACAAAATACTTGCTAACTGAATACAACAGCGTACCAAAAAGATAATTCACCATGATCAACTGGATTTCATAACAGAGATGCAGGGATGGTTTGACATACACAAGTCAATAAATGTGATACACCACATAAGCAGAATTAAAAACAAAAATCACATCATTTCAATAGATGCAGGAAAAGCACTTGACAAAATCCAGCATCCCTTTATCATTAAAACCCTCAGCAAAATTGGCATATAAGGGACATACTTTAATGTAATAAAAGCCATCTATGGCAAACCCACAACCAACATAACACTGAATGGGGAAAAGTTGAAAGTATTCCCTCTGAGAGCAAGACAAGGATGCCCACTGTAGCCACTCCTCTTCAACATAGTACTGGAAGTTCTAGCCAGAGCAATCAGACAAGAGAAAGAAATAAAGGACATCCAAATTGGTAAAGAGGAAGTCAAACTGTCACTGTTTGCTGACGATATAATTGTTTACCTTGAAAACTCTAAGGACTCCTCCTAGAACTGACAAAAGAATTCAGCAAAGTTTCCAGATACAAGATTAATGTACACGAATCAGTAGCTCTTCTATACACCAACAGTGACAGAATTCAACGCCTTTTACAATAGCGGCAAAAACAAAAAACAAAAAAAAACAACTTAGGAATATACCCAACCAAGGAGTTGAAAGACCTCTACAAGGAAACTAAAAAACACTGCTGAAAGAAATCATAGATAACACGAACAAATGGAAACACATCCCATGCTCATGCATGGGTAGAATCAATATTGTGAAAATGGCCATACTGCCAAAAGTAATCTACACATTTAATGTAATCCCCATCAAAATACCACCATCATTCTTCACAGAATTAGAAAAAACAATTCTAAAATTAATATGGAACCAAAAAAAGAGCCTGCATAGCCAAAGCAAGACTAAGCAAAAAGAACAAATCTGGAGACATTACACTACCTGATTTCAAACTATGCTATAAGGCCATAGTCACCAGAACAGCATGGAACTTGTACAGAAATAGGCACATAGACCAATGGAACAGAATAGAGAATCCAGAAATAAACCTAAATACTTATAGCCAACTGATCTTCGACAAAGCAAACAAAAACATTAAGTGGGGAAAGGACACCCTTTTCAACAAATGGTGCTGGGATAATTGGGTAGTCACATGTAGGAGAATGAAACTGGATCCTCATCTCTCACCTTATACAAAAATCAATTCAAGATGGATTAAGGACTTAAACCTAAGACCTGAAGCTATAAAAATTCTAGATGATAACATTGAAAAAATCCTTCTCGACATTGGCTTAGGCAAGGATTTCATGACCAAGAACCCAAGAGCAAATGCAATAAATACAAAGATAAATAGCTGGGGCCTAATTAAACTAAAGAGCTTTTGCATGGCAAAAAGAACAGTCAGCAGAGTAAACAGACAACCCACAGAGTGGGAGAAAATCTTCACAATCTATACATCTGACAAAGGACAAATATCCAGAATCTACAACTAACTCAAACAAATCAGTAAGAAAAACTCAGGCAGGAGAAAGAAATAAAGGGTATTCAATTAGGAAAAGAGGAAGTCAAATTGTCCCTGTTTGCAGATGACATGATTGTATACCTAGGAAACCCCATCATCTCAGCCCAAAATCTCCTTAAGCTGATAAGCAACTTCAACAAAGTCTCAGGATACAAAATCAATGTGCAAAAATCGCAAGCATTCTTATACACCAATAACAGACAAACAGAGAGCCAAATCATGAGTGAACTCCCATTCACAATTGCTTCAAAGAGAATAGAATACATAGGAATCCAATTTACAAGGGATGGGAAGGACCTTTTCAAGGAGAACTACAAACCACGGCTTAATGAAATGAAACAGGACACAAATGGAAGAACATTCCATGCTCATGGATAGGAAGAATCAATATCATGAAAATGGCCATACTGCCCAAGGTAATTTACAGATTAAATGCCATCTCCATCAAGCTACCAATGACTTTCTTCACAGAATTGGAAAAAACTACTTTAAAGTTCATACGGAACCAAAAAAGAGCCCACATTGCCAAGACAATCCTAAGCCAAAAGAACAAAGCTGGAGGCATCATGCTACCTGACTTCAAACTATACTACAAGGCTACAGTAACCAAAACAGCATGGTACTGCTACCAAAACAGAGATATAGATCAATAGAACAGAACAGAGCCCTCAAAAATAATACCACACATCTACAACCATCTGATCTTTGACAAACCTGACAAAAACAAGAAATGGGGAAAGGATTCCCTATTTAATAAATGGTGCTGGGAAAACTGGCTAGCCATATGTACAAAGCTGAAACTGATCCCTTTCTTATACCTTATATAAAAATTAATTCGAGATGGATTAAAGACTTAAATGTTAGACCTAAAACCATAAAAACTCTAGAAGAAAACCTAGGCAATACTATTCAGGACATAGGCATGGGCAAGAACTTCATGTCTAAAACACCAAAAGCAGTGGCAACAAAAGCCAAAATAGACAAATGGGATCTAATTAAACTAAAGAGCTTCTGCACAGCAAAAGAAACTACCATCAGAGTGAACAGGCAACCCACAGAATGGGAGAACATTTTTGCAATCTACTCATCTGACAAAGGGCTAATATCCAGAATCTACAAAGAACACAAACAAATTTACAAGAAAAAAACAAAAAACCCCATCACAAAGTGGGTGAAGGATATGAATAGACACTTCTCAAAAGAAGACATTTATGCAGCCAACAGACACATGAAAAAATGCTAATCATCACTGGCCATCAGACAAATGCAAATCAAAACCACAATGAGATACCATGTCACACCAGTTAGAATGGTGATCATTAAAAAGTCAGGAAACTACAGGTGCTGGAGAGGATGTGGAGAAATAGGAACACTTTTACACTGTTGGTGGGACTGTAAACTAGTTCAACCATTGTGGAAGTCAGTGTGGTGATTCCTCAGGGATCTAGAACTAGAAATACCATTTGACCCAGCCATCCCATTACTGGGTATATACCCAAAGGATTATAAATCATGCTGCTATAAAGACACACGCACACATATGTTTATTGCGGCACTATTCACAATAGCAAAGACTTGAAACCAACCCCAATGATAGACTGGATTAAGAAAATGTGGCACATATACACCATGGAATACTATGCAGCCATAAAAAATGATGAGTTCATGTCCTTTGTAGGGACATGGATGAAGCTGGAAACCATCATTCTCAGCAAACTATCACAAGGACAAAAAACCAAACACTGCATGTTCTCACTCACAGGTGGGAATTGAACAATGAGAACACTTGGACATAGGAAGGGTAACGTCACACAATGGGGCCTCTTGTGGGGTGGGGGGATGGGGGAGGGATAGCATTAGGTGATATACCTAATGTAAAAGATGAGTTAGTGGGTGCAGCACACCAACATGGCACATGTATACACATGTACCAAACCTGCACATTGTGCACATGTACCCTTGAACTTATAGTATAATAAATATATATACATATAAAAGAAAAAACAAACAATCCCATTAAAAAGTGGGTTAAGGACATGAATAGATAATTCTCAAAAGAAGATGTAGAAATGGCCAACAAACATATGAAGAAATGCTCAACATCACTAATGATCAGGGAAATGCAAATCAAAACCACAGTGTGATACCACTTCACTCCTGCAAGAAAGGCCATGATAAAAAAATTAAAAAACTGTAGATGCTGGCATGGATGTGGTAAACAGGGAACACTTCTACACTGCTGGTGGGAATGTAAGCTAGTACAGCTGCTAGGGAAAACATTATGGAGATTCCTTAAAGAGCTAAAAGTAGAACTACCATTTCATCCGGCAATCCCACTACTGGGTATCTACCCAGAGGAAAAGAAGTCATTATTTGAAAAGGATACTTGCACACACATATTTACAACTGCACCATATTTGTAGTCTTCTATCCCTCACCCCCCTCCCACTCTTCCTCACAAGTCCCCAAAGTCTACTTCATCATTCTTTTTTTTTTTTTTTTTTTTGAGACAGAGTCTCGCTCTGTCACCCAGGCTGGAGTGCAGTGGCGCGATCTTTGCTCACTGCAAGCTCTGCTGTAAATTGTGAATTTACAATTCACAATTGCAAAATCGTGGAACCAACCCAAATGCCCATCAAAGAATGAGTGGATAAAGAAACTGTGATTGACATGTGTGTGTGTGTATATATATATGTAATAAAATACTACACAGCCACAGAAAGGAATGAGTTAACAGCATTTACAGTGACCTGGATGAGATTGCAGACTGTTATTCTAGGTGAAGTAACTCAGGAACGGAAAACCAATCATCATATATTCTCACTGACATGTGGGAGCTAAGCTATGAGGATGCAAAGGCATAAGAATGATGCAATAGGCCAGGCGCGGTGGCTCACGCCTGTAATCCCAACACTTTGGGAGGCTGAGACGGGTGGATCACGAAGTCAGGAGATCGAGACCATGCTGGCTAACATGGTGAAACCCCGTCTCTACTAAAAATACAAAAAATTAGCCAGGCGTGGTGGCGGGTGCCTGTAGTCCCAGCTACTCAGGAGGCTGAGGCAGGAGAGTGTCATGAACCCAGGAGGCAGAGCTTGCAGTAAGCAGAGATCGCGCCACTGCACTCCAGACTGGGCGACAGAGTGAGACTCTGTCTCAAAAAAAAAAAAAAAAAAAAAGAAGAATGATGAAGTAGACTTTGGGGACTTGTGAGGAAGAGTGGGAGGGGGGCGAGGGATAGAAGACTACAAATATGGTGCAGTGTATACTGCTCAGGTGATAGGTGCACCAAAATCTCACCAATCACCACTAAAGAATTTACTCATGCAGCCAAATGCCACCTGCACCCCAATAACTTATGGGAAAAAAACTGGACAAAGGACTTAGAATTTTCACAAAAGGTAAACATATAGCCAATAAATGGGTGAAATGGCACTCAGTATCATTAGCCGTCTTATAAATGCAAATTAAAACTGAGTTAGCACCATCCATTAATATGGCTGAAACTTAACACCAAATATTGGTGATGATATGGATAAAATTAAACTTTCAAAAATTTCTTTAGTAATGAAAAAAATAAATCAAGTGATTCTATGGATAATGCTGATTGAAATATTGATGCAGTTGTCTGAGTTATTCAGACAAAAATATCTACTATTAGGAAGAAAGGATTTAATTATTTCTTGAGTTACCTAGGGTAGATTTCTTCAGTGATAAACTTCACAGGATAATTGGTCAACCTCAATTTTGCTTTGCTTTGCTTTAGACTCTAGGCATAAATGAATATCTTTTATATTAATCCCATAAGTCTACATTTTTTGTTCCTTTGAGCAGTGTATGAAAAAAATTGTTTGAAATAGTGATATTACCATAATCAACAATTACTTATTGGTACTACTTTGCTGATGATTTTTTTCTCTCCACAACATGTTATGCTAGTCTATAAATGTTATGTTATATATAATGATACAGGAAATACAAAGAAATTATTTAGGCAGATAGTGAGGGCAAAAGAGTCCTTGGGAGAACTCCTTCTAACAAAAAGCAGTTCTAGAAATCATTTCTTTTTTAACAAAGAGCAGCCTGAAAGATCAAGCTGCAAACATAGATAAGGAAGCTGGAAGCTTGCACAGAGGAATACTGGCAGCTGCACCAACAGAAAAGGGCTACCTGGGGCTAGGCATATCCACCATGGAAGCTCCATCTTCCCTTTTTTGTTAGCACGTGCTCAGAAAGAAATGGGAAACATGGAGAAGCTCAGGCAGAAAACCCACCTGCATAATAAAAGATTGTGGTGGAGGCTGCCAGAGATTTGCGCCCTATGCAGATGGCACAGCTGGTCCTAACCAGTTCTTCACACCCTATGTAGATCAGACACCACCTCCCCACTAGCTCATCTATGAAATTCCCTGCATTTCACCACAGATTGGCAACCCATTTTTCTGGGACCCCTCTCTGTGGCAGAGAGCTATTCTCTTTCTTTTGCCTATTAAATTTCCACTCTTAACCTCACTCTTTGTGTGTCTGGTGCCCTTGATCTCTGTGGCCATGAAACAACAAACCTCAGGTGTCACCCCAGACAATGAGGCCACTTCAATAAGTTATATAAAATCAATTAATGCCCGACTTTCTTAATTCTGGACATTGAAAATGCTATACATTCACCTAGAGTTAACATTGCAGACTACTTCTTTTAAAACAAATTTAATGTTGTGGTCTCCAAAGTAGGGTTCATATATCCCAGGGGATGTTCAGCTTGATTCTTTCAAATTATTTAAATTTGAAAAACCAAGATGTGATCCAAAACAGTAGTAGTATCAACATACCTGTGCCAATGGTCTTCAAAATTCCTTCAGGCAGTATTTCTCCACAATAATCTTCACAATCGATTAAGAAAAGTTGCTTGTATTTATGTTTCTAATATGAAGTGGCTACTTTTGGGGACGGGGGCTGTATTAATAATGTACGTATGTTCTATAATTTTCTAAAAAGCATTATGGCTTTGCTGGTAAATCATCAGAGTAATTCTCCTCTCTAGTCAGGAAAAGATATAATTTCTGGTTAGAATGGTTAGAATAAATGCTATCCAGCCCAACTGACTGCCTATTGCTTGAATATATTGCTTTTTAAAATTCTCACCAAGCATTCTCCTAGCTCAGAGTTTCTTGCTATAATCTGCAGAGCCTCAGGCGCTCAGAGGCCCTGCTTCAAGGGCTACTGTTGGGAGGAGATGGGGAAGAGTGGGAAAGGTTCATAACAATCTGGCATGGATCAAGTTCTCCGTATTCACTCATTGAACAAAAACAGCTGGAATAGCATTTGATTCATTTAATGAGCTTCTGCACTGAATTTAATTTGCAGAAAGTGTTTTATTGCTCAAGGAAGTGACCTTTTGGTTGAGCCTTAAGGATCAGTAGAAGTTAACTGTGCAAAAATATGATAAAGACACAACCATTTGAGTGGCAAAATATGTGGCCTTAAATAAGCTACAGAGGAGAAATGTCAGAGAGAATGGCAGAGTAATGATCTCCAAAAATTCTTCATAAAAACAGGAAAAAATTTTCAGTCAACTTTTTCAGAACTCTAGAAATTAATCAAAGGCTTTCAGTAATCTGGAATGTGTTTATTCAAGAAAGATGGCTGAATCTCAGTAAAAACAGTGAAATTTGTAGCATTTTAACTTTGCCCTGTTTATATCCTTCCTCTCTAGCTGGGTGGTAGGCTTGAAAACCAACAGCCTCAACCATGGCTGAAAAGCAGCAGCCCCCGCCTACTCCCGGTAACCACCAGAAGAAACTAAATAGGCTCAGATCTCTTTCAGAGACTCATTACCATAGAAATGACATTATTTAACCTGCCTAATTGCTCCCTGGAGGACCCCACCTGCAAGTTTTTCTTTATTTGATGTGATTCAACATGGAGCTCATCTAGTGGAAAAAGCCATTTTTCCAGATTTGTCAGAACAATTAGAGGCAATCATTTAATTTTGTGGCTGCCAGAGGTGGTGGATAACTATTGGGATAAACAATAGAAAAACTAAAAGCTTACAATGAAAAGATATGGAATAAGATGTCCATGGGGATTTTGAAAAGTTCTGTTATATGCCTAGGAATCTGGAAGGTAATGCACATGCTTAGCACTAAGTATACACAGGACTCTGCATACTCAGAAAATACCTTAGAGAGCCCTAAGCTGTCACCTTTAGATGATCTTGAAAATCTGTGCAAACAAGAAATGAAGGCTAAGACAGAGTTTTAAACTACCTGGCTGAGTGTTGAAGGCATGTGCCAACACACATGGGGCCCTTGGCAAAGACTGGGAGGCCTATTAATCCCAGGCATTAGGGAAATCTCTGTTAATCATTATCTGACCACTAACCCAACAGAGCAGAGACTTCAGTGGCCACACATGCCAAAGAATACAGACTTAACCAAAGGATTTGAGAAAAGTCACTAAACAAACAAATAGCAATAGCAGCAAGCCCTGGGAAGAGAGGAGAATCCAACTTCCAGAATTGCCACAATATTTTATTTAAATGTCCAGTTTTCTATAAAAAATTACAAGACATGCAAAGAAACAAGAAAGTAGGTCCATGAATGGGAGTTGAGGGTGGAGGATGCATTCCATAGGATCTGTCCCTAACCCTAACCCTAATCTGAGGGTGCTGTCAACCTGAAATAATTGGAAGAATTGGAATCCAACTTAAAAAGCTTTGCTCAAGTGAAAAGTTGAGAATGCCATCCAGGAAACAGACTTCAGAGAAATGGGGTCAGCATTCCAAAGTTATAAGTTAAGGTCTTGCTTATATATTACACAGAAAACAAAGACATTCAGTAGGATTATAACATTATTTAATACAGGGCTGGTTTATGAGTTATAACAATTTAGTTACAATTTTTCTTTTCTTTTCAGTTTGTTTTCTTTATAAATTATTTTCATTTCCTGTCTATTTTAAGACTATATTTAAAATTTTATCCCAGACAAGGTAATAGCCATGAAGTCATGTGAAAGAGGAAAGGAGAAAGTTAATCTATAATGAACATCAATGGTTAAGAGGGAAGGGGTCTTTCTTGGTACCCTTTAGCCATTTATAATATTTTACAACACAAAGAAGGCAAGGAAAGAGACTAGTTTATAATCAGAGAGACAGGTTACAGCTTTCTAGGTTACAGCTGCCTGTTTATGTGACTGAGGTCTCAAATATTTTAAAGTTCCAACAACTTGGACTTTGAATTCCTTAGTTTCACAAAGTCTAGATGTTGGAATTACTAGACAAAGACTTTATATCAGCTATTGGCCAATAAACCCGTGAAAAGATGCTCAACATCATTAGTGATTAGGGAAATGCAGACCAAAACCAAAATGAGATACACTTCATGCCTACTTGAGTGGCCACAAGAAGAAAGACAAATAATAACAAATGTTGATGAGAATGTGGAGAAATTTGAACCCTCATACATTGTTGGTGGGAAATCAAAATGATGCAGCTGCTTTGGAAAACAGTTGAAAATTCCTAAAAGCGTTTAACATAGTTACCATATAACCCAACAATTCCACTACTTGGTATATGCCCAAGAGGACTGAAAACATACGTAAATGCAAAAACTTTTATGTAAATGTTAATGGCAGCATTATTCGTAGTACCCAAAAAGTGGAAACAACCCCAATGTTCATCAATTGATGAATACATAAACAAAATGTGGTAAAGCCATGCACCACATAATGACATTCAGTCAATTACTGATCATACATAGAAGAGTAGTTCCATAAGATTATTATGAACCTGGAAAATTCCTATCACCTAGTGAATCCCCCCAAAAATTAACAGTGAAGTGTTTAGCAGTAGCTTTTGCAGACTGTAAAATGTTTGAGGGGCCAGGGGTGGTGGCTTACGCATGTAATCCCAGCACTTTGGGAGGTCACGGTGGATGGATTGCTTGAGCTCAGGAGGTCAAGAACAGCCTGGGTGATATAGTGAGACCTCATCTCTACAAAAAAATTAAAAAAATAGCTGGGCCCAAGGGTGCATGCCATAGTCCTACCTACTCAGGAGGCTGAAGCAGGAGGATCACTTCAGCATGGATGGTGGAGGTTGTAGTGAGCTGAGATCATGCCACATGGACTCCCACACTGAAAGGTTTGCATTAATACAGAGGAATGTTCATGGTACACTATCTGCTTACAAGCATATCTGTGATTGGAAAAAAAAAATCCACCATAAATATATTTCTGAAAAGAATGACACTTCCTCGAGAAGAGCTTCAGGCAGGTCCTTCAGGAGATGTTTCAGAAGACATTGTTATCATAAGAGATGGCAGTTCCATGCATGTCATTGTCCCTGAAGATCTTCTAGTGTGACAAGATGTGGAGGTGGAAGATGTAATATTGATTATCCTGACCCTGTGTAGGCCTAGGCTAATGTGTGTATTCATGTCTTACTTTTTAACAAAAATGTGTAAAAGGAAAAAAATAGTTTTAGTAGAAAAATACATATATTTAGCATAAGGACATAAAGAAAGAAAATATTTTTGTGCAGCTGTGAAATGCGTTTGTGTTTTAAGCTAAGTGTTTTCACAAAAAAAGCCATAAAATAGAAAAAACAAAATGTTTATAAGGTAAAAAATTACATTAAGCCAAGGTTAATTTATTATCAAAGTAAGAAAATTTTTAAAAATAAATTTAGTATAGCCCAGGTGTACAGTATTTATACAGACTACAATAGTGTAATATCCTAGGTCTTCACGTTCACTGATCACTCACTCACTGACTTACCCAGAGCAATTTCCAATTGAGTAAGCTGTATTGTACTATACAGGTATACCATTTTTATTTATTTATTTATTATTATACTTTAAGTTCTGGGGTACATGTGCAGAACGTGCAGGTGTGTTACATAGGTATACACGTGCCATGGTAGTTTGCTGCACCCATCAACCTGTCATCTACATTAGGTATTTCTCCTAATGCTATCCCTCCCCTAGTCCCCCACCCCATGACAGGCCCTGGTGTCTGATGTTCCCCTCCCTGTGTCTATGTGTTCTCATTGTTCAACTCCCACTTATGAGTGAGAACATGTGGTGTTTGGTTTTCTGTTCTTGTGTTAGTTTGCTGAGAATGATGGTTTCCTGCTTCATCCATGTCCTTGCAAAGAACATGAACTCATCCTTTTTTATGGCTGCATAGTGTTCCATGGTGTATATGTGCCATATTTTCTTTATCCAGCCTATCATTGATGGGCATTTCTGTTGGTTCCAAGTCTTTGCTATTGTGAACAATGCCACAAAAACATATGCATGCATGTGTCTTTATAGTAGACTGATTTATAATTCTTTGGATATATACTTAGTAATGGGATTGCTGGATTGCCACACTGTCTTCCACAATGATTGAACTAATATACACTCCCACCAACAATGTAAAAGCACTCCTATTTCTCCACATCCTCTCCAGCATCTGTTGTTTCCTGACTTTTTAATGATCGCCATTCTAACTGGTGTGAGATGATATCTCATTGTGGTTTGATTTGCATTTCTCTAATGACCAGTGATGATGAGGTTTTTTTCATATGCTTGTTGGCTGCATAAATGTCTTCTTTTAAGAAGTGTCTGTTCATATCCTTTGCCCACTTTTTGATGGGGTTTTTTTTTTTTTGTAAATTTGTTTAAGTTCTTTGTAGATTCTGGATATTAGCCCTTTGTGAGATGGATAGATTGCCAAAATTTTCTCCCATTCTGTATGTTGCCTGTTCACTCTGATGATAGTTTCTTTTGCTGTGCAGAAACTGCTTAGTTTAATTAGATCCCATTTGTCAATTTTGGCTTTAGTTGTCATTGCTTTTGGTATTTTCGTCATGAAGTCTTTGCCCATGCCTATGTCTTGAATGGTATTGCCTAGCTTTTCTTCTAGGGTTTTTATGGTTTTAGGTCTTATGTTTAAGTCTTTAATCCATCTTGAGTTAATTTTTGTATAAGGTGTAAAGAAGGGGTCCAGTTTCAGTTTTCTGCATATGGCTTGCCAGTTTTCCCAACACCATTAAATAGGGAATCCTTTCCCCATTGTTTGGGTCTGTCAGATTTGTCAAAGATCACTTGGTTGTAGATGTGTGCTGTTATTTCTGAGGCCTCTGTTCTGTTCCATTGATCTATATATCTGTTTTGGTACCAGTACCATATTGCTTTGATTGCTGTAGCCTTGTAGTATAGTTTGAAGCCAGGTAGCGGGAGGACTCTAGCTTTGTTCTTTTTGCTTAGCATTATCTTGGCTATGCAGGCTCTTTTTTGGTTCCATAAGAAATTCAAAGTAGTTTTTTCCAATTCTGTGAAGAAAGTCAATGGTAGCTTGATGGGAATAGTATGGAATCTATAAATTACTTTGGGGATTACGGCCATTTTCACGTATTGATTCTTCCTATCCATGAGCATGGAATGTTTTTCCATTTATTTGTGTCCTCTGTTATTTCCTTGAACAGGGGTTTGTAGTTCTCCTTGAAGAAGTCCTTCACATCCCTTGTAAGTTGTATTCCTAGGTGTTTTATTCTCTTTGTTGCAATTGTGAATGGGAGTTCACTCATGATTTGGCTTTCTGTTTGTCTATTATTGGTGTATAAGAATGCTTGCGATTTTTGCACATTGATTTTGTATCCTGAGACTTTGCTGAAGTTGCTTATCAGCTTAAGGAGATTTTGGGCTGAGACGATGGGGTTTTCTAAATATACAATCATGTCATCTGCAAACAGAGACAATTTGACTTCCTCTCTTCCTATTTGAATACGCTTTATTTCTTTCTCTTGCCTGATTGCCTGGGGCAGAACTTCCAATACTGTGTTGAATAGGAGTGGTGAGAAAGGGCATCGTTGTCTTGTGCCAGTTTTCAAAGGGAAGGCTTCCAGTTTTTGCCCATTCAGTATGATATTGGCTGTGGGTTTCTCATAAATAGCTGTTATTATTTGACATATGTTCCATCAACACCTAGCTTATTGAGAGTTTTTAGCATTAAGGTGTGTTGAATTTTGTGGAAAGCCTTTTATGTTGATATAATCATGTGGTTTTTGTCTTTGGTTCTGTTTATGTGATGGATTATGTTTATTGATTTATATATGTTGAACCAGCCTTGCATCTCAGAAATGAAGCCAAATTGATTGTGGTGGATAAGCTTTTTGATGTGCTGCTGAATTCATTTTGCCAGTATTTTACTGAGGATTTTTGCATCGATGTTAATCAGGGATATTGGCCTGTAAATGTCTTTTTTTGTTGTGCCTCTGCCAGGTTTTGGTATCAGGATGATCCTGGCCTCATAAAATGAATTAGGGAGGAGTTCCTCTTTTTTTATTGTTTGGAATAGTTTCAGAAGAAATGGTACCAGCTCCTCTTTGTACCTCTGGTAGAATTCAGCTGTGAATCCATCTGGTCCTGGGCTTTTTTTGTTGGTAAGCTATTATTTACTGCCTCAATTTCAGAACTTGTTATTGGTCTATTCAGGGATTCAACCTCTTCCTGGTTTAGACTTGGGAGGGCGTATGGATCCAGGAATTTATCCATTTCTTCTAGGTTTTCCAGCTTATTTGTGTAGAGCTGTTTACAGTATTCTCTGATGGTAGTTTGTATTTCTGTGGGATCAGTGGTGATATCCCCTTCATCATTTTTTATTGCATCGATTTGACTCCTCTCTCTTTTCTTCTTTATTAATCTGTCTAGCTGTCTATCTATTTTGTTGATCTTTAAAAAAATAGCTCCTGGATTTGTTGATTTTTTGAAGGGTTTTTCATGTCTCTATCTCCTTCAGTTCTGCTCTGATCTTTGTTATTTCTTATCTTCTGCTAGCTTTTGAATTTGTTTCCTCTTGCTTCTCTAGTTCTTTTAATTGTGATGTTAGGGTGTAAATTTTAGATCTTTTTGCTTTCTCTTGTGGGCATTTAGTGCTATAAATTTTCCTCTAAACACTGCTTTAGCTGTGTCCCAGAGATTCTGGTGTGTTGTGTCTTTGTTCTCATTGGTTTCAAAAAACTTATTTCTTTCTGCCTTAATTTTGTTATTTAGCCAGTAATCCTTCATGAGCAGGTTGTTCAGATTCCATGTAGTTGTGCAGTTTTGAGTGAGTTTCATAATCCTGAATTCTCATTTGATTGCACTGCGGTCTGAGAAACTGTTATGATTTCCGTTGTTTTGCATTTCCTGAGGAGTGTTTTACTTCCAATTATGTGGTCCATTTTAGAAGTGCTATGTGGTGCTGAGAAGAAGGTATATTCTGTTGATTTGGGGTGGAGAGTTCTGTAGACGTCTATTAGGTCTGCTTGGTCCAGAGCTGAGTTTAAGTCCTGAATATCCTTGTTAATTTTCTGTCCCGTTGATGTTTCTGATATTGACAGTGGGGTGTTAAAATCTCCCACTATTATTGTGTTGGAATCTAAGTCTCTTTGTAGGTCTCTAAGAACTTGCTTTATGAATCTGGGTGCTCTTCTTGTTGCATTGATCCCTTTACCATTATATAATGCCCTTCTTTGTCTCTTTGATCTTTGTTGGTTTAAAGTCTGTTTTATCAGAGACTAGGATTGCAACCCCTGCTTTTTTTTGCTTTCCATTTTCTTGGTACATATTCCTCCATCCCTTTATTTTGAGCCTATTTGTGTCTTTGCACATGAGATGGGTCTACTGAACATAGCACACCAATGGGTCTTGACTCTATCAAATTTGCCAGTCTGTGTTTTTTAATTGGGGTATTTAGCTTGTTTATATTTAAGGTTAATATTGTTATGTGTGAATTTGATCCTGTCATTATGATGCTAGCTGGTTATTTTGCCTGTTAGTTGACTCAGTCTCTTCATAGTATCAATGGTCTTTACATTTTGGTATGTTTTTGCAGTGGCTGGTACTGGTTGTTCCTTTTCATATTTAGTGCTTCCTTCAGGAGCTCTTATAAGGCAGGTTTGGTTGTGACAAAAATTCCTCAGCGTTTGTTTGTCTCTAAAGGATGTTATTTCTCCTTCACTTATGAAACTTATTTTGGCTGGACATGAAATTCTGGGTTGAAAATTCTTTTCCTTAAGAATGTTGAATATTGGCCCACTGTCTTCTGGCTTGTAGGGTTTCTGCAGAGAGATCTGCTGTTAGTCTGATCGGCTTCCCTTTGTGGGTAACCCAACCTTTCTCTCTTGCTACCCTTAACATTTTTTCCTTCATTTCAACCTCGGTGAATCTGATAATTATGTGTCTTGGGCTTGCTCTTCTCAAGGAGTATCTTAATGGTGTTCTCAGTATTTCCTGAATTTGAATGTTGGCCTGTCTTGCTAGGTTGGAGAAGTTCTCCTGGATAATATTCTGAAGCGTGTTTTCCAACTTGTTTCCATTCTCCCCGTCACTTTCAGGTACACCAGTCATAGGTGGATTTGGTCTTTTCACATAGTCCCATATTTGTTAGAGGCTTTGTTCATTCATTTTTACTCTTTTTTCTCTATTCTTGTCTTCATGCTTTATTTCATTAAGTTGTTATTCAATTTCTGATATTGTTTCTTCAGCATGATCGATTTGGCTATTTATACTCGTGTATGCTTCATGAAGTTCTCGTGTTGTATTTTTCAGTTCCATCAGGTCATTTATGTTCTTCTCTAAATTGGCTTTTCTAGTTAGCAATTCCTCTAACCTTTTCTTAAGGTTCTTATCTTCCTTGCATTGGGTTAGAACATGCTCCTTTAGCTCAGAAGAGTTTGTTATTACCCACCTTCTGAAGCCTACTCCTGTCAATTTGTCAAACTCATTCCCCTTCCAGTTTTGTTCCCTTGCTGGTATGGAATTGTGATCCTTTGGAAGAGAAGAGGCATTCTGGTTTTTGGAATTTCTGCCTTTTTGTGCTGGTTTCTCCCTGTCTTTGTGGATTTATCTACCTTTGGTCTTTGATGTTAGTGATGTTTGGATGGGGTCTCTGAGTGGACGTCCTTTTTTGTTGTTGTTGATGTTACTCCTTTCTGTTTGTTAGTTTTCCTTCTACCAGTCAGGGCCATCTGCTGCAGGTTTGCTGGAGGTCTACTCCAGACCCTGTTTGCCTGGGTATCACCAGCAGAGGCTGCAGAACAGCAAAGATTGCTGCCTGTTCCTTCCTCTGGAAGCTTCATCTCAGAGGTGCACCCCCCAGATGTCAGCTGGAGCTCTTCTATATGAGGTGTCTGTTGCCCCCTGCTGGGATGTGTCTTTCCGTCAGGAGACACGGGGGTCAGGGACCCACTTGAAGAGGCAGTCTGACCATTAGCAGAGCTGGAACTTTATGCTGAGAGATCTACTGCTCTCTTCAGAGCCATCAGGAAGGGACGTTAAGTCTGCTGAAGCTGCGCCCACAGCCACCCCTTCCCCCAGGTGCTCTGTTCCAGGGAGATGGGGGTATAAGTCCCTGACTGGAGCTGCTGCTCCTTTTTTTTCAGAGATGCCCTGCCCGGAGAGGAGGAATCTAGAGAGGCAGTCTAGCTACATCAGCTTTACTGAGTTGCAGTGGGCTCCGCCCAGTTTGAACTTCCTGGTGGCTTTGTTTACACTGTGATGGGAAAACTGGCTACTCAAGTCTCAGTAATGGTGGACACCCCTCCCCCAACTAAGCTCAAGCATCTCAGGTCAACTTCAGACTGCTGTGCTGGCAGCAAGAATTTCAAGTCAACAGATCTTAGCTTGCTGGGCTCTGTCGGGGTGGGATCCGCTGAGCTAGACCACTTGGCTCAATGGCTTCAGCCCCTTTCAGGGGAGTGAACGGTTCTGTCTTGCTGGTGTTCCAGGCGCCACTGTGGTGTGAAAAAAAAAACTCTTGCAGCTAGCTTCGTGTCTGCCCAAATGACCACCGAGTTTTGTGCTTGAAATCCAGGGCCCTGGTGATGTAGGCATCCAAGGGAATCTCCTGGTCTGCAGTTGAGAAGACTGTGGGAAAAGCGTAGTATCTGGGCTGGAGTCCACTGTTCCTCATGGCACAGTCCCTCATGGCTTCCCTTGGCTAGGGGAGGGAGCTCCCCGACCCCTTGTGCTTCCCGCGTGAGGTGATGCCCCTCCCTCCTTTGGCTTGCCCTCTGTGGGCTGCACCCGCTGTCTAACCAGTTCCAGTGAGATGAACCAGGTACCTCTGTTGGAAATGCAGAAATTACCTGCCTTCTTTATTGATCTCACTGGGAGTTGTAGACTGGAGCTGCTCGTATTTGGCCATCTTGCCAGCAATCTCCCAGGTGTACCCTTTTTAAATCTTTTATTCCAAATTTTAACTGCACCTTTTCTATATTTGAACATGTTTAGATATACTGATTATCATGCATGTCCGTGTGAAGAGACCACCAAACAGGCTTTGTGTGAGCAACAAGGCTTTTTATTTCACTGGAGTGCAGGTGGGCTGAGTGTGAAAAGAGAGTCAGCAAAGGGAGATGGGGTGGGGCCGTTTTATAGAATTTGGGTAAGTAGTGGAAAATTATAGTCAAAGGGGGTTGTTCTCTTGTAGGCAGGGGTGGGGGTCACAAGGTGCTCAGTGGGGGAGCTTCTGAGCCAGGAGAAGGAATTTCACAAGGTTAATTGCTCAGTTAAGGTGGAGCAGAAACAAATCACAATGGTGGAATGTCATCAGTTAAGGCAGGAACTGGCCATTTTCACTTCTTTTGTGATTCTTCAGTTACTTTGGGCCATCTGGATGTATAAGTGCAGGTCACAGGCAATATGATGGCTTAGCTTAGGCTCAGAACCCTGACATGGATATTTACCATTTTGTTACAATTGCCTACAGTATTCAGTAATGTAACATGCTATACAGTTTGTAGCCTAGGAACAATAGGCTATACCATGTAGCTTAGGTGTGTAGTAGACTGTCCCATCTAGGTTAGTATAAGTACACTCTGATGTTCCTATGGTGGTGAAATTGCCTAGCGATGCATTTCTCAGAATGTGTCCCCACTGTTAAGTGATGCATGACTGTATAACTATATAATAGAATATTACTTAGCTATAAAAAGGAATGAAATACTAATACATGATACAACATGAATGAACTTTGAAAATATTATTCTAAAAGAATTAAACCAGACACAAAAATGCCATATATTGTATAATTACATTCATATGAAATGTCCAAAATAGGCAAATCCATAAGAGACAGAAAACAAATTGGTGGGAGAGATGGGGGAGAAAAGAATGGGGCATGAATTCTAGGTATGGCATTTTTTGGGGGGATGATGAAATGTTCTGATAGTGGTGATGGCGGCACAACTTTATAAACATAGGAACGACCTCTACATTTTATACTTTAAAAGGGTAAATTTTGTCATTTGCGAATCATATCTCCATAAATGTAAAATAAAATAAGCTGCAGACTAGAGCACACTGAAATATCTTACTATTAATATAAAAAAAATTTGGTTTTTAAATATGACCCTATGAAAGGGAAGAGCAGTAAAGTGAGAAGAAAAAAATAGCATTCAGTGAGTATCTCCTATGTGTCAGGTATTATGCTGGGTGCTGAAGGTGTAGAGGAAATAATTTGTAGCCCATGCCCTTAAGGGGCTCAATCTAGAAAGTGTGAAAAGGATGAATGATGATACAAATCAAGAAATGCTGTCAAAGAAGGCACTGTTAAGTGAATGAAAAGACAAGACACAATCTAGAAGAAATATTACAAATGATGTACCTGATAAAGAACTTAAATGCAGGATAGATAAAGAACTCTCAAAATTCAAAAATAAGAAAACAAACAACCCAATTTAAAAATGGGCAAAAGATTTGAACACATACTTCAACAAAGAAGATATACAGATGGTAAATAAGCCCATAAAAAGAGGTTAACTTTGTTAGCTCACTGAGGAAATGCAAATTAAAAGCAATGTGATACCACTACAAACCTGTTAGAGTGGCTAAAATTAAAAAGACTGGCTATGGTAGACTGAAGAATGGCTCCTGCCCAAAGATAGCCAAGTCCTAATTCATAGATTCTGACTATTATCTTATATGCCCCCCTCTCCCCAAAAAAATAGGAGGGGAAGGTCTTTGGAGATGTGATTAAGTGTGAGATTACCTGGATGGACCTGAAATGCTACCATAATGTTGTAAGAAAAACTGGGTTCTTGTCACACAACCAGGAAAGAATAGGGACACAGACACTTTGAGGGGTGAGGTGTTATGTAATTTATTGGGCAAAAAGGAAAAAGACTCTCAACAAAGCGATAGGAGTTCCTATTAATAGGGCCCCATCTCATAGACTAAATTCCAGGTTACCACACAGGAACAGCAGGGGCCAGAGTCCTCCCCATTGCAAATGGCAGGAACTTCCCAAAGCCCCACTCTGTCCTCCCAGTGCACAGGTCAGTGGGAGATTCTCCAGGGTTAGCAGTCTGGTTTTTCAGCCTTCAGGCTGTTTTAGACTTGAAGGCAGGGTTTTGCCAGGGAATCCTTGGCTGCCTCCTGTCTATATCAACAAGTGTTTTCAAGAGAGAGGAAGAGGCAGATTTCACCTGCAGAAGAGGCAACGTGACTACAGAAGCCGAGATTGGAGTGATGCAGCCACAAACCAAGGAATATGGCAACCACCAGAAGTCAGAAGAGCCAAGGAACAGATTCTCCCTTAGAACTGCCAGAGGGAGTGTGGCCCCACTCATGCTTTGATTTCAGATACTGATTTTGGACCTCAGGTCTCTAGAACTGTGAGAGAATATATTTCTATTCTTTTAAGCCACCAAATTGATGGTAGTTTGTTACACCATCCATAGGAGCTAACACATGGATCACCCCAAATGTTAGCAAGAAGGTGAAGGAATTGGTACTCTCATATCCTGCTGACAGAAATACAAAATAAAGTGGTATGACCACTTGGGAAAATAAGGGTAGTTTCTTAAAAAGTTAAACATAATATCTATCAGATGATTCAGCCATCTCAATCCTACACATTTACCCAAGGAAAATGAAAGAATATGTTCATAAAAAGACTTGTACATGAATATTCACAGCATATAGTTAAACTGGAAATATTTTTCAAGGGGTGAATGCAAAACCAAATAGTCATATATCCATAAAATGGATTACTGCTAAAAAATATGAAGAAATGAACTATCAATATATAGTACAATGTGGATGAGTCTCAAAATAATTATGCTTAGTGAAATAAGCCAGGAAAAAAGAGTACATTACTGTATAATTCCATTTATCTAAAATCCTAGAAAATGCAAACTAATCTATAGTGACATAAAGAAGATCACTGGTGGCCTGTGCAGGAATGTGGGGCTAAGGAGCAGGAGGTGATGATGAATATGTTTGTGATCATGATTACCGTGATGGTTTCACAGGTCTATACATATGTCACACAAATTGAATATGTATACATATTGAATCCTGTAGTTTAAATATGTGTAATTTATTGGACATTGATTATGTATCAATACAACTATTAAAAAATAAGTGCTGTCTAAAAGCCATGCCAGGAAGCTATGGCAACATGGTAGTGTCCTCAGGAAACCTGATGGGACAGAGGTCTGGGACTTGATTCTTTAGCCCAGTTGTCTTGCCACTCTCATTCTAGAAAGGGAGACTGGCTTAAACCAGAGTGTGAGGAAACAGGATCATGCTCATAGCACTGGTCTGATAGTTTTAGTCATCCTGGGGTACTTTTATTCCACTTACTTACTGGCCTTTTAAAGTAAGTTCCAGGCATCCACCAGTATTTGCAGAGAAGTGATCTAGAGAGAAAAACAGCACAGGTAATTTGATGCCCAAGCTGGAGTGATATAAGCACAAAACTATAAGGTAGGGGCAGGTAGTTTGGAGGCCACAGGGTACAGCAGTAGAGAAGGTAGAGGAAGGTCTAAATGGCCCAGAAGCCATCTCCCTCTCCATGGGAGTTGGTCTGTCCTCTCCTTGATAGGATGGGACAGGGAATCAAAGTCCCAGGTGCCTTCCAGCAGTATTCAAGGAGAGCTGGGACTGGGAGTCTGCTGGCCATATGGAAATAAAACCAGTGGAGAGCCATGGTCTCCAAAGGTTGTTTGGCATATGCCAGAAATACACACAATGATTTCTCTCTTCTTGTTATTGTTGCTGCTCTTCTTCTTCCTTCTTCCTTCTTCCTTCTTTCTTCTTCTTTTTTTTTTTTTCTTGAGACAAGATCTCCCTCTGTCACCCATGCTGGGATGCAGTGGCACCAACATAGCTCACTGCAGCCTCAAACTCTTAGGCTCAAGCAATCCTTATGTCTCAGTCTGTTGAGTAGCTAGGCCTACAGCCATACGCCACTATGCCCAGCTAATTTTAAAAACTTTTTGTAGAGATGGAGATCTCACGATGTGGCCCAGGCTGGTCTCAAACTCCTGGCCTCAAATGATTCTCCCACCTCATCCTCCCAAAGTGTTGGTATTACAGTTCTAAGCCACCAAGCCCAGCCTTTCTTTTTTTCTTTGAATAGCAAGAAATAAATGCCAGTAATCTTATTTATATTTATTTACTGACAAATAAATTTAAATTTCTTTATAAATAAATAATTTGTATATTTATATATACTTATTTTAAAATAATTTACATATATGGGGATTCATATACAATTTTAAAATTAATAGAGTGTGCAGTCAAAAACATTTGAAAAAAAGCATTTGGAGATCACTATTGTATAAACAGTGGTAACTGCATGGCAAACTTCTATCTCCCTTTTCCTCACAGCAAAACTTCTGTTTCTTGTGCAGAACCTTATCCCCTACCCTTAATAGGAGTTAGTTCATGATCTAAGTTCTTGCCAAACAGAATCCTTGAATTAAAGGGAAAGGGTCTTTCTTTTTTCCTTGTGAACATGAGCTTAAGGATTATGTGACTCTATAACTTTCTGGGAGTATTTTTACCAGCAGACAAGCAAGCACTTGTCCAAGAATGAATAGAAGAAAGAAAGTAAAGGTAACAAAAAGAGAAGGACAGATCCTTGAATCCAAATGTATATGAAGCCAGTTTTGCCTTGCTGAAGCTCCCATACTAGACCATGAAATAAGTCCCAACAAGTAGAAAAAGGATTGAAACTATACAGAGTATGTTCTCTGACTACAAGATAATTAAGTTAGAAATCAACAAGGAAAAGATATCTGAAAAATCCCAAAACACTAGGAAAGGACATAGCACTGATGTTGAGGCAGGAGGCAAAAGACTTTTCCTCCCATGTCTCTTTTCTTCTGTGAGGGAGATTACACCCAGAAGCACCTCACATCTTTACACTCTTTCTCATGGACAAGAATGAGTTCCCATCCCATTCCTAAGATTAGTTGGCAAAGGACAATGAGATTATGGTGACTGGCTTAGAGCAATCATTGCTCATGTCTTGGTTTAAAAATAGACCCATCTTCTCTGAGTATATTAATCTTTCTTGGCAAAATAAAAGTAAGTATTATTAGCAAGAACAGAAGAAAGGGGAGAAGGAAGGAAGCAAGGAAAAGAGAGAGACGGAGGTAGGAAGGAAGGGAGGAGAAACTATTGAGTCAACTAAAACAGTGTCCTCTATAATATTCTAGTTTCTTTGAATAAATTTGCTGTATTTCTGTTTTTTTTTTTTTTTTTTATGGTAAACCAATCCTCCAGAATGCTGTTTGGATGGATGAAAAACATGACAAATCATGAACAAACAAACAAATATAAATTCATGTTTTATTATATTTATCTATATATAAAAGAAATAGGTGTCAGTTAATTGTTTAACCATTATACATTGATGTTTTAATGTATGAATCCTGAACTTGAAAGACAAGTCTAATACTAGCAATTTGATCTAAAATAAAAAATTCCTACTGTTTTCATTGTAAAGACAAGTATAGGGTGATTTTAAAATAACTATTCCAATTTCAAAGTACCTTATTTGCAGAAATAACAAAGATTTTAAAATAATACATGAAACCATCGAGCAAAGTTGTAATGAAGTTCTTGAAGATGACAAACTTGCTTTTGCTCAGTGGCAACACATTCTGAGTTTCATAGAAGTGATTTGTTGGGCAGCCACTGGGTTGTAATTGAAATCTCCATGTAATCAGGATTATAGGACATAATTTTGTCTCTTACAAAGTAAGAAATAAAATAATTGGCCTAGTTCTGGTCATGAACATGGGGACTCTATTCTGCAGTTGGGTGGAGTGTCCTACAAATGTCAATTAGGTCATTGACATGCTAATAATATCATTGAGATCTTCTAAGTCCTTACTGATTTTTCTGTCTGCTTATTCCATCAGTTACTAAAAGAGGAATGCCAAAATACTCTTCCTCTTCTTTTTTTTTTTTTTTTGAGATGGAGTTTTGCTCTTGTCGCCCAGGCTAGAGGGCAGTGGTGCTATCTTGGCTCACTGCAACCTCCGCCTCCTGGGCTCAAGCGATTTTCTTGCCTCAGCCTCTGGAGTAGCTGGGATTTCAGGCGCCTGCCACCGCACCCGGCTAATTTTTGTATTTTTAGTAGAGATGGGGGTTTCACCATGTTGGCCAGGCTGGTCTCGAACTCCTGACATCAGGTGATCTGGCCGCCTTGGCCTCCCAAAGTGCTGGGATTACAGGCATGAGCCACCATACCCGGCCCAAAATCTTCAATTATAATTTTGTATTCACTTATTTTCCCTTTCAGTGATACTAGTTTTTGTCCTATATATTTTGGATCTCTATTATTAGAGGCATAAACATTTAGGATTATTATATCTTCTTGCTGAATTAGCCCTTTTATCATTATGAAATTTCTCTCTTTGTTGCTTGTCTTGATGTCTATTTTGTTTGATACTAACAGTTAAGCCTTATTAGGGCAAGTCAAGAGTAGCCATTATTTTACCATTAGTAAGTAAATTGGATTGTCTCTCAGTTCTGTGTGAGCTCTGGAAGTTGTTAAGTAGCCTAAGACTTGTTCTTTGCACAGTCTTATGAAATTTCACCCCATAGATGCACAGCTCAGCACTTAGCCAAAGTTTCAAAGGGACCCCATGCAGATTTTGAGATCTCTTTTTGTGTAGTTCCTTCCTCTCTGGTATTCTTTCTTGCAAGTTCCACCTACCTTAATTTCCCCAAACTCCAATCACTGTCCCATTAACTTAGTGAGGTTGTGGTGCTTTGCTTGGGTTCCCCATCCCAGCACTATAGTCCAGAAGGTGGCTCCAGGCAGAAAGCTGGGATTTTCACAGGGCTTACCTTGTTTGTTACCCTGCTCTCAGGGATCACAGTACTGAGCCATGTATTGTCCAGCGTTTCACCTATTTTGTCTAGTTTTCTAGTTGTTTATGGAAGGTGGACAATTCTAGTAGAAGTTACTTTTATTATCAGAAGCCTGTCTTGGCTGTTGTAATATGAGGAATTTATAGTTGATATTGCAGCAGCCATTTTGTGACAATGAGGAGAAAGCCAAGAGGAGCTAGGAGAAACCAGTCCGGGCTATCTCTGTTAAGCTGTTGTATTAATCAACAGTAAACCTGCCTACTTCTGGACCTCTTGGTGTGTGAAATAAAAACTCCTATTTGGGTATTCTGTTATTTGCAGGCATATTTCCCAGCTGATTCATAAATTAAAAGCCCTGTTACTAGAAGACAGAAATAAATATATCCCCAAACCTAGGCTAGTTACTGCAAATGGCATTAAATTGAAGTTCAAGGTGAAAAGTTTTATGTTAGGGGCTACATAATTCTTATTAGCCAGTAAAGTGTCAACTATCCTTAAGAGACTCTTCTTTCTTGGAATAAAATTATAAAAAGCAATATTATCGTGCAAGCCTTTATTCAAGAGTCATAAGAATCATGGATGCTTAGATGCTTAGATATTGGGGAGCAGTCCTAGTAGAGGGGCAGTTTCCTACCACTCTCAACACATAATAAGTGCCATGACGATCACCTGTTGAATAAGGTGCCCATTTACTTCCTCAGTGGTTATGGTCCTGCAGAAAAATTTTGATTGTAGTGTAGCTGATAGGACAGACACACAAGGACAAAATGGATTTACCTCCTGCTACATTTGCTGAGCTGAGCAAGCCAAAATGGAATAAAGTCATTGTATGTTTTCATCTACTCCCTCTGATAATACCCATTATATGATACTTTAAGACTTAGCTAAAGGTCATAGTTTTCCTTAGAATGAAAGGACCCATACATTTCTTTTACCAAACAGCAAGTAGATCATCTTTTGTGTACTACGTATTAACAGCCACCTGGAAGAGTCTTTCTTCTTTGCTGGCAGCATGCTGAATGGTCCTCAGGTAGCAGGACAGGAGAAAAAATTTATCGTCTCATTAGATTGTTACAACATAATTTTTCTTCTCTCACTCTTACTTTTTCTTAGCTGCAAATAGGGAAAATTTATTGTCTCATTAGATTGTTACAACATAATTTTTCTTCTCTCACTCTTACTTTTTCTTAGCTGCAAATAGGGATGATAGTGTTTCCCTAAGGTTGTGAGGGTCAGATGATACTTTTCAAAATGGCTTTGAAAAGCTACTTTGCTGAAAGATGCCAGCATGAGGTTAGTGAAGTGTCTGGGGTATTCACACAACTAGGCTTCTCCACGCAGAGAGAGCCAAGGTAACTCCAACAGGGTATTTTAAAAAAATATAGATTCCCCAATACTGGAAAAGTTCTTAAAAACAATTGGTGGCAGTATGAATGGAGATCCAGGACAGAAATGAAGGATATAGGCTAGGCGTGGTGGCTCACACCTGTAATCTCAGCACTTTCGGAGTCCAAGGTGAGCGGATCACTTGAGGTTAGGAGTTCAAGACCAGCGTGGTCGACATGGAGAAACCCCATCTCTACTAAAAGTACAAAAATTAGCTGGGTGTGGTGGCTCACGCCTATAGTCCCAGCTACTCGGGAGGCTGAGTCAGGAGAATTGCTTGAATACACGAGGCGGAGGTTGCAGCGAGCCGAGATTGCACCACTGTACTCCAGTCTGAGTAACAGAATGAGACCCTGTCTCTTCCCCCCAGAAAACAATAAAATGAAGACATAAAATAAACAGTTGACTATCTTTGGCTTTGAAAATCTCAGATGTCCAAGTAGTGGGAATATCAGAGCAGGAGAAAGGGAAGGATCCTTCTAGAAGCTGTTTAGACAGATGACTTGGGACAGGGAAGGTCATGAACCCAGTTCTCTCATTATTTATTTAAATTTATCTGACAAATCTTATTTTGATGAGTATAAGCTCTTTCACTTCAGAAGCAAGTAAATTATCTATAGGTAATCAGGGCACTTTTTGTCATTTCCTGAATTGCTCCAAGTACCCACAAATCATATTGATGCATCCTAGAAGCATCTACTTAAAAGAGCAAAGAAAAACTATGGGATAATTTAATGGATTAAAGGCCAGAGGCATGTTCTTGAGACATGCATTCCTCTTTGTCTCAGCTTGATTTCTCTTTCTTATGAAGAACCATAGTGGAAGTGATTTGCCTAAAGCTCAAATGAAGTACCCAAGTAGCCCAGTAACATTCTGTCTCTTGTGCTGTAGAATCTGATACAATTCAACTATGGATGTACATGCTATTTAGCTTTACAAGGTATTCTTTTGATCTGTAAAACTGATTAGCCTCTTCAGCTCTAGGCTGTTGTACATTTACATCTTTTCTCAACAACAACAAAAAATGAATTAATACTTTCTGTAAAATACATGACAAATGCTGTGATTGTATGGGTTAAGGTAAATCAAGCAAGGTACTGGAAAATATACCACATTAAATATAATTTAGTTTCCCATTTAAATGACAAACATTAGTGGTCTCCTTATATGTATATATTAAAAGTTAAGCCTGGTAGCTATTGTAAATCTATCGGTCAATTTTAATTTCCTCTGAATAGCCTTACTATTCCATTATTTCATGCAATATTTCTAACTGGTAACCATAAATCACCTTCTATTATATTAAAGAATCAGGCTGTGATGAATGTGGCAGCTGCCTCTGGGTCAGTAAAATGTATTCAGTTTCTGTCAGGGGTCCGACTAAGTTGAATGTGTCTCATTCTGCTTTTTACTTTAGGTAGGAGAGAGCAAATTTTGTTAAATCAGTCAGATTTCTTGTTTCCATCTTTTCCATTGAATCATTAAGATAGTTATTCGTAACTTTCAGTAAAAATAACCATAGTTTTAATTTTTCCTCTCTAACATATCTCAGTAAGAAGTTACTTTTCAGTACATGAATGTTATTTTTGAGCACAAGTAGTAAATGGGATTTAAGCTGGTTATAATCTTGAGGAATCCACAAAAGCATAAAGCAAGAGCAATGATGTATTGGCACAGGATTGGTATTGTATAAGTGATCTTGATAATTGCCTGCATTTTCTTCTAATTTGCATGCTTCACACATCAAAAACAAAAAATTAAAAATTGGATAGGATGTGACCTTTGTTTTTGCAATGTGTGTCTGATGGAAATTTTGGTGCTTCCTGAGGCAATTCTTCACCTTGGATTTAGAGAATTTTCTGCTTCATCAGGTTGTCATTTAATCAGTTGTCTTAGCAACTTCCCCGCCTTCTTTTCCTTCCCAAGGCCTCAAAGTCTCACCTTGTTTGAGCTACCAGATGCAGAAACCTGGCATGCCTTCCACTTCCACAAGCCTATTACTTTTTATTCTTGTTCTTTTTTTCAAAAATTCCAATCAAAGGAAATTAAATTCAAAGCAAATCAGGACACCTTGACTGAAGTGACGTTGGGATAATAGCCTTCAATCTAGAGCTACTTTCTAAGCAGAATCTCTGCCAGATGTCTGATGTGTCAGATCCCTCAGGTTTGTATTGGGGCAGAATATCTTATCCTCTTGGATGTTAAAAAAGCAAAAAACCATAGTAGAGAGATCAGTCAGAGTCTTAGGAGATTAAAAAACATACCTTGAGGGATGACCAACATTTCAAAGGATCGCTTTTATTCTTTCTTAGCTGTGTAATAAACAGGCTCTGGTATTGGGCTCTGGAAGCTCCACCATGTTGGCAGGGTTTCCTCAGCCCGGAGCTCTCTCCTCTGGTAGACTTGGGGGTTTGCGCCCTCTCACTGCTGCTACAGATGCTGCTCTTTCATCGTCCACTTGGGGGCTCTGCCACAGTCGTTTGCTGCCAAACTCTCAGCAAGGATGTCAGATATGAGTCATGAAAATATCTAATTTGGAGTAAATCTAATGGTTATTAAATTGACGTACCGTTACAGTGATCATTTTCTGATTGGAAACTCAAGAGCAGTACCAGACCTGCTGTCCTTGTCCTCAAACTCTAAGTGTTACATTAAATTCTCTCTATGCAAACCTATCCGTCCTTCAAAGGGAGTTTGGGTTATAGATGGTGACCCCAAATTATTATGAAATGTATTCTTTATCACTTTTCTTCCTTTTTCTAATCAGAGCTTTCCTATTTTACCACTGTAGTCCAACAATTATTAGTTTTATTTTTAACAACTAAGCTTGAATGATACTGACCTTTAAGGCTTGAAAACAATTAATTAGAAACCTGATAATTCAAGGGGGATTGTTGTCAGCTGTAACACACAAAGTCACCTGTCTTAGTAATGTAAGATACCTTCAGTTCAAACAGCCCAGGTCACAAAAGCAGTATCTCTAGATCCCAGTTTCCTCGTATATAAAGTGGAGGTATACTACATACTTTTTTAGGTTTCTCTCACTTCTAATATGCTCTGAGTTCAAGAATCAGTCCATTATAGGAGTTTATTATTAGAATTTCAGGATCTCCTATTTGCTTAAGTCAGAGACCCCCTTTTCTATCTTCATTCTCACCAGTATCTCTTGTATTAGAAAATGGCTCTTTATTAATTTGAAAAACATTTATTAAGTATTTATTGTGGACCAAGCACTCTCATGGGCACTGAAAATATAAAGACCTTAAACTCAGGATGCTGTGGTCTAGTTAAGGGGAGCCCTCATCCTTCTTTCCTGTTGGTAATTATTACTATACGATTTACCCATCTCTCTCACCATTCTTTCTCTGTCTCCTTTGATGACTCCTCTTCCTTTTTGCATTTTAAATCAGTCCTAAGAATTGTCATCTTTCTGTCCTTACTTACATTTTTCCCGATTGCTCCCCTAGTGGCCACAAAACATAGGTCTTCAAAAACGCTTATGCCCGTGATGACTCCAGCCCTGTGGCCTTAAACCATTCTGTCACGCCACATGCCAGGCCAATAATACAAGGCACAGACACTGTCATTTTATTTCTCCACCAAGAATATTCCTCAATTCTACCTTAACCTGCTCTGGGCATTTCCACCTCATTCCCACTTCTTAGTTTTGTCTCCATTTTTGATCTTCTCCCATCTTTACAATGCTCACTGACTTGGTTTCTGTGTTAGTTTCCTAGGGCTGCTGTAACAAATTACCACCAACTGGGTAGCTTAAAACAATAGAAATTTATTATCTCACAGTTCTGGAGGCCAGAAGTCCAAAACCCGGGTGTCAGTAGGGCCACACTCCCTTTAAAGGCTCTTGGGAAGAATTCTTCCTTGCTACTTCTATCCTCATGTGGTTTCCAGCAGTCTTTGGCATTCATTGGCTGTTAAACGCATCCTTGGAATATCTGCTGTCTTCACATGGCCTTCCTCCCTCTGTGTCTCTATGTATGTGCAAATTTCCCTCTTCTTATAAGGATACTAATCATTAGATTTAGGGCCCAGTCTAATCCAGTATGACATTATCTTTATTACATCTGCAAAGACCTTATTTCCAACTAAAGATCACAATTAGAGGTTCTTGGTGGACATGAAGTTACAGGAGACACTATTCAACACAGGGCAGTTTCCCTCATGTGGTCCTTGACAAGGACCTGACCACAGCTTTGTCTTAGACTCACACTCTGGCCTTCTACTCATGATCTTCTTGGGAAGGCAAACCCCATCAAGCTCAGATACCCAGGAACCAAGATTCAATATCAACATGGCCAGTGGGTTGTATGTATGTATGTATACATATATATCCGACTGGTTCTGTTTCTCTAGTAGAACCCTGACTAACATAGCATGCAATAAACATTGGTTGAATGAATGAACTGAACATAAAAATGAACAATCAGCCTGGTGCAGGGGCTCACGCCTGTAATCCCAGCACTTTGTGGGGGCCGAGGGGGGTGGATCATCTGAGGTCAGGAGTTTGAGACCAGCCTGGCCAATGTGGTGAAACCCCATCTCTACTAAAAATATAAAAAATCAGCTGGATGTGGTGGCGGGTGCCTGTAGTCCCAGCTACTTGGGAGACTGAGGCAGGAGAATCACTTGAACCCAGGAGGCAGAGGTTGCAGTGAGCTGAGATCGCACCACTGCACTCCAGCCTAAGCAACAAGAGCAAAACTCCATCTTAAAAAAAAAAAAAGAACAGAACAATCAAGCCTACTGTAGCCAGGCACTGATTTTATTTTCCCATATTTAGTATATTCTTCCTTCCACTAACAGGTCAATCTTCCTTTAACATAAATTTTATCATTTTATTCATCTTCCAAGGCATTGATTAGTTGCTTAGATTTTAGTAGGTCATAATCTGAGCTCTCTCTCTTATCACATAGTAAGGTCTAGTGATTAAAAAAATGGTCTATGGCATCACAGAGACCTGAGTTTATTCCAGAATTCACTATTTACTATATATGTGACATTGGATACATTACATTATACTCTCACTAGACCTCCACACTTGTGAGGCTGTAATGAGGCACCCAACAGTCCAACTGTGGTGATGTTAGAGATGGCCAAGTAGAAAGCCTGTTTTCCAGCCCACTTCCTTTTCCCAGAGTGGTCTCAGAGGAGGCTTAGGAGAGAGTCAGGCCTTGCACCATTGTGCAACAATAATGAGGCCACTCTCGCTGCAGTGAATACTCGGAAATCAAAATTAAAAATAAACCACCATTTACAGTTGTCACTCCAAATGATATACATACTTAGGTGTAACTCTAACAAAATATGTGCAGACATACCATGTTCATGAATTTGAAGACTCAATATAATAAAATTGTCAGTTCTCCCCTATTGATATAGAGGTGTAACAATTCCTGTCAAAATCCCAGCAAGACTTTCTGTAGATATACACAAAATTATTCCAAAATTATTTAGACAGAAAAGTAACTACAGTAGCTAGAAATTGTTTTTGAAAAAGAATACAGTAAGAATAATAAATCTACTCAATAAAAAAACTTCTTATATATAACTACAGTAACCAAGACTGTGTGACAATGGAGAAGGGATAAACACATAGATCAACGAGGCAGAATAGAGAACTTAGAAACAAACCCACAAAAATATGCCCAACATTTGCATCTTTTACAAAAAAAAATTAAGCAAATATTGCCAAGAAATGGTGCTGGAGCAAGTTGATATCCATTTGCCAAAAAAAAAGAACCTCAACATAAATCTTACACCCTATACAAAAAGTAACTTGAAATGGATCATGGACTTAAGTGTGAAACTATAAAACTTTTAGAAAAAATATATAAACTTTTAGTCTTTTTATATTTTGGCAAAGAGTTCTTAGACTTGACACCAAAAGTATGATTGATTAAAAGTTGATAAATAGACATCATCAAAATTAAAATTTTTTTCTGTGAAAGATCTGGTAAAAAAATAAAGGACAAGATAGACACAGAGAGGAAATATTAATATTTTCAAGCCACATATCCAAACAAAGCACTAGTATTGAGAACATGGAAAGAACTCTCAAAACTCAGAAGTAAAAAAGTGAACAGTCCATTTAGAACATTGGCAAATACATGAAGAGGATTTTCACCAAAGATGTACAGATGGTAAATAAACAAAACGAGTATCAACATCATTAGCCATTAGAGAATCACATATTAAAACCACATTGAATGGTTGCAAGGAACTAGAGGGAAGGGGTGAATAGTTGGGACCTGGATGCTTTTTATTTTAAAGACTTTATTTTATTTTTCAGACAGAGTTTTGCTCTGTCATCCAGGATAGAGTGCAGTGGCTTGATCTTGGCTCACTGCAAACTCCACCTCCCAGGTTCAAGCGATTCTCATGCCTTAGCCACCAGAGTAGCTGGGATTACAGACGTGCACCACCATGCCCAGCTAATTTTTTGTATTTTTAGTAGAGACAAGGTTTCATCATGTTGGCCAGGCTGGTCTCGAACTCCTGAGCTCAAGTGATCCACCCACCTCGGCCTCCCAAAGAGCTGGAATTACAGGCTTGAGCCACCATGCCCGGCCAAGACTTTATTTTAGAGCAGTATTAGGTTCACAGCAAAGTTGAGGAAAAGCTAGAGAGATATCCCATATACTTCCTGCCTCCACACATGCATAGCTTCCCCATTATCGACATCCCCTACACAGAGGATTTTTAGGGCAGTGAAACTCCTCTGTATGATACTATAATGGTGAATGCATATCATATGAATTTGTCCAAACCCACAGATTGTACCACACCAAGAGTGAATCCTAATGTAAACTGTGTAATTTAAGTGACAATGACGTGTCAATGTAGGTTCAACTGCATGGGCTCAATGTAGTTAAGAGCCCAGGCTTTGGAGCCAGAGGGATGTTGGTAATGGGGGAGGCTGTGCATGTGTGGGAGTAGAGGATGTACGGGAAATCTCTGCACCTTTCACTCAATTTTGCTGTGAACCTAAAACTTATCTTAAAAAAGTCTATTAAAATCATGAGATATTACTATACACATATTAGAACGGCCAATGTTAAAAACAGTGACAAGACCAAATGCCGGATCACTCATATGTTGTTGGTGGGAATGTAAAATGGTACAGCTTCTCTGGAAAACAGTTTGGGAGTTTCTTAAGAAACTAAACCTACAGCTACTATATCACCAAGTAATTGAACTCCTGGGTCTTTATCACAGAAAAATGAAAAGTAAGTTCACAAAATACACATGTTTATGAACATTTATAACAACTTCATTTGTAATGTCCCAAACTGGAAACAACACAGAGATCCTTCAATAGGTGAATGGTTAAACAAACTGTGGTATATCCATACTATAGAATACTACTCAACAATGAAAAGAATGAACTACTGATACCAATAGTAACCTGAAGGAATCCCCAGATAATTGTGATGAGTGAAA
The DNA here is from genome assembly GCF_000001405.40 of Homo sapiens. Lineage (NCBI taxonomy): Eukaryota > Metazoa > Chordata > Mammalia > Primates > Hominidae > Homo > Homo sapiens. Next base: position 112,487,489 of record NC_000005.10, on the reverse strand, counting down.
AAAGCCAATCCCAAGATGTTAAATACTTACGATTCAACTAGAATAATATATTTATAGAAATGGAGGATAGATTAGTGTTTGCCAGGAGTTAAGGAGGGGGTGGTATCAAGAGGAAAATGGGTGCGTCTATAAAAGCACAACTTGAGGCATCCTCATACTCACAGAAACAATGGAAATATTCTGTATTTTGACTGTATTAATGTCAATATCCTGGCTGCAATATTGTGCTATAGTTTGGTAAGATGTTACCCTTGGGATGAAACTGGTTAAAAGGTACTTCTTACAACTCCACATGAATCTACAGTTACAGTCTTGTACCACATAATGATATTTCAGTCAACAACAGATTGTGTATACAACAGTGGTCCCATAAGATTATAATACCATATTTTTACTCTACCTTTTGTATGTTTAGATACACAAATACTTACCATTGCCTACAGTATTCAGTACAGTAACATGGTTTGTAACCTAGCAGCAATAGCCAATACCATACAGTCTAGGTGTATAGAAGACTGTACCATCTGGGTTTGTGTAAGTACAGTCTACGATGCTCACGCAATAACAAAATCACATAACGATGCATTTCTTGGAATGTAACCCCATCATTAAGCAACACATAACTATTTCAAAATAAAAAGGTTAATTTTTAAAAAAATTATTTGGAAGGCTAAGTTAGAAGGATTGCTTCAGGCCAGGAGTTTGAGACCAGCCTGAGCAACATGGTGAGACCTTGTCGCTAAAAAAAAATTTTAAAAATTAGCCAGGCATTGTGATGTGTTTCTGTAGTCTGAGAGGATAAGGTGGGAGGATTGCTTGAGCCTAGGAGTTCAGGGATGCAGTGAGCTAGGATTGTACCACTGCACTCTAGCCTGGGCAACAGAGTGACACCCTGTCTCAAACCCCCCTGCCCAAAACTTATGATAAGTTAGATAACTTATTATACCATGGCTTGTATTATATATCATATCATATATCATAATTATCTTCTATATTTTTCACAGTTTATTCCATGTGAGATCATCTTATCTCCTTAATAGGTTTTAAACTACTCCAGACTAGAAACTGTCTCTCTAGTCTTGTCCTTAGAATGGTGTTTGGCACAAAGTAAACATTCAGAAAGCATTTGCTGAGTGAATATTGTTGAATGAATTCTCTGTTCCTAGGAGAGATAGATGTAAATAAGCACATGGCTTGAGCTTATTTGTCAAACCAGGTAGAATCTGCCCAAAGTCCATGCTGTTTTTCCCAAGGATAAGATTCAGCAACACAGAGCAGTCACAATAGTCATGCTCAGACAAACCGCCTTCCAACACTCTCCCCACCCCGCTGGAATGTTGAAGGAAGAGGAAATGAGATAGGGTAAATATCTCAATAATATTTTTCTTGCTTGGAGAAGCAGAGAAGGAACTTGACACATAAAATAAAGCAGTAAGAAAGTTTATGTAAACTCAACTTTCTAACTTGAAGCAGAGAGCAACAGAGTAGGAAGCATGGTGTTATCTCTTACTGTACTGTCTGTGCAGCTTCCAAAGAAGGTGATCATGGACTCTGTGTGCTTCCCTGGTCTGGGAGCAGATCCTTAAAGGGGCTAACTGAGCTGGATATAAACCAGAACATTTTTAGGATATAATTAATAAAATCCCTTTTTTTGATTCATGTTTTTTAAGCCTAATTTAGGGAAACCAGGTTTTTGTTTATTCTTGTCGTTGTTTTATTTTTAATCTCTTGTTGCCTAGCTATTAGTATTTAATATATGTCTATATTAAATCTTAATATTTGTCTCAATACTGATAAGAATAAAAATACTAATTGCCTCCTAAAATATGTAGTGGCCAATGACAATAAACCCATAGAAGTTCACCTACATTGTAACTAGCTTTATGGATGCTAAATTAAGATACGATTAGATGAATATTTATAGACCAGATATTAATTGGCCCTTCATTAAATGACACATAATATAGAACATTAGTGAAGATGGATAAGACATATTTTTTTTCCTTGAAGAGCTCACAAACCAGAAGACAACAGATATATAAAACCAATTACAACACTGTAATACAAGCTAAAATAGGGTGTGTTCACAAAGTCATGGAAACATAGAGAAAGGGGAAACTAACTCAACCTGAACATGGTGGTTAGTTTCTAAAAGTCATAGAATCCCATGGTTTTCAAAAGATCTCCGTTTCTCAGGTCCCAAACTGTCTCTTTATTTAACTGTAAGAAATTACATGGCACCATGTTGGTTTTAAAATTTCAGATCTGAGGTTTCCAATATTTGTGCCATACCTGACCAACCTGCCTGAAGTCCAGCTATTTCCAGGTACTGCCCAGAGAAACAGTGGGTGGAGTTAAGAGCCCAGGCTTTGGAGCCAAACTCCTTGGGGTCAAATCCCAGCTTGGCTATTTATCATATGACCATGGCCAAGTTACTTCTCTGACTTCACTTATCGTAAAATGGAAGAAATAATAATATACCTATCTGTCACTAATTTTTAAAACCATCCATGAATTTGAATGGCATATTCATCTTATTGCATCATTAGTCTATTACTTTCAAACACTTATATGACTTTTGGCTATATAGCAACAATAATATATATTTGGCTGTATTATAATGCATGATCGGTTTGATTCCCCATCTGTTGAATAAGAATAAATTTCAAGTCTCTGAAATAGCTCATGCAACTTTTCATGACATCATGTAATTTTCCAGAATACATATACCTACATAAACAAATAAACTGGATGTTGTAGCATTAGAATCCTGGCAGGAAATAGGTAGCGCACTGAATTTGGGTGGTTTGAGGAGAGTTTTGAAAAGGAACACTTGACAAAGATGTGAAGAGGATGTAGGGGAACCACAGTGAGTGCAGCAACCCGGGGTGAGTACTAGCAGGGAGTCATTTCCATTCTTGGACCTGAAGGGCATGGGAGGGAGCAGTTATCAGAATTCAGAGAAGGGTGCTTGATAGGAGCTGCTGTCTTTGGTAGGACCATGGCAACCCAGCAGAAAGAAATCTGGTGAAAAACACACCCTGATCTCCCGCTCCTCTCTCCCTGGGATGACCTTCAGGTTCCCTTTATTGGCCAAACCCAACAGAAAGTCAGAGAGCAGTGGAAACATTGAGGCCAGGCATCCAGGTCAGCTTCCCAGAACACAGCAGGGTTGAGATTGGTAGAGAGTAGTTCTGAAGGGGCAAATGAAAGAAAACCAATAGAGAAACCTAGTTATTTTATAGGGAGATTGTACTGCAAAACAACCACAAAGCAACAACAACAAAAAAACACGATGAAACAAAAACAAACTCAAGACTGTTTGACACCTTGTCACTAACTGACTTCTAAGACTGAAAAAATGTCTGCAAAAGCTGAGAAGCATGCTGGAAGAAAATCCTTCCAAATTTTAATTTCAGACGTAGTTATGGCAGTTCACAGGGAATGTCTCCTTCAAAATGGATAACCAGGAGGCAAAGGAAAATAAATGACGAAGATTTCTCTGGAGGGCAGAGCCAGGGTCTTAGGCAAGAGCCTCATTCTTCCTGTCCAGCAGGATGTAATAAGGGATGTTTGTTTCCTAACCACACCTTTCCAAATGGGAGTTTTGACTGTAGTTATCTTGTTTCTTCCCCAACCATTGTATACTGGGTGTGTTTAGACTGGATATCTTTAGTTTTAAGCCTAAGTTTATAAGGTCCCATGGAACCATAATCAGAACTGTTGGAAAGAACTGGATACCACAGAGAGATTCTGGACTTGGATCTGGATGTAGTAACTAAATGAGAGTTGAGGGTTGTGTTTCTTAGGGGAAGGGATAAACATATTCCATATGAAATGAATATATGGAAATAAGGAAAGGCATGAATGTTGTGGAGCAAAGGGGCAGACTGAGGTGGACACTGGAGACAGCCTATCCAAGAGCCTCTCACAAACCCTTTCCCTTGCCTTTCTCTACTAGAGAGACTGAAAAGCTAAAAGACACACCTCCCCAGACTCCCTTGCAGCTAAAGAGAACACAGTTGTGGATGCTGAAATGTTGAAAGAAGTCTTCAAGGATGGGTTACTTTCCTTCTTTCTCCTTAGACTGTAAATGCAGTGCCTACATTGGAGCAGTCATCTTCTGAGCAGTCATCATGGCGATGAATTCTGTATACTAAAGATAGTAGAGCAAAAATAGATGAAACCTGGTTTCCAGAATCTTACTTAGCATGTTTTTCAGCCATGTAATCATAATTAATACAGACTTACCTCATATAATGACCATTTGGTTGACAACTCTCTGCTGTAGCAAATCTTTAAAAGTTATACCATTTCTTCAGCAATGTCTCCTTTTGTTGTCCTTATGACTTTTTCACCTCAAAACATACTAAGCAGAAATACCGTAAGAAGTGACATTTTGATATTACAGTTTCAGGCAAAGGCACACTCAGATAAATCCTGACCACACCGCTGTTAGTCAGAGAACATTATATAGTCCAAATATGAATTGTTCGCCGTATTGAAAGGATTAAATTCATGAAAATATAAAGCATTTAGAATAGTGCCTACTGCATAATGACACAGGCAAGTCCAGCTTCATGGGTATGCAGCCCGTGGAGTCACAGAGGGCCCAGTGCTTAGGAGGGTTCCATGCTTGGTTTAATGCTCTGCTGTTGCCATCTGGATTTCTTAAAAATTTTATCTTTAAATGTGTGTATGTAAACTCTGATGGAAAAATAGAGCATGCACACGAGCAGAGGAGACACATGCAATATGTGTGCCCTCTATTTCTTGCCGCCTTTTTTGCATATACTGTGTTGTCTGAGATGCGCATGAGCACAGAATTCTGGTGGACTTAACTGTACATGGGATTTCAGAAAGACAAAGTAAGAACAAAGCAAATATTTTATGTCTACAACTACAAATATGTTATGTCTACACTGCAATATGACGGTATTGACCTCCCCTGGAGGCCATGCTTTCTATTTGAACCAAAACTTGCTTTGCAGAAGCAATGCAGAAAGAAGGCAATGACATTCTGAGAAAGAAACTTGCAATGCAGAAAGAAGGCAATGACATTCTGAGAAATATTAACAACCAAGGAATCCCATGACATCTTTTTTTTTTTTTTTTTCTGAGACAGAGTCTCACTCTGTTGCCCAGGCTGGAGTGCAATGGCGTGACCTCGGCTCACTGGAACCTCCACTTCCCGGGTTCAAGCAATTCTCCTGCCTCAGCCTCCTGAGTAGCTGGGACTACACACGTGTGCTGCCATGCCTGGCTAATTTGTATATTTTCAGTAGAGATGGGGTTTCACCATATTAGCCAGGCTGGTCTCGAACTCCTGACTTCATGATCCACCCGCCTCAGCCTCCCAAAGTGCTGGGATTACATGCGTGAGCCACTGCGCTTGACCCACATCTTTAAAAATTCATGTTATTTTCCTATATTAGCCAACCATTTATGTTGAAAATTATAACATAGAAGGAAAGGCAAAGATATGGCAACCTATAGTTCATTTTTCTTTCAGTCATTCTTCCCTCAGCCATAAAGCACAGGTAGAGAGTGTTGGTAGAATACCCATGTATCAAGAAGCAAGATAAAAACAGTTGAATTAATTTTGCACAAGATTTCCACTGTTTGGTAAGAGCAAAATACATATTAATGTATAAGCTACAAAAGGCAAATTGTGTAATTTCAGTGAGTCCACATAGAAGTTAAATGCTTATTTATTTACATTTAAAACTGGCATTGTACAATATAAAAGCAAATGCTAAAATTCATAGTATTAATTTAAAATTTTACTTCTTTTTACTTAGAATGACATTAATTAGAAAATTATAAACACAGGACAAGTTGAGAGAGAGACTGGGAAAGAAAGGAGTTTTATATTTTAGTAAATATAACTAACAGCATTTTTTTTCTGAACAAGGAATCTTGCATTATTATTTTGTACTAAACTCTGCAAATTATTTAGGGGCCCTGAACATAATGTGCATTTACACATAGCATATAAGCAGTAACTATCAAAGAGCTATAATAAGTACTAATTAGACATTCAATTAATAATAATATCCCAATAAATGGCTCTTTGATAGAGAGAGAAGAAAACACCACTTTGCTAAAAGAGCCTCTTCTAGCTATAGTGTAAACTTAGCTGAAGATCCACATTTTGTAATATCTGGAAAAAAGAAAACAAAACAAATTATCTCCCTAACCTAATGTTGATGCAAGCAAGAGCCATAGTTGGAGACACTATGGCATCCAGGAGACACATGACCCCTTGAGCCCTCCCCAAGTACCTCTCGTCCTGTGCAACAGGGACAATGAGTCTCATTGTGAATGCCAGTTTGGATGTGGCTGCAGGGAAGGAGCAGATTAATGGTTGCTGCCCTACCTCAGTCTATTTTATTTTATTTTTTCTGAGACAGAGAGTCTTGCACTGCCGCCCAGGCTGGAGTGCAGTGGCACAATCTCAGCTCACCTGCAACCTCAGCCACCAGGCTCAAGCGATTCTCATTCTTGTACCTCAGCCTCCCGAGTAGCTGCGATTACAGGTGTGTGCCACTACGCCCAGCTAATTTTTGTATTTTTTGTAGAGACAGGGTTTCACCATGTTGGCCAGGCTGGTCTTGAATTCCTGACTTCAAGCAATCCTCCCACCTCAGCCTCCCAAAGCACAGGTGTGAGCCATTGTGCCCAGCTAAGTCTATTGTTTCAAATTGTCCTGAGGCAGAGACCAAGGGAGTGTCCAAAAACCAGCACAGGCACCCAGGCCTGTTGAGAGAATAAAGAATTTTGAAGGCCAGATTCCATGCTCAAGGTTGATGACTCAAATGGTTCTAAAGCATGAGTTAATAGCCTATGGAATTGAAGCCTACCAAGTTTGTTAAGGAGTTATATGGTCACAGAGCTTTTAAGCATATGTCCCAACAGTTTCAATTGCTCAACCTCCTTTAGCCCCCAGAATTCATACCAATTGAAAATAGTCTCAAAAGAGATACAGCCACTGGAAGACCAGTCCCAATCTCCACTGTGATTCTGGGAGGTCTTGAGGGAGAGCTTCAGAAAGCAGAATCAGTGATGAAGGAAATCCATGAGCAAAGGAGATTTTTCCCCTAAGAGCAGAAGCTGGTGCAGCTGACAGGTAGACCAAGGACTGCCAAGGCATGGAGTCCCTGCTGTTCCTGTCCAGGAGGAAAAAACATATGTCACAGTCCAGGAACTATTGTGTTCTCTCTTTTCTCAAATGGGAGTTGATACTGAAGCTATCCTGTTCTCTTGCCAGTATTTTATATGAAGTTGTATGACTTGGTTAAATGGGAAGAGCAACATTTGGAGGGGGACTGAATATTACCCAGACAACCTACACTTGGAGCTGGTTGAATACATAGAAGATACTTAGATTAACTGTCTTTGAGGAGTTTTCTAGGATCTAGCTAATTAATATCCACTGCCACTGTCATGGGAGACCACTGAGATTCGACTGATGTTCTGGCCACAGATGCTGACTCTTGACACCACCCCAAAGCTGCACACACTAGCGTGCTGCCCTCTTCTGAGTTCTTAGTGTTCTGAAGCTATGCTGTGCCCTATGCCTAACTGGACAGAAGACCCCTCCTCCTCACCCTGCCTGCATCCTCATGTCTCACAGTGTCTCAGAATCCCTTATGAAAACAGTTCCTTTCATGTGTGCCAGTAGCCACTTTCTCCATAGGACTCAAACCCAAATTTATGGGGCTGGCCAAGGGGAACATCACTGAGACTCTGCCATGTTCCCTCACAGCTTCTCCTGGCCTCTGCATCTTGGGCACCCTGCCTCTCTTCTTTTTCAGTCAGCAAAACAAAGCAAACCCTCCTGGCAGGCCTGCCTTACCAGTTCAGCAGACAAGCCTGGTCCTGTCTGAAGCCCAGTTATGAGTCATTGCAGAAAATAAACTGATGTAAGCATTCCTATATTCTATTTAAGAAAGCCTCAAGGGTCTTGGAGTGATTGAGCAGAAAAGCCAAAGTACTTGAAACTGACTTACCATTTAATTTTTAGAATAATCCGTTGGCTTTGAGCAGAGGTGGTAGAGAAAATTTATTTATTAATGAGTAAGAGGTATCATCCATAAAAGGAAAACATGATTTTTCTTTATTTCAATTGAGGCTGCAAAGTTGAGAGCAGTAGATGGCATGTACCCCCATATTCTGAAAAGAGGTGATAGATCATCTCTATAGTACTTGCTAAGAGGTGACTCCACACTGCCTCTGTTACTTCTTCTATGCTTAGCGAAGAATTGAGAATGAGGATTTCTTAAAAGTCTGGTAGATGCTGAGCTCTGTGGTGTGGCCCCTATCCTTCCAGTGGGAGAGAGAAGAATGCTGCCCTCTCCCACCTCAACCTGAGTGAGGGGGGTCCATAAACCCTTAGGAGGCATTGGCACGGGAGTGGAGTCTCTTGAGAGAGTTCACAGAAGAGTTTGACACATGACTTCCAGAGTTTGGAGGATCTGGGGCCTGACTTCTGCCTAGAAACTTCTAAGGTGTGAGGTCCTCTGGACTTGCTCCTGAAGCAGAGCGAAGTGAGGGATTGCAGTGGAGGTGATGGTGGCTGTACCTCCCTCGAGGTGAGGCCAGCGTGGCCACCTTTGCTCAAAGAGCCTGTGGAATATCCCACCAGAAACATGACTGGGGCAGTGGGAGTAAGCAGCTACTGGGGGAGCATATCAAGCACATAGAGTGATGCACGTGTCTGAGGGCAGAGTCCTCAAAGAACCCCCAAAAGAGAAAGCCAGCTTTGGCACATCTGCCATGCAGGGGTCAGTAACACCAGGTTACAACAGCACCCATTGAGTCAAACCTATTTACCCCCTTACCTGTCCTCTCCCTGCCAACCTCCTCTAACCCTGGAGGAGCCAAAAGGGTGCACAGTGAGTGAGAGAAGAAAAGTGGAGGAGCCACATGGAGGCGTTGTGAAGATACGGAGGAGACCACCCCCTTCCCCACTCCTGGTCTGTGGAGGGCGGGGGAGAGACTCCAGAGAGATCAAAGTTTTCATTGTTATCACACTGGACTTCTTAATACTTTGCCTGAAAAGAAAACCTTTTAACATCTGAAAGGGACTGGAAATCTAGGAGAGATGCCTAAGCTGTCAGCCAGAGGCAGAGCAGTGAGATCTGACAGAAGATACCTAATGATCAAAGTGAAGAAAAATGAAGGTGCTTCTCGTCTGCATCCCACAGAGTCCAGCTCATTACCAAACCTGTCATATCTAGGATCCTGGGGACCCACTGGGAGGAGAAGTTGTTAACGTGCATGGATTTCAAGTAAATGCCACCCGAGAAAATTTCAATCGAGGTTTACATTGCTACATTTCACTATTAAAATTACAGCACGGGGCCACGGGCATCAAATGTGGGTGTTTCGCAGTTTCTATCGATGACAATCAAAATTATTTTCCCAGATCAGTGATTTATTCCTTTGAGGGAAAAACACCTGATTACTTATTTTTTATAGTTAGAATTCTATTGTAATAATTTTCCATGTTATTAATATTTCATATTCTTTTGAGTGCAGCATTTAATGACATTTTAAGCATACCATATAAAAAGATATTTAGGTTACTGACAGTTTTTCTCACTTATAAATAATGAAGCAAGTAGATAGAACTTTTTCAAATGTTTTCAAGCTTTTTTTGTTATATTCTAAGAACCAATTGAACTTCTTAAAGCCTCATAATTATTTCCTTTTGAATTCACGATAATTCATTGTATAATTGGTTTTTATTAATTACAACTTAAAGTCATTTTTTTGCCCTGTGAATTTCAAGGTCATACTGGTTAGAAAAGACAGTTTTAGTCCAACGCTGATCACTTTTTAAAAAAATCATGAGCTCATAAATTAACAATTCATGGTTTTAGCAATAAATTATTTCACCTTGAATGACTCGTGTTTATGTTCAAACAATGCTAGTTCATTTTGCTCCTTAAATTTGTACTATATATGCTACATTAGGAGTAAATTGAACCAGGTGCTGTGACTTGCACCTGTAATTTCAGCTACTTAGGGGGTTGAGGCACAATGATTTCTTGAGGCCAGAAGTTTGAGACCAGCCTGGGCAACATAGTGTGATCCCTATCTCTAAAAAAACTTAAAATAAATTTTGAAAAATTAGCTGGGTGTGGTGGCAAGCACCTGTAGTCCCAGCTAGTTGGGAGGTTGAGGCAGGAGGATCTCTTGAGTCCAGGAGTTCAAGACTGCACTGAGCTATGAGCTCTGATGGTACCACTGCACTGCACAGCAGCCTGGACAACAGAGCAAGACCTTGTCTCTTAACAAAAAGTGTTAAAGGCAATTGGAGATAGGGTCTCACTCTGTCACCCAGGCTGGAGTGCAGTGGCACAATCATGGCTCACTGCAGCCTCAACCTCCTGGGCTCAAGTGATGCTCCCATCTCAGCCTCCTAAGTAGCTGGGACTACAGGCACACACCACCATGCCTAGCTAATTAAAATTTTTTTTTGTACAAATGGAGTCTTGCTATGTTGCCCAGGCTGGTCTTGAACTTCTGGCCTCAAGCAATCCTCCCATTTGGGCCTCCCAAAGTGCTAAAACTCTTTGTCGATTCCAAATTCTTGCTTGGTAGAAGAGCTATTTTGTTATTGTTTTTAGCTTGTGAAATTTTCTTATAACATGCTTATATTACCAGAGTCAGAGGTGTTTTAAGAATTCACAGTAATTTTAATTCATTGGTAAGACATTTTGGTGGAAATAAAGTAGTTTATACTAAATATCAGAAAGTATGAGTGGTGAAGTTATCATTTATTAAAATTCTCTAATATTTAATAATAATGTTAAGTACATTATATGAGCAGAATGAAACATGTTCCAAAATATTTTGCTTGTAAGTGTAGTTTTATAAAATAAATAGGTTTCCATTTTCAGAGAAGAGAAAGAGAACAGCAGAAATAATAAACAATGACTGGTTTAACCCAATGGTACTAACCCAACGTTTAGTATTTAACCCAATGTAAATACTAAACAATGTCCACGCATAAGGCTAACGTTTAAGGACCTGTGCTTGGCTTTGTTATTTTTAATATATATGGGATAACATGGAGAAAGGTAGTATAATTTTAAAGTTTAATTTGAATTTTGGCAATATGTCTTTCAGCAAAGAAAACTGGACTCTTTTTCCCCCAGTTGCCTTTGGCAATAAACCTCACAGTGACTGATCTTCATGACCTCATCCTGGAATTTGGCTTGAGTGACCAGTTTTAATCAACCTGAAAATAATGCCTCTTTGTCTATTGGAAAACAAATGGCGACAGATTGCCTCTTTCTGCTATAACCATAGCTCATCTGACTAGCTTTGCCCATGAAAGTCTTAGAAAAGTATGAGATACAATTTGAGGAGTTAGTTGTGTGTGAAAATCTTAATGAACTCAGTCACCTTGTAATTTAATGGCTAAGAAGCAGCTGTCTGAACAGATTAGCCATTAAATCTCAGATGTAGGGTTGTTTGACCTTAATTTGCATATTTTGAAAACCAGATTTTGCAGACTGTAGTTGGCTTCTGAGTCGAGCAAGGAGTGTGAGCACTGCCTCTGCTCTGTTCAGTTACAAGGCTATGAAGCCAAATTTGAGCCAGCCACTAGCAGACAAACAAAAGGTGGCACTGCTTTCCTTTGTTTTTTTTTTATAGTTTTAGTACATTAAAACTGCTGTATATGATTAGCATTAGTTAACTAGCCACTTTTGTTCCCGAGAAACTAAATCAACATTCACCTGGGGATACCTGTACTGGGTAGGCCTGTGATGGGCAATAAGAAAAGTCACTTATGTTGTTCTCTCAGGAAACTCTGAGCAGGTAAAAGGTTGGCAGAGGCTACCGGTGCACTTCCAATATTAGTGATGGAGTCCTGCTCAGAATACACACCATGCTTCTCAGGCTTTCCTGCAACCGGGCGAAGCACAGTTCTGGCCCATGAGATATTTGCAGAAATGATGTGTGTAACTTCTGGAATGTACCATGATGAGGAATGGACATACCCCACCACCACCACCACCCCACCCCACTTCCCCTTCCCTATTACTTAGCAGCTGCAATCTATACCTGGTGGTAAGTGGTAATGAGTGACCCTCAACCACTCCAATGAGCACAATGCCTTAGAGATAGGTGAGTAACAATATAGAAGGGTCCTGAGTCCCTCACACCACAGACCCATTATTCCAGTTCTGTAATGCTTATGCTTGGGCAGTCACATAACAGAAAAACAAACTCTTGTTTTATTGAAGTCACAGGTACTTTGGGTCTTGGTCTTAATAGCAGAATCTACTTCTTAATTAATTAATTGTGTATAATGACAACTGAGATGAGTGGTTAAAGTCCTAAAGCATTCAGATTCAAACTTCAGAAAATGATGTGCAGAAAAAAACAAAATCAAACCAACAATATATCTTAGGGTGGATTGAACTAATTTGCCATTGTGCCCCCCAACCCCAGCCCCCATTTTCAGCTTCTTTTCTTTTCTTTTTTTTTTCTTTTTTTTTTTTTTTAAGACAGAGTCTCCCTCTGATGCCCAGGCTGGAGTGCAGTGGCACAACCTCAGCTGACTGCAACCTCCACCTCCTGGGTTCAAGCGATTCTTCTGCCTCAGCCTCCCAAGTAGCTGGCACTATACGCGTCCGTCCGCCACCATGCCCGGCTAATTTTTGTATTTTTAGTAGAGACAGAGTTTCACCATATTGGCTGGGCTGGTCTCAAACTTCTGACCTTGTGATCCGCCTGCCTTGGCCTCCCAAAGTGCTGGGATTACAGGCGTGAGCCACCACACCCAGCCTTTCAGCCTCTTTTCTAAAGCTTGCACTCAAGAGTCACTGGAAAGCTGCCACATACCACATACGCAGTCCTCTCTGTTTCAGTTTGTTCGAAGCATCTGTGTCACACAGCTCAGTAAAGGTGACCTTGCCGGTCAGTCTTTTACAAGATCTAGACCTGGGGTTGGGGATGGGAGCACATAGTTCAGGTTCTTCTTTATGACTAGTTAATTAATTGTGAAAACGGTGAGTTGGAAACTCAGGTCCAAGATTTATGAGGTGCCAAAAAAAAAAAAAAAAAGTGGGCGGCGGGGGGATTTGAGGATGAATTGGAGAGAAAGTGCCCCTGGAGGAGATGGGCACAGGACCCATTCTTGACGAAGTGGGAGATTTGTGTATTCTGACATCTTTCTGGCAAGTATTAGTAAAGCCTTAAGGGTCCCTTCCGAATTTGCACACAGTTGCAGTCTAGGCTAGTGGTAGGTGGATGCAACACTCTGGCTGGGGCTGAGGATCAAGAGTGACAAGCTTCCCGCGGGTAGAGAGAGAGAATGTGGCAATCTCCAGAAAAAGGAAAAGCTTACTGTCCCCTTGATAAAAATTACTGCGGATTTACAGTGCCAAGAGTGCCTGGATTTCAGAATAAGCAAAGGGTTAGCATCTAGATCTTGAGACAGTCTTGTAAAACACACACACACACACACACACACACACACACACACACCGCAAGAGAATCCATGACATGTAGGTAGTAAGACATTTGATTAGAAAGTTTCCTATTAATATGTTTTAGTCATTGCGTAGGAAATCCCAGACACTCAAAATGGAGAGTTTTCCAGGACCTTATCTCAACCGTTAAAAAAAGGTTTTTTTGTGTGGGTCAAACATATTTTATGAGTAGCTGTTCTATACTTCAAATATCTTCAAAACTTGACGGGAGGAGGGGGGAGAAATGGCACCACTTTGTGAAATTCACTGCCTATGTTTGTAAACACTATGTAATGTTCTGTGCTGGAAGTTGTAAACAGGCTGCTCCAGTCAAATTTGGCTTTGCAGTCATGTTTTGCTTTGCTGACCTAGTATTTTAAAAAAATCATAATTAGTTACTAATGTTTCAAAAGAAGAAATTTCATAATAAAATTTGGATTTGAGGCTTCGGTTTTGAAAATGAGGCGATACCGAACTTGCGTTCCCTTATGGAAATAATCAGTGGATCTGAATAAGAGCAACCTCTTGTAGATGGAGTCTCTAGTCTTCCATCTACCACATTCCCAATTTCCACCTTGCCTGCCCCGTTTATGTTACCTGCCTGTCTTCCTTAGACACTTGACTTAGCTGCCCCTGCTAGATTTGGAATAGAGACTTGTGCCCTGCACAAGGACATAGCATATTACTAGAAATGTATGCACTCTATAATATTCATTGACTAATGAACGAATGAATGAATGAATGAATTGATCCTGCCTAAGACTCACTAAAGTCTGATGTCAATGATTATCCTCAGGCTAGAATAAGTTATGGACCAGTGTTTTGATCATCTTTCCTGGACCTCTGCTTCCAGCCAGAGGACAGGCCAGTCGTCTAAGCCAGATGTCATGAATCCGTCTTCAGGGAAATGGCTTTGTAGTCATTCCTGATGAGTTTGCTGAACCTGGTCATGCTCTTCATTCTTATTAAAATCTTGATTTTCTCATTGCCTATAGCCTGGTATTTAGGGCGCAACTAAAGCCATCTCCGGGCCTAGGTCTTCTGCATGTGTTTCTTTGTAAAGCTGCTTTAGATGCTTTGTTCAAAAAAAGATGACTTTTTTTCTGGCGACTCGATTTTGCTTATCGGCTTTTTCAACAACTGCATGATTTCAGTTATTTCCTCAGGAAGCTGTATTTGATTCCAAAAGAAACACTTAAGTGTTTTATCTGCAAGTAACACACAAAGTATCCCAAATGCACTTACTTTATTTAAGAGTCATATAAGAGAAGGGACTATTAAAAGTAAACTAGGGGGAAAAAGCAAGTAAGAAAAGAGCAGTTGAGGTTGTTTTGTAGCCTCAGTAGAACGATGGGGTGGGAATACTGACAGATAACTTACCCTTAAATCACACAGTCATGTAGTAGTATAAATTCAAATGTAAGACTCTTCTAAAATTAAAAGAAAGTCATCCAATCCATGCTTTTGCAGAGAAGTCTCTCTGATTCTGGTTTAATATTTTTCTGCCATTCTGCTTTGTTCAATTGTATATTCCACTCCTTTTTTTGTGGGAGTTGGAACAGACAGCGAATCTCCCTAGATTTCTGCAGACTGGTTGGTGCTTCATAAATAAGCCTGAAAGAATTTTAAAGTACTCCCAGCAGGATACAGTACATTAAAGAAATAATACTAAAATTTTAGTTGCCTCATTGCCAAGATCCTTTATGACCCTAAGTGCTGTACATGCCATTTTAAGGTAACTAATAACTGCTCCCCCAATACAATTCATAAAACAAGAAGCATTTCCTGCTGTTACTACAGGTGTGTGTTTTCTAAGCCCCTTTCCAAAGCTCAACACTTACAGGAGAGACAGGCATTCTTCCCATTCTGTAATCATTTATTAAGTGTGTCTGGTGTACCTCCTCCTGGTCAAACAAGAGGCATAGAATGACAGTTGGAAGGATCAGGAAGAAGAGATGGAGAGCTACAAAAGAATACAGAAAAATCATGTAACGACGTAGCCCTTGATCAAAAAGTCAGTCTTTCAAAGGAGATAAAACTTACATACTTCATTCATTCAATTAACTCATTCACTTATCCATTATTCATAAAGCGTTTATTAATTTATATTTAGAGAAATGTAACATGAATGAAATCAAAAGACCCACAGTTGACTGGGGAAAGCAGTGCCTGGCACATAAAGCACTCAATATTTGTTAACCATTGTTTACTAGAAAATTTAAAAGTTAATATCACAAAGAGCATCTACAAATGAATAAAAAGGAGAAAACGCTCTGGTAGAAAATTAAGCAGGGATTATGAACAGGCAATTTATAAAGGAGAAATCCTAATTTTCAATCAACAGGTAAAAATATGCTCAGCTTCACTAGAAGTCGGTGGAAAATGATCTTATTTAAGCAATAAGATCACACATCAGGTTAGCATAATTAAAAGCGTCAGTGAGGAAGGGGAGAAATAGTTGCCACAGCTTTGGGAAAAGAAATCTGGTGGTAATTATCAAAAATAAAAGTACACATATCCTCTTTGGGCTTGTGGTTCATTTTGGCTGGAACTCAAAGGTGTGTGTGTGAGTTTATTGGGAAAGGTATACAGAGTGAGAACTCTGTATGTGCTGGGGAACTAGAATATGCAGGTGTGTGGCAGGGTTTTACTTGGGGAGTGAGGTGATCAGAATTAGAGAAGGTGAGAAAGATCAGATTTAGTGTTTCAGAAGGACACGCTGGCTGCAGTATAGGGTGAGTGGTGGGTAGCCATGAGGCTGGAGGCAGGGAAATGGGGGCCCAACATTGGAGTGGTAGGCCTGAGAGGAGTGGATGATGTTAAGATACTCAGGAGGCGAAGTCAACAGGACGTCTAAATGAACACTCCAGATTGGGATAGTATAATGCTGATGTTTTAGGAGAACAAGGTGAGACAGGCCTTGAGAAGTCTAGGAAACAAGGCTACTCCAGATCAGATTGTAAAATAGCTAAAATTCAATTAAGCATTTTCTTATGTTTTTGGTCACTAAGTGCTGGGGCCCTCATGCTACCTTGGATCACCCAGGGCCCTACCACAGGGCCTTAGCAAACCTGCCTCCCTCCAGCAGTGATGTGGGTTTCAACAGTTTCCTACTTTCAGGCATTAAGCTGGGAACCACTGTAGGGCAGAGATTGTCCTATTCATTGTTGTGCCCTAGCCATTAGCCTTGCTTCTGCATATAATAGGTGCTCATTAAGTAGTTGCTTTTTCTGTACTTTCTCTAATTATTATGATGATAATTAACTAGATCACAACAAAATTCACACATGACAGTCAGCTTAACATGTGAAGTTCCTGGAGCCAGTTGTTAACCCAAAGGAATATATTAGTGACAGTGACATTTCTGGGAGATGGAGAGCTTTTGGAAGGCTGTCTTCAAAGCCTGTCAAATCATACAATACAGGCCAACATTTAGCTAAACTGTATCAACTTGGCTTGGCAGGAAAAAATCCCAAGCACCATGTTTGGTTATGAAAATCCAATGAAATAATCTACATATAAATGTTTAGGACTGGGTAAAGTAGAGCAGAAATTCAAGTTCTGTAACAATCCCATTCCTGCCCTATATAGAAGTCATCGTATGGAGTGGCAGAATCTAGCTGTATTTGATGGCTTTGATTTAGTTACATCAATCTGTGCTACCCAAACATGCAAATTTTACACATTAAGGGCCCTCTAGCTTAGTCCATGGTCTTAGTATTTCATACCTTAGCTGCTCTGGGTTTTCTACTACCCAAACTTGACCTAGGAAGATGAACTACCCATCTAATTTCACTGATTTTCTCTCTTCCTCACCCCTTTGTGTGTTCCGAGGTCCACTGGGGCCAGTGATGGCCCTCATCCGTGTCTGCACTGTGTGTATGTTGGTTATGAGGGGCTCTTCTCCCTGCCAGAACTGCAGCCAAGCTTCTGGAGGGCAGAGGCCTGTCTTCCTCCTTACCATGTCCTCTACAAACCTCTGTATTTGGCGCATAGTGGGAGCTCAGTAAATGTCTGTTGATTTCATTTAGAATGAACCATGGAAAGGGGGAAAGACTTTCTGGGTGCTCTCATTGGGTTGATGGGAAGCTGTGTCTACAGGCAGGAGCAGATTCTGAGCTCACAAGTTGATGATAGGTCCCAGAGAGACTAGGCTCTGACCTGCAAGGCACTCTACTTCTCTGTACCTCGTTTACATCACATGAAGAAACAAATTCATTGGTAGTCAATAACTGTAAGAATATTATAATGGCAGCAATTATTTATTGTTTAGTGTCAAGTAATGTTCCCACTGCTCTGTATATTTTTATTGTAATTCTCACAACAACCTAGCAAGAGGAATTAGTATTCCTGTTTAAAGATTAGAGATGTTAACTGACCTGGGTCTCAGGGCTAGTGGTATGATTTGGATATGGTTTGTTTGGCCCCATCAAGTCTCAAGTTAAAATTTGATCCCCAGTGCTGGAGGTGGGGCTTAATGGGAGGTGTTTGGATCACACAGGCAGATCCCTCATGAATGGCTTGGTGCAATCCTCACTGTAATCAGTGAGTTCTAGCTCTGTTAGTTCCAGCTTTATTAGTTCCCAGAAGAACTGGTTGTTAACAAGTATGTCACTTCCCTTCTCTTTCTTTCTTTTTTTTTTTTTCTCAGCAAACTATCGCAAGGACAAAAAACCAAACACCACATGTTCTTTTTCTTTCTTGCCATGTGACCTCTACAAGCTGGCTCCCCTTTACCATCTGCCATGAGTGGAAGCAGCCCTCACCAGAAGTAGAAATTGGTGCCATGCTTCTTGTACAGCCTGCAGAACTGTCACCCAAACAAATTTCTTTTCTTTATGAATTACCCAGTCTCAGGTATTCCTTTATGGCAACACAAACAGATCAAGACAGCTAGAAAGTGATAGAAGAAAAATGTATAAATGTTGTTTAAAATGTTTAAAGGTATTTTTATTAATTAAGTTTTGTATATAATTTAATACATTAATCAAAACTTCCTTAAAGGTTATTGTTGCACCCATGAACTCGTCATTTACATGTATACATATGTACCAAACCTGCACATTGTGCACATGTGCCCTAGAACTTAAAGTATAATTTAAAAAAAGTTATTGTTAAAATGTGTCAGTTTTGAGAACAGAATAATAAGATTTATAAGAGAACTAAAAGCTCAAGAAAGACCTGGAGTTTTCATTTTTAACAAAGCTCCTGAATAACCTTTCCTACTTATAAAAAAGCCACCCCAAAGGCATAAACAAATCACATTGATATGATGTATGCCCAAATTAAAAAGAATGCTATATGATGTTTTCTAAATAATATGTGTGATATATATTAATAATGTATTCTCAAATATAGTTGTCTCTTTCTATCTGTGGGTTCCACATCCATGGATTCAACAAACCTTAGTTCAAAAATATTTTTACAAAAACTTGCAGGCGGAGCGTGGTAGCCCTCGCCTGTAATCCCAGCACTTTGGGAGGCCAAGACGGGTGGATCACCTGAAGTCAGGAGTTCAAAATCAGCCTGGCCAACTTGGTGAAACTCCGTCTCTATAAAAATACAAAAATTAGCTGGCCATGATGGTGGGTGCCTGTAATCCTGGCTACTTGGGAGGCTGAGGTGAGAGAATCCCTTGAACCCAGGAGGTGAAGGTTGCAGTGAGCCGAGATAGTGCCACTGCACTCCAGCCTGAGTGACAGAGCGAGACTCCATCTCAAAAAAAAAAAAAAAAAAAGAGAAAGAAAACAACAACAGAAAAAAACTTGCATCTGCACTGAATGTGAAAATCTTTTTTTCTTCTCATTTCACTGAAACAATATAGTATAAAACTATTTACATAGCATTTACATTGTATTAGGTATTATAGGGAATCTAGAGGTGATTTAAAATGTATAGGAGGGTGTGTGTAGCTTACATGCAGACACTAAGCCATTTTATGTAAGGGGACTTGAGCATTGGCAGATTTTGGTATCCATGGGAGTCTTGAAACCCCCACAAATACCAATTGACAACTGTATACATATCATATATTACATATTACATACGATTATAATGATATATTCTCAATATTTATATGTGTGTTTATATATGTGCACTTCTTTTTCTTCACATAGGAGAAGCAACTGTAGGCAAACACTGGGTGATGAAGGTAGGATAGTCTTGTCTGAAAGCTGTTTTCCACAGCTCTGATATTCAGTAACCCATGTGGAGAACAAAAGGATTTTGCTCCATGAAGTCTAATTGCCTGCTGAATAAATAAATAAATAGATGAAGCACTGCATGCATTAAATGAAAGTAAATATTGACCCTGCCACCATATGTTTGCTGGGGTGCTGGCTGAAGTGTGCTGGCAGGTCCAATCAGTCAGAGTCTGCCAGCCCAGCAAGCAGGAGAGACAGGAATATCAAAAAGGCGCTCCTGCTTGTGCCTTAATCTTTGTCCAACCCCCAATTCCTCCACCACAGGCAGCTCACAAAATAAAATCCCAAAAAGGAAAAATAAAATGGGTATTGATTGTCTAGGCTCAGATGATCCCATAGGAATCTTTGTTAAGTCAGAAGAGGATAAGCATATCTTTTTTATTTTTACCTTTAACTAAGAAAGGAGAAATTACTCTATTGGGTCAGATCTATGAGTGTGTGGGCAACTCCAGCATGCCCTAGTGGAGGAACAGACCTCCACCTCCTCATCCCCAACTTATTACTTGCTGGGGAAGTCCTACCACCCCTCTCACCTTGTTTACTCAGCCTCAGAAAGAGTATAATAATACTGGTCCTGCCTTTGTCACCGACTGTAGAAGCTCAGGTGAGGTTAATTATATAATAAGTCCTGGAGTAAAGGGCTGTGGATATTTAAAAAGTTAATTACAATGACTTCTGAGTAACAAGAACTCGCTCTCAAGTATCCCCTTGTCCCATCTTTGCTTTCTGTTTCTGCTCTTGTTTCTCAAGCCCAGAGTAGCTAAGAGAGGGGCAAGGACAGGATAGTCAGCAGCAATGGTGACATCTGCAAGGAGAAATTCCTTCTCTCCTCCTAGGCCAAGTACCCACTGCAGTATCCAAAACACTTTCTAAATATCTTACCCTGGTTTCCTCTACTTTAAAAAATTTCTGGGGGTGGTTCCAAGATGGCCGAATAGGAACAGCTCCAGTCTACAGCTCCCAGCATGAGTGATGCTGAAGATGGGTGATTTCTGCATTTCCAGCTGAGGTACTGGGTTCATCTCACTGGAGATTGTCGGACAGTGGGTGCAGGACAGTGGGTGCAGCGCACCAAGCATGAGCCAAAGCAGGGCGAGGCATTGCCTCACCCGGGAAGTGCAAGGGGTCAGGGAATTCCCTTTCCTAGCCAAGGGAAGGGGGGACAAATGGCACCTGGAAAATCGGGTTGCTCCCATCCTAATACTGCACTTTTCCGATGGTCTTAGCAAACGGCACACCAGGAGATTCTATCCCGCACATGGCTCAGAGGATCCTACGCCCACAGAGCCTTGCAGATTACTAGCACAGCAGTCTGAGGTCGAACCGCAACGTGGCAGTGAGGCTGGGGGAGGGGTGCCCGCCATTGCTGAGGCTTGAGTAGGCAAACAAAGTGGCCAGGAAGATCGAACTGGGTGGAGCCCACCACAGCTCAAGGAGGCCTGCCTGCCTCTGTAGACTCCACCTCTGGGGGCAGGGCATAGCCAAACAAAAGGCAGCAGAAACCTCTGCAGACTTAAATGTCCCTGTCTGACAGCTTGGAAGAGAGTAGTGGTTCTCCCAGCCCGGAGCTTGAGATCTGAGAACGGACAGACTGCCTCCTCAAGTGTGTCCCTGACCCCCAAGTAGCCTAACTGGGAGGCACCCCCCAGTAGGGGCAGACTGACATCTCACACTGCTGGGTACCCCTCTGAGATAAAACTTCCAGAGGAACAATCAGGCAGCAACATTTGCTGTTCACCAATATCCACTGTTCTGCAGCCTCCGCTGCTGATACCCAGGCAAACAGGGTCTGGAGAGGACCTCCAGCAAACTCCAACATACCTGCAGCTGAGGGTCTGGACTGTTAGAAGGAAAACTAACAAAGAGAAAGGACATCCACACCAAAACCCCATCTGTATGTCACCATCATCAAAGACCAAAGGTAGATAAAACCACAAAGATGGGGAAAAAACAGAGCAGAAAAACTGAAAATTCTAAAAATCAGAGCGCTTCTCCTCCTCCAAAGGAATGCAGCTCCTCACCAGCAACAGAACAAAGCTGGATGGAGAATGACTTTGACAAGTTGAGAGAAGAAGGCTACGGACAATCAAACTTCTCTGAGCTAAAGGAGGAAGTTCAAACCCAATGCAAAGAAGTTAAAAACCTTGAAAAAGGATTAGACGAATGGCTAACTAGAATAACCAATGCAGAGAAGTCCTTAA
Organism: Homo sapiens; assembly: GCF_000001405.40. Classification (NCBI taxonomy): domain Eukaryota; kingdom Metazoa; phylum Chordata; class Mammalia; order Primates; family Hominidae; genus Homo; species Homo sapiens. The sequence continues at coordinate 112,465,592 of NC_000005.10, read as the reverse complement.
AAGAACTGATGGAGCTGAAAACCACGGCATAAGAACTACGTGATGAATGCACAAGCTTCAGTGGCCTATTTGATAAACTGGAAGAAAGGGTATCAGTGATGGAAGATCGAATGAATGAAATGAAGTGAGAAGAGAAGTTTAGAGAAAAAAGAATAAAAAGAAATGAACAAAGCCTCCAAAAAATATGGGACTATGTGAAAAGACCAAACCTGCATCTGAATGGTGTACCTGAAAGTGGTGGGGAGCATGGAACCAAGTTGGAAAACACTCTGCAGGATATTATCCAGGAGAACTTCCCCAATCTAGCAAGGCAGGCCAACATTCAAATTCAGGAAATACAGAGAACGCCACAAAGCTATTCCTCAAGAAGAGCAACTCCAAGACACATAATTGTCAGATTCACCAACGTTGAAATGAAGGAAAAAATGTTAAGGGCAGCCAGAGAGAAAGGTCGGGTTACCCACAAAGGGAAGCCCATCAGACTAACAGCTGATCTCTCGGCAGAACCTCTACAAGCCAGAAGAGAGTGGGGCCAATATTCAACATTCTTAAAGAAAAGAATTTTCAACCCAGAATTTCATATCCAGCCAAACTAAGCTTCAAAAGTGAAGGAGAAATAAAATACTTTACAGAGAAGTAAATACTGAGAGATTTTGTCACCACCAGGCCTGCCCTAAAAGAGCTCCTGAAGGAAGCACTAAACATGGAAAGGAACAACCGGTACCAGCCACTGCAAAAACATGCCATACTGTAAAGACCACTGATGCTAGGAAGAAACTGCATCAACTAATGAGCAAAATAACCAGCTAACATCATAATGACAGGATCAAATTCACACATACCAATATTAACCTTAAATGTAAATGGACTAAATGCTCCAATTAAAAGACACAGATTGGCAAATTGGATAAAGAGCCAAGACCCATCAGTGTGCTGTATTCAGGAAACCCATCTCATGTGCAGAGACATACATAGGCTCAAAATAAAAGGATGGAGGAAGATCTACCAAGCAAATGGAAAACAAAAAAAGGCAGGGGTTGCAATCCTAGTCTCTGATAAAACAGAGTTTAAACAACAAAGATCAAAAGAGACAAAGAAGGCCATTACATAATGGTAAAGGGATCAATTCAACAAGAGCTAACTATCTTAAATATATATGCACCCAATACAGGAGCACCCAGATTGATAAAGCAAGTCCTTATAGACCTAGAAAGAGACTTAGACTCCCACACAATAATAATGGGAGACTTTAACACTCCACTGTCAACATTAGACAGATCAACGCGACAGAAAGTTAACAAGGATATCCAGGAACTGAACTCACCTCTGCACCAAGCAGACCTAATAGACATCTACAGAACTCTCCACCCCAAATCAGCAGAATATACATTCTTCTCAGTACTGCACTGGACTTACTCCAAAATTGACCACATAGTTGGAAGTAAAGCACTCCTCAGCAAATGTAAAAGGACAGAAGTTATAACAAACTGTCTCTCAGACCACAGTGCCATCAAACTAGAACTCAGGATTAAGAAACTCACTCAAAACCGCTCAACTACATGGAAACTGAACAACCTGCTCTTGAAAGACTACTGGGTACATAATGAAATGTAGGCAGAAATAAAGATGTTCTTTGAAACCAATGAGAACAAAGACACAACATACCAGAATATCTGGGACACATTTAAAGCAGTGTGTAGAGGGAAATTTATAGCACTAAATGTCCATAAGAGAAAGCAGGAAAGATCTAAAATTGACACCCTAACATAACAATTAAAAGAATTAGAGAAGCAAGAGCAAACACATTCAAAAGCTAGCAGAAGGCAAGAAATAACTAAGATCAGAGCAGAAATGAAGGAGATAGAAACACAAAAAAACCCTTCAAAAAATCAACAAATCCGGGAGCTGGTTTTTTGAAAAGATCAACAAAATTGATAGACCTCTAGCAAGACTAATAAGAAAAGAGAGAAGAATCAAATAGATGCAATAAAAAATGATAAAGGGGATATCACCACCAATCCCACAGAAATACAAACTACCATCAGAGAATACTATAAACACCTCTATGCAAATAAACCAGAAAATCTAGAAGAAATGGATAAATTCCTCAACACATACACTCTCCCAAGACTAAACCAGGAAGAAGTTGAATCTCTGAATAGACCAATAACAGGCTCTGAAATTGAGGCAATAATTAATAGCTTACCAACCAAAAAAAGTACAGGACCAGACGGATTCACAGCCAAATTCTACCAGAGGTAAAAGGAGGAGCTGGTACCGTTCCTTCTGAAACTATTCCAATCAATAGAAAAAGAGGGAATCCTCCCTAACTCATTTTATGAGGCCAGCATCGTCCTGATACCAAAGCTTGGCAGAGACACAACAAAAACAGAGAATTTTAGACCAATATTCCTGATGAACATTGATGCAAAAATCCTCAATAAAATACTGGCAAACCAAATCCAGCAGCACATCAAAAAGCTTATCCACCATGATCAAGTGGGCTTCATCCCTGGGATGCAAGGCTGTTTCAACATATGCAAATCAATAAATGTAATCCATCACATAAACAAAACCAAAGACAAAAACCACATGCTTATCACAACAGATGCAGAAAAGGCCTTTGACAATATTCAACAACCATTCATGCTAAAAACTCTCAGTAAATTAGGTATTCATGGTATCTCAAAATAATAAGAGCTATTTGTGACAAACCCACAGCCAATATCATACTGAATGAGCAAAAACTGGAAGCATTCCCTTCAAAAACTGGCACAAGACAGGGATGTCCTCCCTCACCACTCATTCAACATAGTGTTGGAAGTTCTGGCCAGGGCAATCAGGCAGGAGAAGGAAATAAAGGGTATTCAGTTAGGAAAAGAGGCAGTCAAATTGTCCCTGTTTGCAGATGACATGATTGTATATCTAGAAAACCCCATCATCTCAGCCCAAAATCTCCTCAAGCTGATAAGCAACTTCAGCAAAGTCTCAGGATACAAAGTCAATGTACAAAAATCACAAGCATTCTTATACACCAATAACAGACAAACAGAGAGCCAAATCATGAGTGAACTCCCATTCACAATTGCTTCAAAGAGAATAAAATACCTAGGAATCCAACTTACAAGGGATGTGAAGGACCTCTTCAAGGAGAACTACAAACTACTGCTCAATGAAATAAAAGAGGAGACAAACAAATGGAAGAACATTCCACGCTCATGGGTAGAAAGAATCAATGTCGTGAAAATGGCCATACTGCCCAAGGTAATTTATAGATTCAATGCCATCCCCATCAAGCTTCCAACGACTTTCTTCACAGAATTGGAAAAAACGACTCTAAAGTTCACATGGAACCAAAAAAGAGCCCACATTGCCAAGACAATCCTAAGCCAAAAGAACAAAGCTGGAGGCATCATGCTACCTGACTTCAAACTATACTACAAGGCTACAGTAACCAAAACAGCATGGTACTGGTACCAAAACAGAGATATAGACCAATGGAACAGAACAGAGCCCTCAGAAATAATACCACACATCTACAACTATCTGATCTTTGACAAACCTGAGAAAAACAAGCAATGGGGAAAGGATTCCCTATTTAATAAATGGTGCTGGGAAAACTGGCTAGCCATATGTAGAAAGCTGAAACTGGATCCCTTCCTTAGACGTTATGCAAAAATTTATTGAAGATGGATTAAAGGCTTAAATGTTAGACCTAAAACCATGAGAACCCTAGAAGAAAACCTGGGCAATACCATTCAGGACATAGGCATGGGCAAGGACTTCATGTCTAAAACACCAAAAGCAACGGTAACAAAAGCCAAAATTGAAAAGTGGAATCTAATTAAACTAAAGAGCTTCTGCACAGCAAAAGAAACTACCATCAGAGTGAACAGGCAACCTACAGAATGGGAGAAAATTTTTGCAATCTACTCATCTGACAAAGGGCTAATATCCAGAATCTACAAAGAACTCAAACAAATTTACAAGGAAAAAAACAAACAACCCCATCAACAAGTGGGCGAAGGACATGAACAAACACTTCTCAAAAGAAGACATTTATGCAGCCAACAGACACATGAAAAAATGCTCATCATCACTGGCCATCAGAGAAATGCAAATCAAGACAACAATGAGATACCATCTCACACCAGTTAGAATGGCAATCATTAAAAAGTCAGGAAACTACAGGTGCTGGAGAGGATGTGGAGAAATAGGAACACTTTCACACTGTTGGTGGGACTGTAAAGTAGTTCAACCATTGTGGAAGATGGTGTGGAGATTCCTCAGGGATCTAGAACTAGAAATACCATTTGACCCAGCCATCCCATTACTGGGTATATACCCAAAGGATTATAAATCATGCTGCTATAAAGACACATGCATACATATGTTTATTGTGGCACTATTCACAATAGCAAAGACCTGGAACCAACCCAAATGTCCAACAATGATAGACTTGATTAAGAAAATGTGGCACATATACACCATGGAATACTATGCAGCCATAAAAATGATGAGTTCATGTCCTTTGTAGGGACATGGATGAAGCTGGAAAACATCATTCTCAGCAACTATCACAAGGACAAAAAAACCAAACACCACATGTTCTCACTTATAGGTGGGAATTGAACAATGAGAACACTTGGACACAGGAAGGGGGACATCACACTATGGGGACTGTTGTGGGGTGGGGGGAGGGGGGAGGGATAGCATTAGGAGATATACCTAATGCTAAATGATGAGTTAATGGGTGCAGCACACCAACATGGCACATGTATACATATGTAACAAACCTGCACATTGTGCACATGTACCCTAGAACTTAAAGCATAAGAATAAAAATAATAAATAAATAAATTACATGAAAAAAATTTCTTTAAAAGATTTATATAAGAAGGATTGAGGAAGACCTGTATAATCATTATAGCACTTTGCAATGCTGGAGTTTTCACTTAGGTATTATTATTATGTTGTTACTATTATTTTTACCTATTATGTGATATTTGAAGTAGTCTCAGCTTTCTTCAGTAATTGTTCATTTCTGCGTTTGTTTTGGATATACAGTTTTAAAATATATCTTTAAAAAGTAATTTTTAGTTACTAATATTTATGGATGTAAAAGTAATATAGATCCATAAAGACTTACATGGGAAGCAAAGAAAGGCAGACACAAGATTTCAAAGGGATCACCTATGATACTACCATATGCATTACATTAAAAGATAATTTATTGAGATGAAATTAACATAATGTAAAATTAACCATTTTAAACTCACCAACAATTCTGTGGTATTTTGTATATTCACAATGTCTTGCAACCACCATCTCTATTTTGTTATAAAATATTTCCATTACTCCAAGGTATCTGTACCCATTCAACATTTTCTCTCCATCTCCTCTCCCCACAAATTTTGGAAATTACCAATATGTATTCAGTCTCTGTGGATTTACCTATTCTGGATATTTCACATAAATGGAATAATACAGTGTTTGATCTTTTGTGTTTGGCTTCTTTCACGTAGCATAATCTTTTGGGGGTTCATTCATGCTGTAGCATGTATCAGTGCTTCATTCTTTTTTTCTTTTTTGAGATGGAGTCTCACCCTGTCACCCAGGCTGGAGTGCGGTGGCACGATCTTGGTTCACTCCAACCTCCGCCTCCCAGGTTCAAGCAATCCTCTGGCTCAGCCTCCTGAGTAGCTGGGATTACAGGCACCTGCCACCATGCCTGGCTAATTTTTGTATTTTTAGTAGAGACGGGGTTTCACTATCTTGGCCAGGCTGGTCCTGAACTCCTGACCTCCTGATCCACCCACCTCAGCCTCCCAAAGTGCTGGAATTATAGGCATGAGCCACTGCGCCTGGCCCAATGCTTCATTCATTTTTATGGCTGAATAATATTCCTTTGTATGTACATTTACAAATTAAGGAATATTAAAATAAAGGAATATTCTTCAGTCATAAAAAAGAGTTAGTTTTATCCATTAGTTTATGCAATTAGCTTATCCATCCATTCATTAGTAGGTATCAGGGTATTTCTATCTTTTGGCTATTGGTGGTAAGTGTTGCTGGAAATATGAGTGTACATGTATTTGTTTGAGTTCCTGCTTTCGATTTTGGGAGGTATATACCTAGGAGTGAAATTTCAGGGTCATATGACAATTTTATGTTTAACTTTTTGAGGAAGTATCAACTATTTTCTACAGTAGCCGAAAAATTTTACATTTCCATGAGCATTGTAGGTGAGTTCCAAGTTAATTGACTCTTTTAATCAATATACAATGTCCTTCTTTGTCTCTTAGGCAGCTTTTGACTTGTAGTCTATTTTGTCTGATATTAGTATAGTTATCTTTGTTCTCTTTTGGTTACTATTTGCATGAAAAAATTGTCCCCATATCTTTAACTTATTTGTGTTTTTGAATCGGAAGTGAGTCTCTTCTATGCTGCATATAATTGGATCATGTTTTTAATCTATCAATCTCTACCTTTTGAGGGGAGAGTTTAATTCATTTACATTTAATTACTATAGTGAAGAGCTTAACTTCTGCAGTGTTGCTCTTTGTTTTCTGTGTGCCTTATACCAATTTTGTCCCTTACATCCTCCCATTACTGCCTGATTTTGTGTTTAGTGGATTTTCTATGATGTTCTATTTTGATTGCCTTCTCATTTCTGTTTGTATATATATTTCAGACATTTCTCAGTGGTTATCATAGGGATTACAGTTAACATCCTAAATGTATAATAATCTAGCTTGAACTCATAAAAACTTAGTAGCATACAGAAGCTTTGCTCCTATACAGCTCCTTTCCTTCATTTATGTTGTTGTCACAAATTATATCTTTATACAATGCATACTCAATAAGAGATTTGTAATTATTTTAAATGAATTTGTCTTTTAAATGATGTAGGAAATAAAAAAGTGGAGTTACAAAGCAAAAATATAATACTGGCTTTTGTATTTAACCATGTAGTCATCTTTACTGGAGATCTTTTGTTCTCCATTCAGCTTCAAGTTACTGTCTAGTGTCCTTTCACTTCAAACTCATGGACTCCCTTTAGCATTTCTTGTAGGGCAGGTCTACTAATAATAAACTTCGTCAGCTTTGGTTTATCTGGTAATGTCTTAAATTTTCCTTCATTTTTGGAAGATAGTTTTGCCAAATATAGAATTCTTGGTTGACCGTTTTTTCTTTTGGTACCTTAAATATGTCATTTCCCTGCCTTTTGGCCTCCATGGCTTTTGATGAGAAATCAACTGTTAATCTTATTTTCATTTGCATGATCACTTGCATGTGATGAGTCACTTCTTTCTTAATGCTTTCAAGATTCTCGTTTGTCTAAATTTATATTTTTTATTAAATTTGGGAAGTTTTTGGCCATTATTTTTCAAATATACTTTCTGCCCTGTCTCTTTCTTCTCTTTCTGAAACTTCTATACTGGTCCACTTGATGTGGACCATCAAGTGTATATTGGTCCACTTCATCGTGTCTCATGGGTTCCTTTGCCTCTGTTCACTTTCTTTATTTCTTTATCTTTATGCTCCCCAGACTATACTGTTTCAATTATCCTGTCTTCAAGTTTGCTGATTCTTCCTTCTGCCTGCTTAGATATACTATTGAACTCCTATACTAAATTCATCATTGAATTATATTTTTCAGCTCTGGAATTTTTATGTGGTTCTCTTCTAAAAATTCTATCCCTTTATCAATATCCTTATTTTGTTCATACATCATTTCTCTGGTTTCCTTTAGTTCTTCGTCTATGGTTTCTGTTAGCATTTTGAACACATTTAAGAGACTTGATTTAAAATTTTTGTCTAGTAAGCCCAATGTCTGGGCTTCCTCAGGGACAGTTTCTCTCAATTATTATTATTTTTCCTTTGGGCTACACTTTCCTGTTTGTTTGTACACCTTGTGACTTTTTACTAAAAACTTGACATTTTAATATTATAATGTGGTAACCCTAGATATTAGATTCTCCCTCTTCCCTAGGGCTTGCTGTTCTTTATTATGCAAGGCTGCAATCATCTGTTTGTTTAATAACTTTCCCTAACTTTTTTTTCTGCAAAGACTGTACTACTTGTCATGTGTTTCACTGAAATATTTGATCCTTTGCTTGTATTCAGCTGGCAGTTTGACAAAGGTTTCCTTGAATGCCAGGAGCTAAGAACAAAACAAACACACACAAAAAATCTTTGGATTGGCTCTATGCACATTTGCTCCCTCAATACTTTGCCAAACTGTTTACAACTCCGCCTTAGCCTTCACTTCCTGCTTACCTTGAGCCTAGAGATTAGCCAAAGTTGAAAGCTTAAGGTCTTCTCAGGTCTTTTCTAAGCACTTACCCTGTTTTTGCACACATGTGGCTTTCTAAATTTCCAGGTACCCGTGAGTGCGGATGAATGCTCACATTTCCCAAGGAAACTTTCCTCAGCCTTTTTTCCCCAAATTTTAGGCTGTCTATTGTATATCTCAACCATAACCTTTTGCCTTAGGTGGCTGTAGGTTTTTAATTTGCCTTAAAATATTTTCAAGCAATGCCTAATACCTTTCTGCCCTTAGTATATTCTGAGGTTGGCAAAATAGAGATGAGTGACTCACATCAGTCCTTCAGGTAGCCCAGATAAGTTAGAGCAGACAAAAATAATAATTTGTGAATGAAATCTCCTCTGTTTTCTCTGGATCCAGGATTGCACACTGGGAACATGGGCCACCATCTTTAAGATCACTGCCCAGCTTCCCTCCCTGTTTCCCTTCCTCCCTCTCACCCTTCCTCCATTCCTTCCCTTCCTTTGTCAAATATTTTCTGAGTACCTAGTATGTGTTAGGTCCTGTGCTCAGAAACAGGATGCTAAGGATAATTAGTAATGGTCCTAGACTTACTTGCCTACAGATAAGTAGGAAAGATAGATAATTAAGGCAAAAGTTTCAGCTGAGTGTATCAAGTGATGTGACGGTGATGGCAGCAGGGCACTAGGCCTTTTAAGGATAAGAACTGGGCATTAAATGAATGAGACCATTAGACAAAACCAGAGTTTTCTCTTTTTTTGAGACAGAGTCTCACTTTGTTGTCCGGGTGAGAGCAGTGGCACAATCAAGCTCACTGCAACTTCTGCCTCCTGGGTTCAAGCAGTTCTTGTGCCTCAGCCTCCCAAGTAGCTGGGATTACAGGGGTAAGCCACTGTGCCTGGCCAGAACTAGAGTTTTCTATTGAAGCCAAGTCAAGTGGTGTTTCTTCAAAATGTTTGAGGTTTTCCTACATTTGTTTACCATGAGAAACATAGATTTTTATAAAGTGATCCCTGAGATCACCCATTGTATGCAGAGCTCTAAGGGCCAGCTGAAATAATGCTCATGGAATGCAAATATGTTATTGGTCATGAAAAACTTAATTAAATATATATATTTTTGAGACAGAGTATCACTCTTTTGCCCAGGCTGGAGTACAGTGGTGCAATCTCAGCTTACTGCAACCTCTGCCTCCTGAGTTCAAGCAATTCTTGTGCCTCAGCCCCCGGAGCAGCAGGGATTACAGGTGTGCACCACCACGCCTGGCTAATTTTTGTATTTTTAGTAGAGACGGGGTATCACCATGTTGGCCAGGCACGTCTCAAACTCCTGACTTCAAGTGATCCGCCTGACTTGGCCTCCCAAAGTGCTAGGATTACAGACACGAGCCACCGTGCCTGGTCCATGACTAAATATTAAATAATAAGTATTTAATACAAAAATCAGATAATGTATTTCAAACTCAAAAACAAATTAATTTTGTAATTTTTTGCTATGTTGAATTAGCCATTAATTGTTACTACATATAATGGAGAATTGACTCCTTTTATAAGCAGTAAAACAAGTATCTTGTCACGCCTAAGATGTGTGAAGCAGTGTTCTGATTTAACTTATAATTAAGTTTCTTCCACTGGTCTTTCTTGCATAAAAAAGATGAAAAATGACTCTTTGCTTTCAAAGAATTAAATAAAAATATAGCAACAAATAAAATAGAAGTAAGCCAATAACAAGAAAAGATTAGTTGAAATGTTAAGCTGATTTGGTAGAATCTGTCTATTGGCCCATTAGGTTTTGGTCAAAGTCCATAGATTTTAAAATCCTTTAGTTTGAAAACTAATATAATCATTTCATTTCATTTTCGTTAAATGCAACAATGTGTGGTTTAAGAGGATAAATTTAAATGATTAGTTACTTGGAATACTGGATGGGAAAAACTCATCTAGAATTTAAATTTCTGATGCCCATTGCAAATTATCTCTGTAACTCTTTTTCTCTTCTATAGAAATAGAGATTTATATTTAAAAACTAAGAGAATAACAATCTTAATGAATTATAAATATCCTGAGATTATAAAATTGTTTCATAACCATAGTTATAACCTATACAACCTAAGGTCCAATCAAGAATTGACTCTAAAATAGGAGGAAAAAAATAGTAAGATAAAGCCATAAAAGGTAAATCTAAGATTTTTTTGAAATTAAATTTTATTTCAATATTTTTCAACATCTTTTAGAATCCAACATATAATCAAATTAAGTGGATATGAGTAGATGAAAACATAATTTGTAAAATAAAATATACAACAAGTACACTCAGATAAGGAAATATTCAGTGCTGAAAAGAAGTGAACTATCAAGCCATGAGAAAACACAGAGGAAACTTAAACACATATTATGTACTAAGTGAAAGCAGACAGTCTGAAAAGGCTGTATACTATATGATTCCAACTATATGATATTTAGAAAAGCCAGAACTATGGAGACAGTAAAAACATCACTGGTTACCAGGGGTTAAGGGGAAGAGAGAAATGAATAGATGGATTACAGAGGATTTTTAAGGTGGTGAAACTACATTGTGTGTTGTTATAATGATGAATTCATGTTCATTATATATTTGTCCATATCCATGAAATGTACACCCAAGAGTGAACCTTAATGTAAACTATGGACTTTGGTTGATAATGATGTGTCCATGTGGGTTTATCAATTGTAACAAATGTACCACTCTGGTGGGGGATATTGATGGGGAGGCTGTGTGTATGTAGGGCAGGGGCAGCATGGGAAATATCTGTACCTTCTATCCAATTTTGCTGTGAACCTAAAACTGCTCTAAAAAGTAAAGTCTGTTAAACATAATATATCTATAATAATCATATTAAATGTAATAATGCATTTATATTTATAAGTTAAAATAATTTTAAATACGTAAAAATAAATTTTAAGTTGGTTAAAATAAGGCCATTAAATTTTCTTAGAATTTGAAAAGCATAAAATTTTAGCATATTATATATAACAGTAAGTATTATTATACAACATTACATGAAATAGGAGACATTTCTTTAACTTAGTGTTTTTTGTTTTTTTTTTTTTAATGGCACTACGGAAATTTTGGATCTGTCTCCTGCATTGTAGTATGGTAAGCAGCATCCGTGTCTCTAGTCATTTGATATAAGTAGCAAATTCCTAGCTGTGACAAACCAAAATTTCTCTAGATATTTCCAAATGTACTATGCGGTGGAGGGAGGGACAAGGAACTGCTGCTTTAATTAAAGTAGCAGAAATATCAGGAAATATCAAGTGATAACACTGACAAAACTATTTTAACAATTTACTTCATTATCTCTTACCTACCTGAAAGGCCCCATTCAAGATAAAATGTGCCATGGGTGATTTTCAATGGTGCCTTAGGCTATGTGATGGCTGGAAAAATAGCCTGATCAAAATATAAATACACAGAACTAAAATCTACTGCAGGTGTGAAGAACAGTGTGTACCCTTCTTCATTCTACCTGCTCTTCTCTCTGCCTTTTGTCAGGGAACAGACCATCTTTTTGAATGCACTTAGTTTTCTTTTATTTATTTCTTTATTTTTCTTTTTTAGAGTGGGGCCTTGCTGTGTTACTCAGGCTTGTCTCAAATTCCCGGGCACACTTAGTTTTCTTAACCATAATCACTCCACTCCAAGTACTGCATAGCCATGCCAATAATACACTAATGAAAAAATGTGTTGGCCGGGCGCGGTGGCTCACGCCTGTAATCCCAGCACTTTGGGAGGCTGAGGCAGGTGGATCACGAGGTCAAGAGATCAAGACCATCCTGGCCAACATGGTGAAACCCCGTCTCCACTAAAAATACAAAAAAATAGTCGGGCGTGGTGGCGGGCGCCTGTAGTCCCAGCTACTCCAGAGGTTGAGGCAGGAGAATGGCATGAACCCAGGAGGCTGAGCTTGCAGTGAGCCGAGATTGCCTCACTGCACTCCAGCCTGGGTGACAGAGCGAGACTCCGTCTCAAAAAAAGAGGCAGTGGAGTGGCTTGTGACTATGAACTATTTCCACGTTGTTGCATAAGAGCAGATTACCTAGGAAGAGTCGGTGCTAGGGCCATACCACTTTTTGCCCATAAGCCTTACTCATCCTTGAAGACAGTCTATCTGTGATTATTTTTTAGGAGAACACAAAACGTCTTGGAAGAATAGTGTTCGCTTAGAACACTGGTCCCGCTAAAATTCATCAAGGCATAAAACCAAAAGGTCTTATGGCATAGAAAACAGAGAAGGCAGCTCTCGTGGAGGCAGCTAGCATGAGGCTGTTCTGTTCTGTTCAGAATTCTGCCCCAAGATGAAATCCACAAACCCTGGCATCTCTATTGGAGACATGGCAAAAATGCTGGGTGAGATGTGGAATAACAAGTGACAGTGAAGACCAACCTTACATCTCTAAGGTGGAAAAGCTGAAGGAGAAGTGGGAGAACGATGTTTCTGACTGCAGGTCTAAAGGAAAGTTTGATGGTGCAGAGGGTCCTGCTAAAGTTGCCCAGAAAGAGGTGGAAGAGGAAGGCAAAGACAATGAGGAGGAAGAAGAGAAGGAAGCTGAATAAAAAAAACCTGTTTATCTGTCTCCCTGTGAATACCTTAGAGTAGGCGCGTGTCATAATTGACACATCTCTTATTTCAGAAGTGTCTACTGCCCTCATTAAGTTTCATTCCAAAATTTGATTGCAACCATATTGTAGTCTCTCAAAGTGATCTAGAAATTGTCAGTGATTTATGTGAAGTGGCCATGGGTGTCTGGAGCACCCTGAAGCTGTATTAAACTTGTACATATGTCCAAACATTTTTAAAATGAAAAGACATTCTGATGTTCTGTGTGCACTTTGCTGTTGATGTGACAAGGCATTTAAAGATGTTTCTGGCATTTAAAAAAATTCATAAGGTGGTATTAACTATATGGTTATTGGCTGGAAATCCTGAGTTATCAACTGTATATGTCTATAGTTTGTAAACAGAGAAAAACAACCAAGACAAAGTCTTGATGCCCCTTGCTTGGCATTGAAGCTGTAGGAGGAAGATGGCTTTTGGAGGGGTGGTAGCTCAGGGCATGCACTGTGAGGCTGGACCTGTTGACTTTGCAGTGGGCATCCATTTAGCTTCAAGTTGTCTTGTTTCTGCATATAGTGACATGTACAGAATTCTGCTGCCATTCATAGCTGTGGGTAAAGTGGAGTCAACTGGCATGAGAAATTTTTTTTGTTGTTGTGTTTTTTTTTTTAGTTAAGTGCAATAGTTTTTAAACTTTGTTTTAAAACAAACTGTAGAACTCTTCACCGTCAGCAAAGTGAAGAGCCGCTGCATCAATGAAGGCTCAATAACTTTCTGTACTTAAACATGATTTGCAACTATCTGTTTTTTTTTGTATGTTTAAAATGCTGAAATGTTTTGAAGTTAAACAGTATTACATTTAACAAAGAAAAAGAAGACTGAGAGCAATGACCAATTTCTTGCCAAAATCTAGAGTGAGTGTCCACTAAGAATCAGGACAGTGGAGGTGGTTTGAGAAGACAATGAGGCTTCTATATGATACAATGGAGGCTAAGAGGAAGGTGCGGAAGTTTCCTTCCACAACTGACGTTCTGATTGCTTGTCCTTGTTTGTATCAATTTGCTAAATGCCAAATGTAAGTATGCAGTGGCGGAAAAACATATTCCCAAACTTGTAAAACAGATTACAAGGGTTGCTTCATATAATGCGAGAGATGCCTCAAAACCAGTGGTCTGCCATCACTACATGTTTATATCTGAATTATTGTTACTGGGGGTCCTTGCTCACAGAGCTCCCAAGATGGTGGTGGGCCAATTCCAAGATGGTAGTGGGCCACTTCCAAGATGGTGGCAAGCCTCGTGTTCTCTGACCTGGGGTTCTTGGCCTCATGGATTCCAAGGAATGGAATCTTGGGCCATGCGGTCAGTGTTATAGCTCTATTAGAAGCTGTGAGTCACTGAAGAGAACCATGGAACCCAGTGACTAATGTTCAGCTGGATTAGGATGAACCCAGGAATTTAGCCATGCAGGAACAATGGCAAGCCTTTAGCCCGATCTGAAGTGGCAATGGGTGCCTGGCTGGATTGGGAGCATAGCAGACACCCTGCCAGATCTGGAGGGATGGAAGTCAGCGGTGGGTCTGCGACAGTGGCAAATAGCAGTGGTGGACAGCTCAAGTCGTAACAAACACAGACTAGAAGAGTGCAGTTGCAAGATTTAACAGTGAAATAGAGTGAAAATAGAGCTCCCATACAAAGGGAACGGACCCAAAGAGGGTTGCCATTGCTGGCTCGAATGCCTGGGTTTATATCCCAATCATTGTCCCTCCCACCGTGCTCTCAGGCAACAGATGATTGGCTATTTCTTTACCTCCTGTTTTTGCCTAATTAGCATTTTAGTGAGTTCTTCTTACTATCTGATTGGTTGGGTGTGAGCTAAGTTGCAAGCCCCATGTTTAAAGGTGGAAGTGGTCACCTTCCCAGCTAGGCTTAGGGATTCTTAGTCAGCCTAGGAAATCCAGCTAGTCCTGTCTCTCAGTACCCCCTCTCAACAGGAAAACCCAAGTGCTGTTGAGGAGGTTGGCCAACAACTGCTCTAACTGCTTCCTGCTGAATTGGGGCGCAGCAGGGGTCGTGCAGTTGAGATTTCCTAGGGAGGGGTGCCTTCGATGTCATTAACATTGGAGCATGGGCTAGCAGGCCAGTCCAGGGATCCGCAGTAGATCTTAGTCATGGACTGCATCTGGGGCTCCATTTGAAGAACAATTTGTAGTTTTACAGCTTCGATTCTGGAAGAGACAAACTTAACAAGGAGGTTAAAGATGCAGGGATTGAAATGTATGGCCTGCAGTGAAGGGAATTATTTCTTTGGCACACTTTACAGGCCCCGACTATCTGCTTGATAGTTTTGAAAAGGCCTGGTCCAGTAAATAATAATTTAGCCATCTGATGGGTGCTATCAATGCCTAAGTGAAAGGTTTGGTGAAGGGTTTTAAGTAATTTCCATTGGTTAGCTGCAGGCAAAAGTATTTTTCCTTCTTCGGTGGCTTGCCATCCTGAGGGGAGGAAACTATGTCCTCGTGAGGTTCCCTGTTCTATTTCTTCTTCTGGGTACTGGGGCTTGGTTTCCTGGAGGGGATTACCCCATACTAGGAGTCCCCTTCTATAAGCATTTCTAATGGAGGGTCCTGCCTTGTGGCTATTTTGGCTTCAATATCCGCTTGGCAGTTCCTTTCTATTTCCCTTTCCTTTCCTTTCTGATGACCCTGGCAGTGTAAGACTGCCACCTCTTTAGGTTTCTGTACAGCCAATAATAATTCCCTAATGGCTTCCTGATGTTTGATAGGTGTTCCCTCAGAAGTTAGGAATTCCCTTTCTCTCCATATTGCTGCATGGGCATGGAGGACTAGGTAAGCATACTTAGATTCTGTATATATATTTACCCTTTTTCCTTCTCCTAATTCTAGGGCCCGAGTGAGTTTTGCCAGCTGAGCAGTAGTTCCTGGAGTGAGAGGAATACTTTCAAGTGTTCCATTATCACTGACTACTGCATACCCCGCTTTTCAAAGTCCTTTTTCTACAAAGGAACTGCCATCAGTGTACAAGTTGAAGTCGGAATCAGTCAAGGGAACCTCTAAAAGCTCCCCTCAAGCGGAATAGGTTTGAGCAATTACTTGTTGACATTTATGTTCTATCTTTTCTTCATTGTCTGAAAGAAATGTGCCTGGGTTAAGAGTTGCACAAGTGCGCAGTTGCAGCACTGGCCCTTCAAGTAATAGAGCCTGATATTTAAGTAAACTTTTGTCTGACGGCCACAAGTCTCCTTTAGCAGTGAGTATGCCATTCACATCATGAGATGTCCACACAGTAAAATCTCTTCCCTGTATTATTTTAACTGCTTCAGATACTAAGACTGTTACTGCCGTCACTACCTGTAAACAATGAGGCCAACCCTTTGCCACTGCATCAGTTTCCTTACTCAGGTATGCCACGGGTTGCAAACTCATCTCTTGGACCTGTGTAAGGACTCTTAGAGCTATTCCTGTTTTTTTGTGTGTGACATATAAAGAAAAGTCTTGCCCCATTGGCAAGCTTAACACTGGGGCTTGGTTAGGGCCTTCTTTAGGGCCTGGAAAGCTGCTTCTGTTTCAGGTATCCATCTTACTAAATGGATATTGGCTTTCTGAGTTTCCTTAATTAGTGTATATAATGGTCTGGCTATTTCACTGTACCTGGAAATCCATATTCGGCAGAAACCTGTTATGCCAAGGAACCGTCTTAGTTGCTTTAGGGTTTTGGGGTGAGGATAAGCCAGTATAGGCTGGATACATCTCACTGAGGGCTGTGGTGCCTTTGGATAATTTTAGCCCTAAGTATTTAACCTGCTGTGAGCAGAGCCGAGCCTTTGGTTTGGAAACCTTGTAGCCACAGGTAGTGAGGAAATTTAAGAGCGCTTGGGTGGCTTGATGGCACAAGGTTTCTGAACGGGCAGCTAAAAGTAAATCATCCACATACCGAAGGACAAGGGTGTCCAGGTATGAGAATGGGCTCAAGTCTTGGGCTAATGCCTGGCCAAATAGATGGGGACTATCCCTGAACCCTTGGGGTAACAGTCCAGGTGATTTGAGACGTTGGGTTTGAAGGATCTTCAAAGGCAAACAAGAATTGAGAGTCAGGATGTACAGGGATGCAGAAGAAGGCATCCTTAAGGTACAGGACTGTAAATCACTCTGCTTCCTCTGGTATTTGGGAAAGCAGAGTATAAGGACTAGGTACAGCTGGGTATAGAGGAACAACAGCCTCATTGATAATCCTGAGATCTTGCACTAACCTCCACTGTCCGTTGGGTTTCTGTACTTTTAAAATTGGAGTATTGCAGAGGCTATTGTGTGGTTTTACTAGGCCTTGGGCTTTTAGGTCCTTAACAATCTTTTGGAGTCCTTGTTGGGCCTCAGGTCTAAGGAGGTACTGCCTTTGGTAGGGAAAGGAGGCGGAATCCTTTAGTTTAACTTCGACAGGATGGGCATTCTTTGCTCATCCATATTGTCCTTCTGTTGCCCAGAATTCAGGATTAATTCCTTCCTCAAGCAGGGGACAGCAAAGTGGTGTTCCTTCTCCTATGTTCAGGTGTATAATGGCCCCTGCTTTTGCTAGAATTTCTCTCCCTAACAAGGGAGTGGGGCTTTCAGGCATAATTAGAAAAGCATGTGAAAAGAGTAAAGCTCCCCCATCACAACTTAGTGACTGGGAGAAGTATCTAGTGACTGACTGTCCTAGGACCCCTCAGACAGTGACAGATCTGGAAGACAGTTGTCCGGGACAGGAGAGTAAGACTGAGAAGGCCGCACCAGTGTCCAGGAGACAGTTAACCTCCTGGCCCTCAATGGTCAAGCATACCTGGGGCTCTGTGAGGGTGACGGCATGGGCTGGTGCTTGCCCTGGGCACCCTCAGTCCTGCTGCTGGATCATCTGGTTAGTGGCTTCTGACTCAGAGGACCTTTGTCCCCTGGGGCAGTGGGCCTTTCAGTGATTCCCTTGACATAAGGGGTATGGACAAGGGGGTACCTTACTTCTACTTGGACAATCTTTTTTAAAGTGTCCTTGCAGACCGCACTGGAAGCAAGCCCTATTAGGCATTTGATTTGCCCAGCATTTCCCTTTTCCAGAGCCTCCAAAGTCCGCTTGCCTGAGGGCCATGACTAAAGCGGTGGCCTTTTTTTTAGTCCCGTTTGTCCCGTTCCGCCTGCTCCTCTTGACCTCTATTATAAAAAACCGAGTTTGCCAAGTTCAGTAGGGTTTCTAAGTTTTGCTCTGGGCCTAAGGCAGACTATTGAAGTTTTTTCCTAATGTCTGCAGCTGACTGATAAACTTATCCTTTAAGATTAGTTGGCCTTCAATAGAGTCATGTGACAGGGAGGTATGCTTCCTCAGTGCCTCCCTTAGTCTCTCCAGAAAGGCAGTAGGATTTTCTTCCTTTCCCTGTGCTATAGTGGACATCGTTGAATAATTCACAGGCTTCTTCCTAGTTTTCCTTAGTCCTTCTAGCACGCAAGTTAGCAAATGTCTGCGGCACCAATCTCCATGTTCTGATTCTGTGTCCCAGTGAGAGTCTACACTGGGAACTGCCTGCTGGCCTGTGGGGAATCATTCTCTTTCTTCTGTTGTCATCCTCTCATTGACCTGACTGAGCTACCAGAAATCACCAAACTCTCAGGCTGCAGTTGTGGCAGTACTTTTTTCATTTGGGGTTAGTGTCTGATTTAGCAGTAGCATTATGACTCTCCATGTCAGATCAAAGGATTGTCCTAACCCTTGTAAAACATTAATATAGCCATCAGGGTTATCTGAGAATTTATCTAGGTCTATTTTAATTTGCTTTAAGTCTGAGAGAGAAAAAGGTACATGCACTCTGGCTGGGCCGAATTCTCCTCCTCCCACTGCTTGGAGGGGGCATAATTGGGGAATATTGGCACTCTTTGGTTCATTGTTTACCCCTTTGTCTACCTCCTTTTGGGCTGTTTGGGTTGAAGGGGGGGTTCTTATTAGTTGGGGAAGGAATCAGGGGGATGCTGGGGTAGGGAGGTAGACTCTGGGGGCTTCCTGTAGGGCATAAATCACACTTTTTACATAATTGCAAGTTGTCTCTTAATGAAAAGAAAGTTTGTACATATGGCACTTCACTCCACTTGCCTTCTTTTCTACAAAAGGGGTCTAGCTGTAAGATGGTGTTATAATTTATACCTCCCTCAGGAGGCCAGCTTTCTCCTCCTTGAAGAGGATATCATGGCCAGGCGGTATTGCAGAAGAATGTAAGTCATTACTTTCTTAGCGTCTAAGGGTCAAATTGGTCCTAATTCTCCAGAATACATCTTAGGGGTGTTTTTGCCTTGGGGGGAATGTTTTCTGTCTGAAAAAAGAACATAGGGATGCCAGTACCCCTAGTCATTTTCCAGTGAGCATTTTCTAGAGCATCCTGTATGGTCGTAATGCTTATTCCTTTCCAGGGTGCGTAACCACCCATGGACCTCTGCTTATCGGATTAGTTACACTCACCAATGTAGCAATCCTGCATCTGTTTTCCTGCCTTTCTTAACCACAAAGAAAGGGGTTTGGGCTGCTGGATTCCAGTGGTCCTTTACCAGCATGCCCAACATTGCCTTTGTGCTCAGGGGTAAGTCCTAGAGCTGGGATGGGTTCCTGAGTATTTCATAACAAGCCAGCTGCCCCTTCAAGAGGCATTCCCATAAACAACAGTTCTTATGCAAATTCATTTCAGAGAAGGTGTAGCAAATCTTTTGAGTCAGGATTGAGATAGTCTTTTGATTTTGTAAGTACTTTAAGACTTGGCTGAGTGCAAACAGCTCACACGTTTGAGGAGACCAATTATTAGGCAATTTTTGTAACTCTGCTTCCACAAGTCTCCGCATGAATTACTGAATACCAATTGTGGTTTTTTTCCTCAATCACCATCTATCGTCCTGTCCTGAAGGCAGTTCCTCCTAGGTCTGGTTGGACCTTTGTATGGTAATTAAGATTTAAATCACCTGTTAGGAAATCTGCTGGGTTAAGGGAATTATCAGTGGTTGGAGTTACATTGCCTTTTTCTAACATAGTAGCCCCATACTTTAAGATTTTTGAGTTAGTAAGCTACCTTTTTGCTTTTTTGACTTAGAATAATTCTGAACTCGTGAGGTGTACTCACAATGAGGTTTCCTCTAAAAGTACTTTTCCACTTTTAGCAAAGCAGTTGCTGCTACCGACTGAATGCATTTGGCCCATCCGCGGGTAACTGGTTAAGGATTTTTGATAGGAAGGCTATGGGTTGTCAGTGGCCTCAGTGCTTTTGGGCTACGCCCTGATTTACACTGACAACAAAGTGGCATTGGAGTGTTATAGGGTCATGGAGAAGACCTTCAATTATCAATTATAGGTTTTAAATTTACCCTGGCTTTTAAAGGAATAGGGCACACTGTTTTTTTTACTATTTTTATCTTTTACTCTTTCACTCCCTCTTTACCTCTCTGTCTGTCTCTCTCTCTGTCTCTCTCTCTCTCCATCTCTCTCTCTCTCTCTCTCTCTCTCTCCCTCTCCCTCCGCGTCTCTCTCTTAGCCATTACAAGCTTGGGGCCCTGGCAAGGGTGGTGGGGAACGGGTCCCCCATAACTGCCCATGTTGAGAGCTGTATACCTAAATCGGGAGGGACTCCAGGGATAAAACTCCCTGGGTTATAGCCTGGGTGCCTAAGGACACAGCGTAGCTTCCTTAGATCCCTTTGGAGATACAACTTGCTAGAGGAAATGAAAGTCTGAACCATTAGTACCTAGGAGGCAGGGATCAGAGGAAGTAGATTCAGAGGTAAGGATAATTTTGGGGCTACACTTTCAAGAAAGTCATGGTTGGGACCCAGGAGGTATGGGTCAGAAGGAAAGGTAGGGGCGCATGCATGGGCGACTGTTGAGTAGAGACTTCTGGCTGTACCATGATCTCATCCGGCTACTGCCAGGAGTTTGGGATGACAGCTTTCTGCCTGTAGTCAGCCCTTGGCTTCCCCAAGAAAATTGAAAGTGGCAGCTGGCTCCAGGCAGACCAATGTCCCCAACCCAGAAGGGTTGGGGGTTGTTAGAAAGCCCTTCCCCAGATAGGCTCACACCTGAGTCTTAAGTCTGGTGGCCACACTAATCATTTTTAACTGGCTGACAGGTGCCTGGTATTTTCCTCCAATTCTAAGGAAGGATAGGACAGAATAGCAAGCAAAAGTGGTCTAATATTTCTCACCACATTGGATGTCCCTTTGTGGTCGCCAAAATGTTACCTGGGGGTCCTTGCTCCCAGAGCTCCCAAGATGGTGGTGAGCCACTTCCAAAATGGTGGCAAGCCTTGTGTTTTCTGACCTGGGGTTCTTGGCCTCATGGATTCCAAGGAATGGAATCTTGGGCCATGCGGTGAGTGTTATAGCTCTATTAGAAGCTGTGGGTCATGGAAGAGAACCGTGGAACCCAGTGACTAGTGTTCAGCTCGATTAGGATGAACCCAGGCACTTAGCCATGCAGGAACAATGGCAAGCCTTTAGCCCAATTGGAAGTGGCAATGGGCGCCTCGCTGGATCAGGAGCACAGCAGACACCCTGCTGGATCCTCTGGATGGATGGAAGTCAGCGGCGGGTCTGCGACGGTGGCAAACAGCAGTGGTGGACGGCAAGCAAAAGCTCAGCTCGAGACGTAACAAACATGGACTAGAAGAGTGCAGTTGCAAGATTTAATAGAGTGAAATAGAGTGAAAACAGAGCTCCCATACAAAGGGAGGGGACCCAAAGGGGGTTGCCATTGCTGGCTCGAATGCTTGGGTTTATATCCCGATCATTGTCCCTCCCACCATGCTCTCAGGCAACAGATGATTGGCTATTTCTTTACCTCCTGTTTTTGCCTAATTAGAATTTTAGTGAGTTCTCCTTACTATCTGGTTGGGTGTGAGCTAAGTTGCAAGCCCCGTGTTTAAAGGTGGAAGTGGTCACCTTCCCAGCTAGGCTTAGGGATTCTTAGTCAGCCTAGGAAATCCAGCTAGTCCTGTCTCTCATTATTGAACTTGGTATTTAAATCTCAACACAACTGAGTTTCAACTTAGGCTATATTGAGTTTCAACTTAGGCTCAATAGACATTCTGAGGCTATAGACATTCTGAGGCTCACTGCTTGAGACAGCAGATGTGTGAAGTTTGACTAGTGAAGTATGTTGCTTATGTAGATCTAGTGGTCCAGAAGTGAGACAGTGGCTCTGGGGAGATGGGTGTGTGTGTGTTTCAGGTGGCATTCCTATACAGGAACCAAGAAAATCACATTTTTCATAGCGGTGAATCTCCAGAGGGAGAAAATAATGAGATTATGAAAAGCCTTCCTCGACAATGTCTTTCTAGTGTCTTGCCTCCTCAAATTTTTTCAGAGTCTGCCAAAGAGAGTGTGATTTTGAAATGGGTTTCCCAAGGCTGAAATTGAAAGTGGGTTAAGGATGGGTAGTTTGTGGTGTCTTTGGAAGGATTTATTTAGCAAAACTCTGAGACCTTATTCTTAGTGAATTAATTTAACATGTTTGAAGCCCTGGTGTCCAGACAAGGGAGATGAAGTTAAGTATTTTTATTCAATGGAGAAAATGTATTTCTAAGGAACAGCATATAATTCCACAGAACCAAGCGGTCCTTTAAAAAAAAGATATGTAGGTTGTCAATTTGGTTCCTTTCTATTTTACACTATTAATTAAATAATGTGGGTTTCAATGAGGATTATTTTTAGCAGTTTTTAACAACAACAACGACACAACCCCAAAGCCCAAAAAACAAACAACAGAGATTTAAACAAGGTGAAAGTTTCTTTCTTTTTTCCTCATGAATAAGCCCTGAGATAGGCTGCCCAAGGCTGGTGTAGGGCTTCCATGCTTGGGTGCAGGCTTCTTTCTTGTTCTGCCTTGTCTTGAAGAGGTTCTTTGCACTCCAGCCATCACATTCAAATTGCAGGACCAGGAAGGAGCACAGAGATGCATTTCTCCTTTTCTCTTGTTAAAGATGTTTAGGAAGACTTTTAAAGACTCAGAAAGTGCCATTTAATACTTCACATTTACATTTCATTGGCCACACCTGAGTCATATAGCCATCCTTACTTGCAAGGGAATCTGAGAAATATGTCCAGCTAAAAATTGGGGTTTAGTTTCAAAGTCAGAATATAGGCCAAATTTTGCTTTGAAACATAGATAATGAGGAGGTAAACTTAACCTCAAGTTATCATAAATGGCAAAACCAGGAGAATATTTTAGATAAGCAATCAGATATTGTCCTTCCTCACCTTTACACACTCAAGCCATGAATACTACATAATTTTGGCATTTGGTCTAAACTGTTAGTTTAATTAATTAATTAAAATCTGTGAGTATCTACCATGAGCCAGGCAGTATGTTAGGTGTTACAGACAGATAGCTGAATAGGGAGTAGCCTGTGCCCTCAAGCAGCTCACAGTCCAATAGGGGAGACAGACACACAAAATACATTTAGAAATTACAATACCATATAGTCACAAAACAATTTACTCAACAAGGAAAAATTTACATATTGACTTTCTAGGGTCCTATTTGCACTTTTATTTTATTATTTTTTAAAATACTTTAAGTTCTGGGATACATGTGCAGAACTTGCAGGTTTGTTACATAGGTATATATGTGCCATGGTGGTTTGCTGTACTCATCAACCCTTCATCTAGGTTTTAAGCCCCACATGCATTATGTAGTTCTCCTAATGCTATCCCTCCCCTTGCCTCCCAACCCCCAGCAGGCTGCAGTGTGTGATGTTCCCCTCCTTGTGTCCATGTCTTCTCATTGTTCAACTCCCACTGAGTGAGAACATGTGGTGTTTGGTTTTCTGTTCCTGTGTTAGTTTGCTGATAATGATGGTTTCCAGCTTCATCCATGTCCCCAAAAAGGACCTGAACTCATTATTTTTTATGGCTGCATAGTATTCCATGGTGTATGTATGCCACAGTTTCTTTGGTCTATCATTTATGGGCACTTGGGTTGGTTCCAAGTCTTTGTTATTATAAATAGTGCTGCAATAAACATACCTGTGCATGTCTCTTTATAGCAGAATGATTTATAATCCATTGGGTATATACCCAGTTATGGGATTGCTGGGTCAAATGGTATTTCTGGTTCTAGATCCTTGAGGAATTGCCACACCGTCTTCCACAATGGTTGAAATAATTTACACTCCCACCAACAGTGTAAAAACTTTCCTATTTCTCCACATCCTCTCCAGCATCTGTTGTTTCCTGACTTTTTAATGATCGCCATTCTAATTGGCATGAGATGGTATCTCATTGTGGTTTTGATTTGCATTTCTCTAATGACCAGTGATGATGATATTTTTTTCCTATGTCTGTTGGCCGCATAAATTTCTTCTTTTGAGGAGTGTCTGTTCATATCCTTTGCCCACTTTTTGAAGGGTTTTTTTTTTTTTCATAAATTTGTTTAAGTTTCTTGTAGATTCTGGATATTGGACCTTTGTCAGGTGGATAGATTGCAAAAATTTTCTCCCATTCTGTAGGTTGCCTGTTCATTCTGATGATAGTTTCTTTTGCTGTGCAGAAGCTGTGTTAGTTTAGTTAGATCCCATTTGTCAATTTTGGCTTTTGTTGCCATTGCTTTTGGTGTTTCAGCTATGAAGTGTTTGCCCCTGCCTATGTCCTGAATGGTATTGCCTAGGTTTTCTTCTAAGGCTTTTATGGTTTTAGGTCTTATGTTGAAATATTTAATCCATCTTGAGTTAATTTTTGTATAAGGTGTAAGGAAAGGGTCTAGTTTCAGTTTTCTGCATATGGCTAGCCAGTTTTCCCAACACTACTTATTAAATAGGGAATCCTTTGCCCATTGCTTGTTTTTGTCAGGTTTGTCAAAGATCAGATGGTTGTAGATGTGAGGTGTTATTTCTGAGGCCTCTGTTCTGTTCCATTGGTCTATATATCTGTTTTGGTACCAGCACCATGCTGTTTTGTTTACTGTAGCCTTGTAGTATAGTTTGAAGTCAGGTAGCATGATGCCTCCAGCTTTGTTCTTTATGCTTAGAATTGTCTTGGCTATATGGGCTCTTTTTTGGTTCTATAGGAAATTTAAAGTAGCTTTTTCTAATTCTGTGAAGAAAGTCTATGGTAGCTTGATGGGAATAGCATTGAATTTATCAATTACTTTGGGCAGTATGGACATTTTCACAATATTGATTCTTCCTATCCAGGAACATGGATTTTTTTTTTTCATTTGTTTATGTCCTCTCTTATTTCCTTGAGCAGTGGTTTGTAGTTCTTCTTGAAGAGGTCCTTCATGTCCCTTCTAAGTTGTATTCCTAGGTGTTTTATTCTCTTTGTAGCAATAGTGAATGGGAGTTAACTCATTCTTGGCTTTCTGTTTGCCTATTATTGGTGTATAGGAATGCTTGTGATTTTTGCCCATTCATTTTGTATACTGAGACTTTGCTGATTATGCTTATCGGCTTAAGGAGTTTTTGGGGTGAGACGATGTGGTTTTCTAAATGTACAATCATGTCATCTGCAAACACAGACAATTTGACTTCCTCTCTGCCTATTTGAATACCCTTTATTTCTTTCTCTTTCTCTGCCTGATTGTCCTGGCCAGAACTTCCAATACTATGTTGAATAGCAGTGGAGAGAGAGGGAATCCTTGTCTTGTGCCAGTTTTCAAAGAGAATGCTTCCAGCTTTTGCTCATTCAGTATGATATTGGCTATGGGTTTGTCATAAATAGCTCTTATTATTTTGAGATATGTTCCATCAATACGTAGCTTATTGAGTGTTTTTAGCATGAAGGGGTGTTGAATTTTATTGAAGGCCTTTTATACATCTATTGGGATAATCATGTGGTTTTTGTCATTGGTTCTGTTTATGTGATAGATTACATTTATTGATTTGTGTGTGTTGAACCAGCCTTGCATCCCAGGGATGAAGCCGACTTGATCGTGGTGGATAAGCTTTTTGATGTGCTGCTGGATTTGGTTTGCCAGTATTTTATTGAGGATTTTTGCATCAATGTTCATCAGGGATATTGGCCTGAAATTTTCTTTTTTTGTTGTGTCTGTGCCAGGCTTTGGTATCAGGATGATGCTGGCCTCATAAAATGAGTTAGGGAGGAGTCCCTCTTTTTCTATTGATTGGAATAGTTTCAGAAGGAATGGTACCAGCTCCTCTTTGTATCTCTGGCAGAATTCAGCTGTGAATCCATCTTGTCCTGAGGCTTTTTTGTTTGGTAGGCTATTACTTACTGCCTCAATTTCAGAACTTGTTATTGGTCTATTCAGGGATTCAACCTCTTCCTGGTTTAGACTTGGGAGGGTGTATGTATCCAGGAATTTATGAATTTCTTCTGGATTTTCTAGTTTGTGTAGAGTTGTTTACAGTATTCTCTGATGGTAATTTGTATTTCTGTGGGATCAATGGAGATATCCCCTTTACAATTTTTTATTGTGTCTGTTTGATTCTTCTTTCTTTTATTCTTTATTAGTCTGGCTACTGGTCTACCTATTTCGTTAATCTTTAAAAAAACCAGTTCCTGGATTTATTGATTTTTTGAAGGGTTGTTTTTTTTTGTCTCTATCTCCTTCAGTTCTGCTCTGATCTTTGTTATTCCTTGTCTTCTGCTAGCTTTTGAATTTGTTTGCTCTTGCCTCTCTAGTTCTTTTAATTGTGAATTTAGGGTATCGATTTTAAATCTTTCCCACTTTCTGATGTGGGCATTTAGTGCTACAAATTTCCCTCTAAACACTGCTTTAGCTGTGTCCTGAGATTGTGGTACATTGTGTCTTTGTTGTCATTGGTTTAAAGAACTTATTTATTTCTGCCTTAATTTCATTATTTACCCAGTAGTCATTCAGGAGCAGGCTGTTCAGTTTCCATATAGTTTTGCAGTTTTGAGTGAGTTTCTTAATTCTGAGTTCTAATTTGATTGCACTGTGGACTGAGAGACTGTTTGTTATGACTTCTGTTCTTTTGCATTTGCTGAGGAGTGTTTTACTTCCAATTATGTGGTCCATTTTAGAATAAGTGCCATGTGGTGCTGAGAAGAATGTATATTCTGTTGATTTGGGGTGTAGAGTTCTGTAGATGTCTGTTAGGTCTGCTTGGTCCAGAGCTGAGTTCATATCCTGAATATCCATGTTAATTTTCTGTCTTGTTGATCTGTCTAATATTGACAGTGGGGTGTTAAAATCTCTCACTATTCTTATGTAGGAGTCTCAGTCTCTTCGTAGGTCTCTAAGAACTTGTATTATGAATCTGGGTGTTCCTGTATTGGGTGCGTATATATTTAGGATAGTTAGCTCTTCTTGTTGAATTGATCCCTTTACCATTATGTAATGCCCTTCTGTGTCTTTTTTGATCTTTGTTGGTTTAAAGTCTGTTTTATCAGAGACTACCATTGCAACCCCTGCTTTTTTTTTTTTTTTTTTTTTGCTTTCCATTTGCTTTGTAAACATTTCTCCATCCCTTTATTTTGAGCCTATGTGTATCTTTGCATGTGAGATGGGTCTCCTGAATATAGCACATCAGTGGGTCTTGACTCTTTATTGAATTTGCCAGTCCGTGTCTTTTAATTGTGGCTTTTAGCCCATTTACATTTAAGGTTAATATTGTTATTTGTGAATTTGATCCTGTCATCATGATGCTAGCAGGCTATTTTGCTCATTAGTTGATACAGTTTCTTCATGTGTTGTTGATCTTTATATTTTGGTATGTTTTTACACTGGCTGGTACTGGTTTTACCTTTCCATATTTAGTGCTTCCTTCAAGAGCTCTTGTAAGTCATTCATGGCGGTGACAAAATCCCTCAGCATTTGCTTGTTTGTAAAGGATTTTATTTCTCCTTTGCTTATGAATTTCTCCTTTGCTTATGAAGCTTAGTTTGGCTATATATGAAATTCTGGGTTGAAAATTCTTTTCCTTAACAAAGTTGAATATTGGCCCCCACTCTCTTCTGGCTTGTAGGTTTTCTGCAGAGAGATCTGCTGTTAGTTTGATGGGCTTCCCTTTGTAGGTAACCTGACCTTTCTCTCTGGCTGCCCTTAACATTTTTTCCTTCATTTCAACCTTGGTGAATCTGGCGATTATGTGTCTTGGGGTTGCTTTTCTTCAGGAGTAACTAGTGGTGTTCCCTGTATTTCCTGAATTTGAATGTTGGCCTATCTTGCTAGGTTGGGGAAGCTCTCCTGGGTAATATCCCGAAGTGCGATTTCCAACTTGGTTCCATTCTCCCCATCACTTTCAGGTACACCAATCAAACATAGATTTGTTCTTTTCACATAATCCCATATTTCTTAGAGGATTTGTTCATTCCTTTTCATTCTTTTTTTCTCTAATATTGTCTTCACACTTTATTTCATTAAGTTGATCTTCAATCTCTGATATCCTTTCTTTTGCTTGATTGATTCAGCTATTGATATTTGTGTATGCTTTATGAAGTTCTTGTGCTGTGTTTTCAACTCTATCAGGTCATTTATGTTCTTCTCTAAACTGCTTATTCTTGTTAGCAGTTCCTGTAACCTTTGATGAAGGTTCTTAGCTTCCTTGCATTGGGTTAGAACATACTCCTTTAGCTCAGAGGAGTTTGTTATTACCCACCTTCTGAAGCCTACTTCTGTCAACTTGTCAAACTCATTCTCTGTCCAGTTTTGTACCCTTGCTGGCAAAGAGTTGTGATCCTTTGGAGGAGAAAAGGCAGTCTGGTTTTTGGAATTTTCAGCATTTTTGTGCTGGTTTTTCCTCATCTTTGTGGATATATCTACCTTTTGTTTTTGTTGCTGATGACCTTTGGATGGGGTTTTTGTATGGGCACCCTTTTTGTTGATGTTGATGTTATTGCTTTCTGTTAGTTTTCCTTCTAACAGGGCCCTCTGCTGCAGGTCTGCTGGAGCTTGCTGGAGGTCCACTTCAGACCCTGTTTGCATGGTTATCACCAACAGAGGCTGCAGAACAGCAGCAGTTTCTGCCTGTTCCTTCCTTTGGAAGCTTCGTCCCAGAGGGGCACCTGCCAGATGCCAGCTGGAGTTCTTCTGTATGAGGTGTCTGTCTAACCGTGCTGGGAAGTGTCTCCCAGTCAGGAGGCAAGGGGGTCAGGGACCCACTTGAGCAGGCAGCCTGTCCCTTAGTGGAGCTCGAGCACTGTGCCTGGAGATCCACTGCTCTCTTCAGAGCCCACAGGCAGGAATGTTTAAGCGTGCTGAAGCTCTGCCCACATCCACCGCTTCCCCCAGGTACTTTGTCTCAGGGAGAAGGGAGTTTTATCTATAAGCCCCTGACTGGGGTTGCTGCCTTTCTTTCAGAGATACCCTGCCCAGTAAGGAGGAATCTAGAGAGGAAGTCTGGCCACAGCTGCTGAACTTCCTGGCAGCTTTGTTTACACTGTGAGGGGAAAACAGCCTACACAAGCCTCAGTAATGGCAGACACCCCTCACCCAACCAAGCTTCAGACTGCTGTGCTAGCAGTGAGAATTTCAAGCCAGTGGATCTTAGCTTGCTGGGTTCCATGGGGGTGGTACCCACTGAGCAAGATCACTTGACTCCCTGGCTTTAGCCCCCTTTCCAGGGGAGTGAACGGTTCTGTCTTCCTGAGGTTCCAGGTGCCACTGGGGTGTGAAAGAAAAAACCTGCAGCTGGCTCAGTGTCTGCCCAAACAGCTGCTCAGTTTTGTTCTTGAAACACTCCAGGGCCCTGGTGGTGTATGCACACGAGGGAATCTCCTGGTCTTCGGGTTGCAAAAACCATGGGAAAAGCGTAGTATCTGGGCTAGATAACATAGTCCCTTATGGCTTCCCTGGCTAGGGGAGGGAGGTCCCCAGCCCCTTGAAGTTCCCGAGTGAGGTGACGCCCCAGCCTGCTTCTGCTCACCCTCTGTGGGCTTCACCCACTGTCTAACCAGTCCCAATGAGATGACCCAGGTACCTCAGTTGGAAATGCAGAAATCACCTGCCTTCTGCATTGGTCTCGCTGGGAGCTGCTACCAGAACTCTTTCTATTTGACCATCTATACTTTTATTTTATATAATAGTGATCTAGCTAAAGCAAGATCAATACTTGCCAAGAACTATCATTCTATAAGACTGTAAGCTCCTTGAAGGTAGAGACCAGTTTGCTAACTGCTATGCCTGGCACACAGCAACAGTCAATGAATACTGACTGAGGTGTAAAATGAAAGAAAGTATGTGAGCAAAAGGGGGAGCCTGGGTAGCATTTGTGAAATGCGTAATTGATAGAACATGGAAACTTGATATTTGAAAATAGGTATTTGTAAAAGATATAAAGCATAGAATGATTATTTACCTTGAACACATGGTCTTCATTTTAGACTATGATTTGTCAAACAACCTTGCATACTTTAACTGTGATTTGTGTAGTGAACATTTGCTGGTTGCCCCTGCCTGCTTTCTATGCCTCAGTTGCCAAGTTATTCTCAGTGGCTCCTATTTGGGGACCCATGTTGTTCCAGAGAAGCCAATTTTGCCTACTGCATTCGAAGAGTGTTTTGATCTAGGCTAAGCCATTCAGCATAGTTGCCCTCTAGCCATGGTGATTACTTTAGGAATGGGCATCATTATCATCATCATCATGATCACTTTCATAGCACTTTCTAATTAGTAAGTGCTAGGTGCTATTCTAAGCACTACATTAGCCCATTTGGTCCTCACAACAACCCTTCAGGGTAGGTGCTATTATAATCCCCTTTTTGCTGCTCTAAGGCATAGAGCTGGTAAATAGTGAGCTGGGATGGATCCTAACTCAGGCAGTCTGGCTCTGGAATCTGTGCTCCTAATGACTTCACCAAACTGCTTGTGACTGAAGCTGGTCTATCAGCATGAACTCTGGGCTTCAGACTAAGAAAGTTAGGATGGGTGGCTCCCTTAGTTCTGTGTGGTGTGGAGAGCAGATGTGAGCCCTGGAACTGCTCCAGCATCTGATTGCTTCAGGGGAAGCTAGGCTGAGTTCAAGGAGTTCGTGGAGGTGGCAGAGGTGAAAGGACACAGAAAATAGGAATCAGTACAGGGATGATACTGTGAATTTTGTAGTCAGTGAGGCAATAAACTCTCTTTATTTTAAATGTTGGCTTGAGCCTGGTTTCCAAAAGCATCCTGACATAATTTGATTCCAAAAAACTATAACTTTTTCCTGTATATATGAACTACATGAAAATATTTGTGCTTGTATACTTCACTTGCCTTTACCCATGATGAATGTGGTGTAAGTATGGAGACATTAGTAATATTAAACAAGTTATTTTAGCAAAAATGAGTAGTATAAACATATTACTTTACACTATACTTTAGTTCTCAAGATGACATTATTTTACATTTTAAAATTTCTAAAATTGGGGCACATCCTATAATTGGTATCCTCATTTAATTGGCAGTTGTTTTTTCTTTCTTAGTGTGGTAAATAAAGTAACAGTTACTAATGTAATTGATAGCATCTTAGAGCCAATGAACTATAGCAATTTAGTTATGATTGGATATATTTCCCCTCTTAAGTATTGCTTTATCCTATCTACAGCGTGGACTAAGCATATTCACATACACACTTCTATATGTATGATATATATATATACAACAAAGCTTCAGTTAATATCATACTTTCCTAGAGTTTTGGTGGGCTTATGTTATGAGTAGTCATGATTTACAAATGAGAAAATTTAATAAAGAAAGACTTAAGGACAGAAGTCCCACGTTCAAACCCAAATCTGCCAAGAACTAGAGGCTTTATTTTTTTGTATCTCAATAATTTCATTTGTAATATAATTAAAGGGTGAGATTAGGTGATCATTAAAGTTAACTCCAGATTTTACATGCTATGGGTCCTACGGAATTGTATTACCATGGTTTTATAATATCACCACCAACAACTGCAGTCATGATATCAATAAAGTATGCTCTAAAGTTAGATTTAATGAATGATTAGGGATCACTCTTTATTTTGGGCAACTCAACCAAGCCTTCTAAAACAGAGGTCCCCAACCCCTGTTAGGAACCAGGCCACACAGTAGGAGGTGAGTGGCGGTTGAGCAAGCAAAGCTGCATCTGTATTTATAGCCACTCCTCATTGCTCACATTACTGCCTGAGCTCTACCTCCTGTAAGATCAGCAGTGGCATTAGATTCTAATCCGAGTGCGAATTCTTTTGTGAACTGCACATTCAAGGGGTCGAGCTTGTGTGCTCCTTATGAGAATCTAATGCCTGATGATCTGAGGTGGAGCTGAGGTGGTGATGCTAGCATGGGGGAGCAATTGCAAATACAGATTAACATTAGCAGAGAGGTTTCACTGTGCAGAGACCATAATAAATCAATTGCTTGCAGACTCATATCAAAACCCTATCAGTGAGTGGCAAGGGACAATTAAGCTGCATCTGGTGGCAGGCTTTAAATCAGAATCCAACACTTATTTCAGTCTTTGCATGGTCCACTCATTATTTTATTTACCACTTCCACCCATGCCTTTTTCCTGTACTGTGCACTTGTCTCAGTCACAGTTTTGCTAAACCCACAAGCTAACCCTAGCCAAAATGAGTGAAAAACAGATGTCACTGGAGAGCTTCTTTGAAAAGGGGGAAAGATCCAATGATAAGACAGCAGAAGACTCTAAGACTGCAAACAAAAAGAAAGCTGCATTTAAAAGAAAATACCAAAAGTCCTACTTTTTACAGGTTGATTGCAACAGGTGATTTACATTCTGTAAGCCCGCTTTGTATATGTGGTGACCAGCTATTCAATGGAGCCATGAAATCTTCAAAACTGCTTCACCATGTGGAGACCAAACACCCTGCACTAAAAGACAAGCCTTTGGAGTTTTTCAAATTAAAAAAACATGAACAGGAAGAACAAAAGCAATTATTGATGGCCACCACTTCATCAAATGTGTCTGCACCGAGAGCATCATTCTTAGTGGCTAACCACATCACTAACACTAAGAGGCCCTTTACTATTGGTGAAGAGTTGATCCTGCCCACCATTAAGGATGTTAGTCATGAACTTTTAGGAGATGCTGCAGTTCAAAAGGTGGCATATGTTCCTCTTTTGGCTAGCCCCATAACTAGATGAATGAAATAGTTGAGGATATTGAGGCACAATTGTTAGAGAAGATTAATGAGTCACTGTGGCATGCAATCCAGGTTGACGAGTCTACGAATGTTGACAACAAGGCAACAATGCTTGTTTTTGTGCGATATATTTCTCGGGAGGACGTGCATGAGAATATGTTATGTGCACTTTTGTTGCCAACCAGCACCACAGGTACAGAACTATTCAAGCCTTTGAATGATTACTGTGTTAGTTCGTTTTCATGCTGCTGATAAAGACACACCCAAGACTGGGCAATTTACAAAAGAAAAGATTTAATGGGCTTACAGTTCCACATGGCTGGGGAGGCCTCACAATCATGGTGGAACGTGAAAGTCATGTCTTACATGGTGGCAGACAAGAGAAGAGCTTGTGCAGAGAAACTCCTGTTTTTAAAACCATCAGATCTTGTGAGACCCACTCACTATCACGAGAACAGCATGGGAAAGACCTGCCCCCATGATTCAGTCATCTCCCACTGGGTGCCTCCCACAATATGCAGGAATTATGGGGGCTACAAGATGAAATTTAGGTGGGGACACAGAGCCAAACCATATGAATTACATATCAGGAAAACAGAATTGGTCATTTTGTATTGGTATGTGCATGGACAGAGAGGCTGCCATGACTGGATGCCTTTCTGGTTTCACTACTTGGGTCAAAGAGGTTGCTTCTGAATGTGAATCTACACACTGTGTCATCCACAGAGAAATGCTGGCTAGCCAAAAAAAAATGTCACCTGAACTTAAGGTTTTGCAGGATGTGGTTAAAATTATCAACAACATTAAATTACATGCCCTTAATTCATGTCTTTTTGCATAGCTCTATGAGGAAATGGATACAGACCACACATGTCTTCTCTCATACACAGAAGTGAGATGGCTTTCTCAAGGTAGATCACTGGCCAGAGATTTTTGAGTTACAAAAACCACTCCAAAGATTTCTTTTAGAAAAGCACTTACCACTCCAGCACATTTCAGCAACACAGAATGGGTCACAAAACTTGCTCACTTGTGTGACATATTCAACCTGCTCAATGAACTCAGTCTGTCACTTCAGGGGAGAATGACAACTGTGTTCAAGTCGGCAGATAAAGTGGCTGCATTCAAAGCCAAACTGGAATTATGGGGGTGATGAATGAACACTGGGATTTCTGACATGCTTCAAACATTAGCAGACATTTTGAAAGAGACCAAGCCAGGGCCTTCTTTCTCCCAGCTGGTGCATGGTCACCTACCTCAGCTTTCAAAAGAGTTTGTGCATTACTTCCCAACCACAAAAGACCCCCAAACTGGGAAGGAATGGATCCATCACCCATTTGTGAATAAGCCAAGGGAATTGACTTTGTCCCTGCTTGAAGAGGATCAGCTGCTTGAGATTGCAAATGACGGTTGCCTTAAAAGTATGTTTGAGGCAACTTCACATCTCCATACATTCTGGATTAAAGTCAAGGCGGAATATCCTGAGATTACCACAGAAGCACTGAAAAGCTTCCTTCCATTTCCAACATCCTATCTTTGTGAAGCAGGGTTTTCTGCAGTGACAGCAACCAAAACGAGATTATGGGGTAGAGTGGACATAAGCAACACACTTCAGGTGTCACTGTCTTCCATCACCCCAGATGGGACCATCCAGCTGCAGGAAAACAAGCTCAGGGCTTCCACTGATTCTACATTATGATGAGCTATAACAATGTCATAATAGAAACGCAGTGCACAATAAATATAATGCACTTCAATCATCCCCAAACCACCTCCCACCCCCAAGTCTGTGGAAAAATTTTCTTCCATGAAACCCATCCCTGGTGCCAAAAAGCTCAGGGATCACTGTTCTAAAGGAATGGATTAGTACAACTCTTTTTATCAGTATCATCTTGGACATCAGCTCAAGCGCTGTCATCACATTCAGCAATTATTCAATATAATTTGAATGTGAACTCTGTAAGCTTGCAGAAGGAGGGTCTGAATGACTTCTATTGCCCCAATTGCTCAGCTGAGTTAATTTTTACAGAAAATAAGAGAATATCTCCCAAAACTTCTGAGATCCAAGAGCCATTCACAGAACCCACTAATACATAGGGCCATGAGAAGCTTCATGGGTAAAGTGCATATTTCAACCAACAACAATGCGTTGTATCCTTACTCCAACTCTTTATTATTCCATCAACAAAAGTTATTTTTGATTAAGAAGATGAATAGCTGGCAAAGTAAGGGTTTGATGGAAGGGAATTAAGCTAAAGACCAGGTGAGGGTGCTCAAAAGGAATCTGCACGTAGCATGCCAGAGGTGAAGTTTGTACAGGTAATCTCACTCATTCATTTAACACATACTTATCAAGAATCTACTCTCTGACAAGGACCGTGCTAAGTATTTGGGATGCAACAGTGAACAAGTCAGATATGGCCCTAATTTCATGGACCTACAGTTTAGTAAGGAGGCAGCAATTATGCAGATGATTATACATGGGACCCAGCCTAGACCTGTGATTTGGGAGAGCTTCTTGGAGGAGGGAGAGCAAAGTGGATACCTGAGCATCAAGTAGGACCTACCAAGATGAAAATGAGGCAGGAGGTGGAAGTTTTCAGAAGAGGAGAGTTTTAGGAAGAGGAGGCTCTTATGTTAGGAAAACAGCTCTCAATGAGAAAGGACATGAGGATTCAGGAGGTAAAAGTCAGTGACTCGCAGACCATATATTGAGCACCAGCTGTGTGTGTAGTGACATGGCTGCTAGTAGAGATTTTCCTGGCAACACTTTCCCTTCTAGTTTTGGTGTATTTGGTGTCATTAGGATCTTTATTTTACATATTTATTTTACAAGATTAATGCTTAAAATGTAAAAGGTTTGTCTGACCACAGGAGGGAATGTTCAGGGAAAAAACATATAAAAATAAATAAAATCATAGAAAAGAAAACAAAATTACTTACAGTTCTGCCATAAAGAGATAACCACTGTTGGTATTTTAACATATATAATTCCAGTCCTCAGCTTATGCACGTCTGCTATACTTTGAGTGTTTGATCCCACCAAACCTCATGGTGAAATTTGATCCCCAATATTGGATGTGAGGCCTAATGGGAGGTGTTTGGGTTATGGAGGCAGATTCCTCATGAATAGATTAATGCCCTTGGCTGGAGGTGTGTGAGTGAGTTCTTATTCTATTATTTCCCTGGAGAACTGGCATTAAATAGAGCCTGGCACCTCCCCCTTCTCTGTCTTGCTTCCTTTCTCTTCCTGTGATCTCTACACGCTGGCTCCCCTCTGCCTTCCACCATGAGTAGAAGGAGCCTGAGGCCCTCACCAGAAGCTCAGCAGATGCTAGTGCCATGCTTCTTGTACCATCTACAGAAAATGGACCAAACAAATCTTTCTTTATAAATTACCTATAAATTACCCAGACTCAGATATTCCTTTATAACAACACCAAGGGACTAAGACAGTGCCCTTAAAAAGATGAGATTATGAACTATACGTTGTCTTTTCAAAAATGATTTCCAAATATGTATTTACCTAATGACTAGGTAACACATGTACGGAATAATAGGATGCAGAATTCTAAAGAGAAATACAGGGAAATGTTAAGTCTCAATTCTAGCTTGTCCACAAACCACCCATGCCCCTTTCCCAGAGGAAATGACCATTTTAGTTTTTCTTGGCAACTTCTTAATCAGAAGGCTAGACATGAGTTCA
Source organism: Homo sapiens (assembly GCF_000001405.40). Lineage (NCBI taxonomy): Eukaryota > Metazoa > Chordata > Mammalia > Primates > Hominidae > Homo > Homo sapiens. Next base: position 112,428,942 of record NC_000005.10, on the reverse strand, counting down.
GAGATCATCTCCAGATGTTCTTTGCCAGATGTTGTGCTGGGATGCTCCTTCCCTAGGTACCACATTTAAGGAACAGCAATGTGTCATTACCAGAAGAAACAGGCGGAAAATCAGCCTGCTGGGCATGACAATGTAGAGGTGCCACAACTTACTCCAGGTTTTTTATTTTATAGAGGAGCATGCTGAGGTACAGAGAGATGATGTAGCTTCTTTAAGGTCACACAGCTAGTTTGACTTAAAATAAAAATGATTACAAGATAATAAAAGCTAATTTCCCCATTATTTTCCTCAAATTTCTATAGGTAGATTAATACCCCTATTACTAAGCTGGTGTTAACCAAATAAAGTTTCTATGAGGGATCAAACCAGAGCACATTAACCAGGTAAAATAGTCAATACATTGGAACTTAGGTTAGAACTTAGAAAAGGAGTCCAATTTTATGATAAAGGGGATATCACCACTGATCCCACAGAAACACACACTACCATCAGAGAATACTATAAACACCTCTACACAAATAAACTAGAAAATCTAGAAGAAATGGATAAATTCCTCAACACATACACCTTCCCAAGACTAAACCAGGAAGAAGTTGAATCTCTGAATAGACCAATAACAGGCTCTGAAATTGAGGCAATAATTAATAGGTTACCAACCAAAAAAAGGCCAGGACCAGATGGATTCACAGCCGAATTCTACCAGAGGTAGAAGGAGGAGCTGGTACCATTCCTTCTGAAACTATTCCAATCAATAGAAAAAGAGGGAATCCTCCCTAACTCATTTTATGAGGCCAGCATCGTCCTGATACCAAAGCCTGGCAGAAACACAACAAAAAAGGAGAATTTTAGACTAATATCCCTGATGAACATCGATGCCAAAATCCTCAATGAAATACTGGCAAACCAAATCCAGCAGCACATCAAAAAGCTTATCCACCATGATCAAGTGGGCTTCATCCCTGGGATGCAAGGCTGGTTCAACATACGCAAATCAATAAACATAATCCAGCATATAAACAGAACCAACGACAAAAACCATATGATTATCTCAATAGATGCAGAAAAGGCCTTTGACAAAATTCAACAACCTTCATGCTAAAACGTCTCAATAAATTAGGTATTGATTGGAAGTATCTCAAAATAATAACAGCTATCTATGACAAACCCACAGCCAATATCATACCGAATGGGCAAAAACTGGAAGCATTCCCTTTGAAAACTGCCACAAGACAGGGATGCCCTCTCTCACCACTCCTATTCAACATAGTGTTGGAAGTTCTGGCCAGGGCAATCACGCAGGAGAAAGAAATAAAGGGTATTCAATTAGTAAAAGAGGAAGTCAAATTGTCCCTGTTTGCAGATGACATGATTGTATATCTAGAAAACTCCATCTTCTCAGCCCAAAATCTCCTTAAGTGGATAGGCAACTTCAGCAAAGTCTCAGGATACAAAATCAATGTGCAAAAATTACAACCATCCTTATACACCAATAACAGACAAACAGAGAGCCAAATCATGAGTGAACTCCCATTCACAATTGCTTCAAAGAGAATAAAATACCTAGGAATCCAACTTACAAGGGATGTGAAGGACCTCTTCAAGGAGAACTACAAACCACTGCTCAATGAAATAAAAGAGGATACAAACAAATGGAAGAACATTCCATGCTCATGGGAAGGAAGAATCAATATCGTGAAAATGGCCATACTGCCCAAGGTAATTTATAGATTCAGTGCCATCCCCATCAAGCTACCAATGCTTTCTTCACAGAATTGGAAAAAACTACTTTAAAGTTCATATGGAACCAAAAAAGAGCCCTCATTGCCAAGTCAATTCTGAGCCAAAAGAACAAAGCTGGGGGCATCATGCTACCTGACTTCAAACTATACTACAAGGCTACAGTAACCAAAACAGCATGGTACTGGTACCAAAACAGAGATATAGACCAATGGAACAGAACAGAGCCCTCAGAAATAATGCCCCGTGTCTACAACTATCTGATTTTTGACAAACCTGACAAAAACAAGAAATGGGGAAAGGATTCCCTATTTAATAAATGGTGCTGGGAAAACTGGCTAGCCACATGTAGAAAGCTGAAACTGGATCCCTTCCTTATACCTTATACAAAAATTAATTCAAGATGGATTAAAGACTTAAATGTTAGACCTAAAACCATGAAAACCCTAGAAGAAAACCTAGGCAATACCATTCAGGACATAGGCATGGGCAAAGACTTCATGTCTAAAACACCAAAAACAATGGCAACAAAAGCCAAAACTAACAAAGGGGATCTAATTAAACTTAAGAGCTTCTGCACAGCAAAAGAAACTACCATCAGAGTGAACAGGCAACCTACAGAATGGGAGAAAATTTTTGCAATCTACTCATCTGACAAAGGGCTAACATCCAGAATCTACAATGAACTCAAACAAATTTACAAGGAAAAAACAAACAACCCCATCAACAAGTGGGCGAGGATATGAACAGACACTTCTCAGAAGAAGACATTTATGCAGACAAAAAACACATAAAAAAATGCCCATCATCACTGGCCATCAGAGAAATGCAAATCAAAACCACAATGAGATACCATCTCACACCAGTTAGAATGGCAATCATTAAAAAGTCAGGAAACAACAGGTGCTGCAGAGGATGTGGAGAAACAGGAACACGTTTACACTGTTGGTGAGACTGTAAACTAGTTCAACCATTGTGGAAGTCAGTGTGGCGATTCCTCAGGGATCTAGAACTAGAAATATCATTTGACCCAGCCATCCCATTACTGGGTATATACCCAAAGGATCATAAATCACGCTACTATAAAGACACATGCATGTGTATGTTTATTGCGGCACTATTCACAATAGGAAGGACTTGGAACCAACCCACATGTCCAACAATGATAGACTGGATTAAGAAAATGTGGCACATATACACCATGGAATACTATGCAGCCATAAAAAATGATGAGTTCATGTCATTTGTAGGGACATGGATGAAGCTGGAAACCATCATTCTCAGCAAACGATCGCAAGGACAAAAAACCAAACACCGCATGTTCTCACTCATAGTTGGGAATTGAACAATGAGAACACATGGACACAGGAAGGGGAACATCACACACTGGGGCCTGTTGTGGGGTGGGGGGAGGGGGGAGGGATAGCATTAGGAGAGATACCTAATGCTAAATGACGAGTTACTGGGTGCAGCACACCAACATGGCACATGTATACATATGTAACTAACCTGCACGTCGTGCACATGTACCCTAAAACTTAAAGTATAATTAAAAAAAAAAGAATAAAAAAAAAAAGAAAAGGAGTCCAATTTTAAATGAAGGCCAATTTCATTAACCGGTAATTTGACAGATTCTTTGGTTTAATATGAGAATTTATTTTCATTTTAAATTATTCCATACTCATTGTAAAAAATCAATTTTTTTTGAGATAGGGTGTCATTCTTTTGCACAGGCTGGAGTGCAGTGGCACGATCTTGGCTCACTGCAACCTCTGCCTCCAAGGCTCAAGCAATCCTCTTGCCTCGGCCTCCCAAAGTGCTGGGATTACAGGCATGAGTCACTCAGCTTTGCTCCAAACTTTCTTTTAAAAACAAACAAAAATGGACTTTCCTCTTTGCATTATTATATAAGCTGTTCTTTTAGGAGACTTTGTCTAGTTTTTAAAATAACAAAATGACTTTTGCCAATTTGATTGAAAGAGATTCCAAAGATTGGCATGAGTAGAGTGAAGTGGGTATTTTGATACGTTGTTGGTGGAACTGTAAATTGATTCAGGCTTTCTGGATTGCAGTCTGTCATAATGACAATAAATAAATTAAATATGCATATAGTTTGATTCACAAGTTCCATATCTAGGAATTTATCTTTATCAAATAATAGACAAATACATGTAAAAATGTTTACTACAGCATGTTTATATTTTTATAACAATCTAAGTGCCAAATTTGAGCTGTTTAATTAATTATAGTGTATGCATATAACAGAACACCTAGGAAAGATGAAATGGAGATATATTCACTGGCATGGAAAGTTATTAAAGGTAAGCAATGAGGTTAAAAAAAACAGCAGCTTATATAATAGTGCAAGAGGAAAGTTCGTTTGTGTTTTTAAAAGAAAGGGGAGCTAGGGTGTTTCAAATTTCCAGACTATTTTTGCTAAATACAAACCACATTAATGCATTCACTACCAAGGATTAATACCTGTGCAAAATAAGAATTCTCAGTAAACCCCAAAGAACATTTATTTGAAGATCACAAGGATGAAGAACCAGCTTAGATTGCAGGGAATTCTTGGGAGATGGTTTCCCTTGAAACATAGGTAACAGCCTTGAGGTATTCTAATAAATGGGATCTAAGGCCTCAGTACTTAGAAAAGAAGACAGCTGGTTAATGACATACCTATATGTGAAGTGAGTCAGGAGGCAGAATGGTCTTAAAAACTGGATGTGCCTGGGCACATACTATATTAGAAATAAAAATAAGTAAGGTGTCCAAAGAAACTAAGCAGTAGTATGATGAGACCAAATTAGGGATATTTCCCTTAACAACTACTCCTTCTGATGTTATCTACTTGGCAGGATCTTCAATACTTTCTCTTTGACAGGCATTAATTTGATGAATGAGGCAAAATAACAGGGAGGCTACTAGTGAAGAATGACTTTCTTCCCAAATTATTCACAGGTAATGAGGAACAACTATTTTTTTTGAAAGACAATCTCCAGAGCAGTGATTCTCAAAGTCCGCTTGCCAATCTGCAGCATTAGCATCACCTGGGAACTTGTCAGAAATGCAAATTCTTAGGTCCCATTCCATGACTACTAAATCAGAAACCCTGGGGTTAGGGCCAGAAATCAGTGTTTTAACAAGCCCTGGTGATTCTGCTGCGTTGCTCTCAGGTATGTTAGTAATTAAATTATTTATGTATCTATTGTCAAGAAATTCAGGCTTCTTTCTTTTACGTATTACAGTTAACTTTCTTAAGTTTGAAAAATGTAAGATTATAAAAAGATCACAGAAGATTGTTTAAATACATCTTACTAAAAAGAATATGGTGCTTTAAAAAGAATTCTGAGTTTGCATTTTGAAATACATGTTTCAGCAAGGGGTGGGGGCCTGTTTTACGTAAAATGAAATTTCTTCTTCCAGATTGAGGATTCCTGCAGTCTTTCACAGATGGAAGCCCTGCATATTTCTGTAGAATTATGTTTATTCTGAATTTATTTGCCATTTGACTCGTCTACCTAGGCTTATCATGACAAAATGTTAATGTTTAACATTTAACAAAATGTTAAAACAAAAATCACTGAAAAGAGATCAAAGCCTTTGATGCAAAGCTTTAAATAGAGCATATTATGTTATGCACATGTTGAAAACTATATGATTTTCCTGGGAAAAAGTGTTTGAATAGCATCTTGTTAATTTGTTTCTCTGGATAGGCAGAGAAAGTCTTCCTCCAAAATCTTAAGGAAGGTCTATGTTCAGCTTTTTAAGAAACTACAAAACTTATCCAAAGTGGTTATACCATCTTGCATGCACTCCAGGATTATGAGAATTTAAATTGCTCCACATCCGGCCGGGTGCAGTGGCTCTCGTCCATAATCCCAGCACTTTGGGAGGCCGAGGCTGGCGGATCATGAGGTCAGGAGTTCGAGACCAGCCTGGCCGATATGGTGAAACCCCGTCTCTACTAAAAGCACAAAAATTAGCTGGGCGTGGTGGCACGCGCCTGTAGTCCCAGCTGCTCAGGAGGCTGAGGCAGAAGAATCGCTTGAACCCGGGAGGCAGAGGTTGCAGTGAGCTGAAATTGTGCCACTGCACTGCAGCCTGGGTGACAGAGCGAGACTCCATCTCAAAAAAAGAAAAAAAAAATTGCACCACATCCTCACCCACACTTAGTGATATGGTAGCTTGGTAGCCATTCTATTAGGTGTCTAGTGGTATCTTATGGTGATTTTAATTTGCATTTTCCTAGTGACTAATGATGTTGATCATCTTTCCATGTGTTTATTTGCCAGTTGTATATCTTCTGATCCAGTCATTCTACTCTGTATTACAAAAGAAACAAAAGCACATGTACATATAAAGACATGGATCCTTTCTATGGGCTGAATTGTGTTCCCTCAAAATTCATATGTTGAAGCCCTAACCCAATGTGACTGTTTAGAGATAGGGTCTATAAGGTGGCAATTAAAGTTAAATGAGATCCTAAGAGTAGAGCCCTGATACCATAGGATTAATGTTCTTGTAATAATCGACCCGAGGGTGCTATCTTGGTGTCTTTCTCTCCCCAACCCTCCTTAATATTTCTGTCTCACCCTCCTTTTCTCCCTCTCTTCTCCTTCTATTCCTCTTCCCTTTCCCCTTCTCTCTGAAAGCACACAAAGATGTCATGTGAGCACACAGTAACCTGGAGCCTTCCTTCAAGTCAGGAAGGTGCCTCACCAGAAACTGACCATGATGGCACAGTAGTCTTGAACTTCCAGGCTCCAGAACTGTGAGAAAATAAATGTCTGTTGTTTAAGCCATCCAGTCTGCTGTATTTTGTTATAGCAGCCTGAGCTGACTAATACAATCCCCATAGCAGCTTTATTTGTAATAGTCAAAAACTGGAAACCACCTAAATGAATGGAAAAACAAATTGTGGTATATACATACAATGGAATATTATTGAACAATAAAAATAAATGAACTATTTATATTCACAACAGCATGGTTAAATCTCAGTTGTGTCCAGTGAAACAAACCAGACAAAAAGGAGAGTTCACACTGTATGATTCAATTGGTATTAAACTCTAGAAAATGTAGCTAAATGATGGTGACAGAAAGCAGATCTATGGTTGCCTGGGAGGTGAGTCGTACTGAGGAATGGGAGTGTAAGATGACAAAGTGGCCAGGCGCGGTGGCTCACACCTGTAATCCTAGCACTTTGGGAGGCTGAGGCGGGCGGATCATGAGGTCAGGAGTTTGAGACCAGCCTCGCCAGCATGGTGGAACCTTGTCTCTACTAAAAATACAGGGCATGGTGGCGCACTCCTGTAGTCCCAGCTACTTGGGAGGCTGAGGCAGGAGAATTGCTCCAACCCGGCAGGTGGAGGTTGTAGTGAGCCGAGATCGCGCCACTGCACTCTGATAGAGCGCGACTCTGTCTCAAAAAAAAAAAAAAAAAAAAGAAAGATGACAAAGTGCAGGAGGAAACCTTAGGGAGGGATGAATATGTGTACTAGCTTGATTATGGTGGTGGGTTCATGGGTGCACACTTATGTCAAAACTTATCAAATTGTACACTTAAAAATTATGCAGTGAACTGTATGTAAATTATATGCAATAAAGCTATCCTTAGAAACTCTGTGGAATCCTCTTGTCACTAGTAATCTCTAATTTTGTGTTAAATAGATTTTAAATGTTCTTTTCTCCAGTCTCCGATAAAGAAATGGAAAAGAAAATGCTTCACTCAGGAAAGAGTGTCATATGTATGGGACCTTATGGCTTTGTAACTTACCTTATGAGGAGCTGGGAACAGAATCCCTGCCCATCCAAAACCCTCAGCCTTCTCACTGCCACTGGAGGTAAAAAAACAAAAACAAACAACAGCAAAACCAAAAATCAGAAAGCAAAAAAACCAAATCAAAGGGCCAAAAAACAGGTGAGAGCAAAACTCAAAAAAACTGGGAACAGATGATTGCTTGAACCTTTTGTTTTTGCAGCCTCAAGTGTCTCGGTTGGATATGGAGGTAAAGAATGAAAATGTTAAGCCATCTTTCAATCACATTTGGTAACTCCTGTCAGGAATACTGTATTACAGAAAAGAAAAGCCTCTACAAGCAGAAATGCTAAAATCTAGCATAATAAGGTGTCACCTCATAAGGCAGGCAAGACTTTGACAATAAAACAAAGCTGGACACGAAATTTGATCAGAAATTCAAAACCTGAGTCAATTTCACAGAAAATTCAGAAGATAAAATAGTTTTATTCATAGCCTAGGTAAAGTTCAGAAATTTATATTGCACTTTGGCGGTTATGCTGATCCTGTGTTTGGATGGGGTCACAATAGCAGGGAAGGCCGAGGCTTCCTACAGAAGGTCCTTTGTGGCAAATCACTATGAGAGGAAACTCCATCAAAAGTCGCCAATTGTTCATTTCATTTCTACTGTGCTACGGAAGCCTGGTTTTGTTTTAAGGGCTAACGTCCTAGGTTTTAAGCAATTTTTTTTGAGCTTTGGCTACCCAGCTAACAAGCAGTAGAATAGTCAACTCAAAACTACGTCTGATGCCAAAGCTCTAACTCTAAAACTCAATATAGAGTTTTTTTTCTGTGACACCTCCCCTCGTGTCTCCCCTAACTGCGACTCGCATTAACTCGCTGCTGGTTCCCAGCTGGAGAGCACAGATTGCACCTGCTCCGAAGCCCAGCGGGGCTCAGTGTCGTCCGCAGCTCAACCTCGGCTGCCTGTGCACGGACATCGGGACCCACCAGGGGTCACTGCAGCTTCAGAGCTATTGTGCCCCTCAGTCCTGGACGCGGCCGACCGCGCGGAGGGCGTGGGATTGGGACCGCCGAACCGTGGGGTCCGAGCAGCACCGCGTCCTCTTCTCCCCACCCAGCCTCCAGGTCTCTCGGGGGAAGGACGCAGCGAGCGCTGGACTGCCCCGCGGCTTGGGCGCAGTGTGCGGCTTGGCAGCGTGGACTCGCCGGCACCTCGCCGCTGGGACCACGGTCTCTGCCCCGCCCTCCGCCCCCAGCTGATACCCCGCCCAGAAGGGGCTCCCCTGCCGCGGCCAGCGCTGGACTGGGGGGTCCGCTTCGTTCCAGGGCTTTTTGCAGACGCCTGGACCGGGCCCACATGCACCTGGGCTGCTCCCGCCCGGGGCGCCACCACTCGCGCGGCCAAGAGAACTTTCCCCGGAGCCTCTGCGGCCTGGCGCGCCCAGGGCGCACCCCCCGCTCGCCCGTCCGCCGCGTTCCCAGCTGGGGCGTCGCTCCTCCGCCCGCAGGTCCCCGCCTCCCCGCTTTGCTGAATGTCCTGAAGAAGCCGTATTCCGCCGCCGCGGCAGGCATTCCCGGAGGGAGAGCTTGAACTTGGCTACACACGGCCACCCGTAATGAGCTCGGGAGTCCCCGGACGGGAGCCACACCCCGCGACGAGCTGACCTCCCCTCGCTGGTCTGGGTAAGGAGCCTGCTGCCCTTTCCGCCTCTCTTCCGGCTCCTCGGCGCTTGCGGCTGGGGGACGGGGTAGCGGACGGAGCGACGACCTTCGCCTCTGCCCCTGCGCCCATGGTCGGGGCGTCGTGGGTGCTCCTCACACAAAAGAAAAGCCGAGCGCTTCATACTCGGCGGATCTGACCCGGGGCTGCGGGGCGGGGTCGCGGCTGGAAGTGCGCGCCCGCGGGGGACTCCGCAGGCCGATCGGACGCCAGGACGTCGGGGCCGCGCTCAAATCCGTGCGGCAGGAGGGAGGTGCAGCGCTTCCAGGGTTTTCCAAGGCCGGGGAGAGCCTCGAATTCCCATCACTCCTTTTTCTGGTCTCTTGCCCCCAGTGCCAGGAGACTTTTGTCGTCCCCAGGACTGCGGGAGGGGCCCCGCGCCCCCGCCTTCGGAGGAGCTCGAGCCGCAGGATGCGCGGGGACGCGCCACCGCCCTCCGCGCCCAGTTCCGCCGGCGCTTCCCCGGCGGCTCCCGGGCGCTGACTCTCCCGGGCTTTTCCGCCTTTCTCGCTCCCGCCCCGCCGGGCGGTTCGGCGGCCGGTCCCCGGACCCCGCCGGGAGCTGCTCGTCTCACCCTCGCCACGGCGCGGACAATAAATTAATGCATCGCGCTTGAGTGGAGGGGGCGGCTGGGCGCCTCGGTGGTAGCTTTCTCTCCTGGCTGGAGACGACCACAACCGACATGGGCTGTTTCTGCGCTGTTCCGGAAGAATTTTACTGCGAAGTTTTGCTCCTGGATGAATCCAAGTTAACCCTTACCACCCAGCAGCAGGGCATCAAGGTGGGTGCGGCCCGGAGCGCGTTCCGGGGGTTGGCGGCAGGGCGGGTGCGGGGGTCCATCGCTTTGAGGGCTGTCACCGGTGGGTCGAGGGCGGCGGCCGCGACTCTGCGCGGTGGGGAGGAGAGGCCGCTGTCCCCTGCGCGCAGGGAGAGGGTGGACGTACCAGGGTGAGTTAACTTTGAGTTCCTTCATAAAGCAAAGTTGAGTTTGACGTTTCTAAGTTTACTCAGCACACCGGCTCCCAGCAGCACCCCAAAACTCTTCCCCAAACCGGTTTTCTCCAAAAGCCTCTGGGTGCCCCGCAGCTCTCAAAGAGGGGCAGAATGGGTTATACCAGCTGCGTCCCACCAGTGTGGAAGGCATGGTTTCCCTCGACTTTGTTGAAGGCGTTTTCCTTGACAGTGTTATTAGGGAAGTGAACTAGTTCACTCGTTGAAACGCATTAATGGGTCATTGTGATTGTTTTGCGTGGGTTCGTAGTTGGGTAATGCTACGTTTGGACGGAAAATATTTTCCCTTTCTACAGCGACCTGGGTTTATCCTCACATTTAAGTAAACATCTCTCAAAGCGACCCAGTAATAACTTTGCTCCTGTTTGTGGGTCATTAAAATGCAATCACTACATTAACCTAGAGAGCCCAAACAAAAAGGCAGCAGAGCTCGCAGAGATCCTCTTCCTTACATTGGATGAGAAGGTACGTATGTTTGTAGTGACAACCTGACCGACGCGCCTGCGTGCTTGTTTTGCTTTTGCAACAGTGTTAACTACCTAAAGGAGATCTAAATCCGGAGCGTTTTGTTGTTTTGTTTATCTTTCTCTTTCAGTTTTAGATCGCTAAGGCATTTTAGATAAGGCAACAGCTGAGTCTGGTGAAGGGAAACCGCCCCCCCGCCCCCGCTCTGATAGAGCTGGCTTTCTGAGAAATCGAGTTCAGGCTGCCAAGTATCCTCTCTTAGTCGCTTCATCTCAGAAGTTAATCATAATGGGGTAGGCCCTGGGCATTTCCTTTTGTGAATCAGTTTTTACATAGTTTTATGCACACTAGGATAACTATTCCTGGCTAAAAGTTTCAGCGTTAATGTTGCCATTCTTAGTGTACAGAATTCCAGTTTCATAGGTGTAATTCTTTTGCGGGAGAAAGGAGCAAAAATAATCAGTTAAAGCTACAAGATTGTTAACCCTTTCCTTTAGGAGGTTGTTTTGAATATTGTTTCCCCAGTAATTATACTGAGCAAAATTCAGTTCGATTCTCATTCGGTATTTCCTTTCAAGACCAATAAAATAGACTCTTTTCGGGGAGGGTGTACATTTTGTATTTTTAACTTTTCTTTATGTTCCAAAATATTTCTCCTCTCACCCGCCCAATGAAATCAGGAAAATATTGTAACTTACAAGATGATGTAACATTCTTTGGTGTACTGTATGAATAAAATAGGCAAAAATCACAAAAACATCCTAAATTGTAGATAATATATAGATTCTTGTGTCGAGATAGAAACAATTAGAAAAAGGTAACTGATGATCAGATACTAAGACAGTAAAGAAATCTTTTTGAAGTGCAAAGTCTAAATTATCTGGAGTCTAAAGTCATCTGGAATGTGAGCTTCCTATTTAATCATCAAAGTCATGCCTATCAGCTGTAGAGCGTGTACATTATTCTGTCAAGAGAGCAGCCAGGACTTGGGATCAAATGGAATAATTTTGTCAAAGAAACATGAATCAAAAATCCTGATCCATAATTATTTTTTATAATCCAGTGGTGCTTATCTTGTTTTACAAATGGGCTGAAAATTGGTGAGTGATTCAAAGGCAACAGCAACTATGTAATACTGTTACTTTGGATATGGGCCATATAACTAAACAATAATTTAAGCAGGCTGTTGTTGGAAATAATCATTTAACAACAGGCTTGGCCTCTGTCCTTGTCACAAAAGCATGCCACAATTATTTTGATGGCCATGTGTGTAACACAGATGTTGTCTGCTAAAGCTAATCACATTATCTTCTATGCTACCTTAAAAGTGTATGTGTTAAACACCTACCCACCCTTGGCGTGTACTAAATTAAATATATTTGCATATTTATAAATGGTGTGTATAAAAAAACTTGCATGTAGAGGTATTCAAACATTGGATGAACATGTTTATGTTCTGTACATACTTGACATTTTAAAAAACTTTTTCCTAACCTTCCTGTATTATGGTGCATAGGTACAATTGATGTGTGTTGCATTAATTACTTAAAATTAACTCCTACTTTAGTTTGTAAATGAAAAAGTAAACAGTTACTTCAAAGTTAATAGCCAGTAGCTACCATTATGGTGTTTTTCCTTGAGATAGTATACTTAGTAATTTTGATTACCACTAATTAAAGTCAAAATTAAGCAGGCAACATCAATTAGCCTACTGTTCTCTGAAATTAACTAGAAAAATCTCTATTTTTCAAAAGCATTTCCTAACATTTATTTTGTGATTATCCTTTTTCCTATTCTATCTTAGATGAAGATGGCTAATTTTACATTAAAATTATGCACACATTTCATCTCTTAGTAGAAATAATTTTACTGATTCCTAAATGGTTACTTGAGAATTTGCTTGTATTATTGTTACAGTAATGCACTGTGAATTAGAAAAGATTAATTATAGCAAGTTAAGGTGGAAGAAATATGAGAGAATCTTGGTAAACATTTTTTCTGTGTATCATTTTGAAAAACATTCTTTGGATTTATTTAAGCACCAAATTACAAATAGAAAAGTTAGTTTTGAAGTGATTTTTCTTCAACTTAGATAAAGTTTTTCATCGATGTTAGAAAAAAAATTAATGTGTCATCATGAAAAGTGTTTCAGCCTGAAGACAACAGTTACTCATCTTATATGGTAAGATGAATATCAGTTAAATGGAAAATAATTTTATTTCCATTTAATTTCCATTTAAATGGAAAATAATTTTCTGTTAAAAAAAAAATACCAGAAAAATAAAACACAGTATCTTTGCATCCCTGTTAATGTTACGGAGGTATTTGCCTTTTTTACTTGCTTTAGGGGCAACCTCACCTTGATAGCAGAAAGTCTTATTCATGCAGTTCACAGTTTGAACCTTATCCGAGATTTAAAAACTCAAGTTTACATAAGCTGAGAGCTATTGGTTGTGTGTTGAGCCCTACAATAGCTTTTAGCTGTTTGTCTTTTGCTGCTATCTGTTGTTTATTCAAGTAAGGATATTTGGTATGGTTGGTCTCAGTTGTTTGAGTAATGTTCTGGGAAACTTTTGTTGTATCCTTTCTAGTTCTCTGTGCTGAGGGAGGTAGATAACTTTCTTTTTGTTCTCTTAGCAAAACTTGAATGTGGCTCAGACTGCTTTTCTAGTTTTTCATTTGGTTAGCAAAACATTTTCAGGAAAACAAAAGTCACAAGATTTGATTATAAATTTAATTCTCAAAATTGCTGCTACAAATATGAAATAGATTAGTATTTTCATTTTGGCAAGATTTTAATCCTCTGAGTAGCATGATGAATGTTTAGGTGCTCATTTTTCCCTATGAGTATTGACTAAACTAATGAAACCAATATGGCAGTAAGATGAAAATTCCATTACCTTCTTTTAAATGGCTTTGTTAAGGTATACCATACATTTCGCCCAGTTAAAGTGTATAGTTCATCCATTAACTACTAAATAATGTTACTTCCCAATCATCCTGAGATTCCTGAGGGAATACTGTGAGTCAGTTTTGATGCTTTTGGTTAGAAATTTCCTAATAAGCTAGGAAAACAAGCATAAGGCGAGGGCTTAAATTTTATGCATCTCACTTACCAAAAATTACAATTTTCATTCAATTTGGACTAATAAATAAAATATCCCAGAAGATTGGGAAAAAATGAAAAGCAATAGTTTCACAAATTATATTAAGTTTATATGTGAATACTCATATCTTTTGGTATCAGCTACTTAAGGTACAGAGTCAGGAACCATATAAACGTAGGTAGAAGCAAGTAATCACACACAAACGTAAGATTCACTGTGGTCTTGATTGGGTATTAAATTAGATGTGACTGGGCTAGAAAGTGTCTCTCCTGCATAACTACATCCAGTTTTCTAAAATTCAAAAGTGATATCCAGGTTGTGGCCGCATAAGATGAACTGTGTATAAATAGCCCCTCAATTTTACAAGAAGTCTTTTTCTTGAAAAAAATTATTAAAAATACCTTTTATCATCCATGACTTGAATGTGATTTAATAACTGTTTAAGGGGGAAAGCATTGTTGGTTACCTCCAACAGCTTTTGGCTGTCCCTCCCTAGGTGCTTCTGGTATTCTTGGTTGATAGTGAACTACACTTTTTGCAGTCCAGTTACTGTGTGTGTTCTTGAATTCTGTATTGGTAAGCTTGAACTATCTTGAACTCCCTGTGGGAGTTTATCCTGTCCCTTGTAGGATACTTAGCAGCATTCCCTGCCTCCTCTCACCAGATGTGTGGCACCTCTTTTCCAATAATGACAACCAAAAATCTCCCCAGATGTTGCCAGATCTTCCCTGATGGGCATAATCACCCTCCGTTGAGAACCACTCTCATAGAGGATAGCAGCTTCCTTTGTTCTTATGTCTTTGTTGCACAGTTTCAATATTGAATGCGGGGTAACTTTTAGATGCCTTCTATTTTTTCTTTTTTCCCCCTCTTTTGGAATGGTGAGTTGTTTACCCTCATATTCAGTGAAAACAATATGTTATCTTTATCTTGCTTCATATTCAAGTATCTTTACACGTGCTTCATATCTTTATACACAAAACAATACCTGCAGTGATTAAAAGCATAGGCTCTAAAGTCAGATTACCTGGGTTTAAATTTTGGCACCGCTAATTACTTACTAGCCGAGTCGTTTCTGAGTTTCAGTTTCCCCATCTGTAAAATGAAGAGAAATGATGTACAGTATTCACCTTCTACATTCATGCTGTCTTGCACATGATAAGCACCCAGCAAATTTTAACTTTATTCCACCTTTCCTCCTCTTCTCCTTGTTGTAGTGGCTCATTCCTTCCTAGAGATAAAGTCCAAGCTTCATTGTTTGACTTAGCACCCTACCTGATCTAGCCCTGCCAGTCCAAGTGACTTGCCCTCTAGGTATGCAGAAACTGCTCACGGTTTCCCAAATATTCCAGATTGTTTTGAGACTTTATGCATGAGATTCCTGCTGATTGGTGTACCATTTTGTTTCTCCATAAACACATACTTATCGGAAGCATCCTTGAATCAAGTGTCCCATCTGCTAGGCAGCCTTCACTTCTGCCTGACCAAGCGGAGGTAGGTGCCTATTTGTGCCTCACACATCCCTGTTACAGCATCTGTCACACTGCATGCATTATTTCTGGACACATCTGTCTCCTCCAGCAGCCTGTGAGCTGCTACCTGTGATCCCCAGGAGTCAGAGCTGTATACTTCATGTGGTAGATGCTTATTAACTATAATTTGATAGAAGAATGAGTGGAGTGTTACAGCTGGAATAGGCTGTATTGAAAATCTTCTAGATAATGGAGTTCCTTTGCTATTTTATTTTTACTAGAAAAGACCCTAGAATAAAGTGAATCCCACTGTGAAAAATCTGTTGTCAAGATACTCTAATTTTTGTATTGATAATGGGTAGAAAATGAGACGGTGCAGTGGACTGAATGCATGCAGTACATTGAAAAGCTGACTAGCAGCTATTTCAGAAAACATGAATCACACCGTTTTTGTATTTTGTAAGTACCAAATCTTTCTCTTCTAAATTTAATGCTCCCCTTCCAACCTGAGTCTTTCCGAAGAAGAGCATATTTCCCAAATGGAAAATAGATCCTCATACTTTAGTGACTTTTCTTCCTTGTCTCCCATTCTTGAAACTGAGAACCATGTTGGTTGGTTTCACAGTGGGGGTTTATGCTATTGTGAACCAGCACTGTAATTTTTAATCTTGCTGAATCACCTGTGTGTTACTCTTGAAGCTGTTTAAACCTAATCTGACACTGCTCTAAGGCTTACTGGAAAAGATGGTGTAAATACATTAAATATTGGGTTTTTATGAAAAAATTATATTTTTCATTCTGATGCAAAGTGTGTTTGTCTGCAGGCCTGTTGTAAACATGACAAGTCAGAGATCAAACTGGCTGCATCTACGGCTCCTGCCTCTCTGAGATTGACTGCTTTGGTTCAGCTTTATCTCTGACAATTTTAATCACATCTGAAGCTCCTGCATATTGCTCCTGGTCATCCTGCTTTGGGTTGTGATGACTAACCACCGTTTGTTTCTGCACCATAAGTTTTGTTTCCACGTTTCATATGTTAAGATTAAACAGGCACCTGTTATCACATGTCCTGGGCATAGACTCAGTGTGCTAAATTCAGGAACCAGTCAGTTTACTTTGTGACTCAAAAACCTTGTAAGTACAATTTAGAGTGTCTATACCATTGTAAAAAATGTGATTGCATTCCTGTGTCCTCTGAGCCATGCATGTATTTCCTGTGTTCTTTTTTAAGTGAAATAGTCATTATGTCTTAATGCTGCGTATTGTGAATCCCTTTCTCTATAACTACACACTCTTGCAAAGAGATTCATCAAGGTCTGGAATAGTTCCTTCGGAGGCTGTCTTAATGATCGCTGAAGACATAAAGGGCCTGCAGCCCTTCCAAAATGTGTGAGAAGTTTGTTTTCCAGCACAGGATATTGACATGCCAAGAGGAAGTTAGAACAAGAGAGATGGGGACAGGCAGGGAAAACAGAGAAGTGCTGAGCGATAGCTCACACAGACAATAACCAAAAGGTCAGATGGCAAAGGAGGAATTGGTGGACCGAGACTGCAGAGGGAACCATGTGCTGCAGTGTATTGTTTAGGAACGACACCTTCTGAGCCCTCGGGAAAGCGCATTTAGTAATGTGGAGTCCTCATCTTGAGGGGGACTATGTTTCAGCGGTTGGTTAGAAAGTGCTTTGTTTAGAGAACAGTGGGGGCCGTGAGTGAGGGTCAGGTTGCTGAGCTAGCCCAGAGAGACTATTTGAGTTGTTAAATCACTCAGGTTCCACCTTGACCTTCATCAGACCTGTGTTTGAGAAGCAGGCTTGGAACCTCTGCTGCCTTAATTGCGACTTGTCGAAATTGGTTTTTCTCTGCCATCCTCGCTGCTCCTGACTTAGTTTGGCCCTTTCACCTGGGCCAGCCTCCTAATGGGAGTGCTGTATGGTCACCATCAGTCTTTCCCCTCCCTGCTCCCTGTCCTGTGTTCAATCAAATCCTTGTCTGCCTTGTAATTACTGGCTTTGTGATTGGACAAGTGATTTTTTTTTTTTTTGCCAGCCCCAGTTTCCTTATCTGTAAGCTGAGGGGCATGATATCTGCCTCATAGGATGACTGTGAGAATTTGAGGAAAGAATTTTAGGTACATAGGATAAAAGGTGCTCAATAAATGATAGCTATTAGTATGTATGATATATTATTTGCAAATACATTTATTTCTGAATTTCAGTTTGGGATATCGAATCTCTGCCACCCCTGCCTAAGGTTGCACAGGTTCTCCGAGGGGTATGAGTGGTTGTTAGAAGTGGGAGAGCAGTGGTGATTTGATATTCATATATATTTGTCAGATCTGTCTGTAGGAGAAATAGTATCATGTTCCATTTGTGCATCTACTCACATTGCCTCAACCACCACTAGAATGCTGAAACTCCACATCTGTACCTGTAGTCCCAACTTCCTTATTTTCTGGATTCTGATCACTTACTAGATTCTGCACTAGATGCCTAAGCCAGCCATCACTACCCTCCTCCAGACCTGCTTATCTTCCTGTGCTTCCAAGTTTGATGAATGATCTCACACTCTATCAGTAAAGATGCTTTGGTCACCAGTTATGGAGATACCATTGCAAACTACTTGAACATGAGGAAGTTTATTAGCTCACCTATCAGGGAATCCAGGGGCAAGGAAAGGAGGTTCAGGGCGGGTCAGTGACATCAAGGTCCCAGCTTCTCTCATTTCATCCTTGCTCTGCTATCTTGGAGCCAGTGCCATCCTCAGGTGGTAGCAATGGCCAAATTCTAGAGATGAAGAGGTGATATTTGTATATGGCAATATGTAGGATAGTAATAGAGACAGTCTTTTCTAGGAGAAAGGCTTTCTCCTGAAGTCCTCCAGCAGACTTCCCTTGAGTCTTTTAGCTAGAATGAGTCTCATGGCCATTCTTGGGCGATAAGGGCAATGGGATCACCTGTAGAAGAATAAAGGGTCTTTCCTGAAGCTGGGTGGGAGTGGGGTCAGTTTCCCTGAGGCCAGTGGCTACATGGGGGAGGGGCTCAGGAAGGAAGGAGGAGAGTTGTGGGTACTGTTGTCACCATCAGTGTCCAGTCTACCTCTTGGGTCAGGATCCTTAAGTTTCCACATCCTTCCAGGTCTTGGAATTCCCACCTCCTAAACATCTTCCAAATTGTTTCTTTTCCCCTGTTTTCATTGCTGCTGCACTTCAGGCCCTTCTCAGTTCTCAGCTGGACAATTTGCAGGGCCTCCTAATCCCTGCAAGGCCCCTGCTTCCAGCATTAACCACCTGCATCTAGAGTGCTCTTTCTTGCCTCCTGCCTAGAATACTTTAATGTCTAGTCAGCCTCTGTGCTTGGGTTAAATTCCTAGCTGCGAGTGGCAGTCATTTTCAAGTCCCAACCTCCTTTCTATTCTTTCTCCCACCATCTCCTCATACTTGTCTGATACTCTAGCCAGATGGAGCTGCTTCCTAGTCTCTGAATTTTCCACATTCCCTCTCACCTTTTTCTGTGTGTAGAAAGCCCCACCCACCTCCTTTTGTTTGAGTGATGTATCAGCTCTCATGAAGGAGAGTTCTGCCTAGGTTTCACTTTTTTGTGAAGACTTCTCCTTGATGCGGAGCTGGAGAGGCCCTCTTCTGACCCTAATCCAGACTGCATTTCATTGCAGTAGTTTTTGTACTTTCCTGCTCACCTTGACCTGGGAGGAATACAGTGAGGTGAAGAGGGCATAGGCTTTTGTCATAGACAAATCTGGCTTCGAGTCTCCCTCCTGTTGGTTAGTGCTGTGAACATGGCCAAATCACTTACCCTCTTTGAGTTGGCTTTCTCATCAGTAATAAGGGTAAGGCTGTCCACCTCATCATGGGATGCTATACATGAAACCCTTAGCTCCTTTCCCGGTGAGTGGTAGCAGCTGTTAGTAGGGATGGAAAGCCTTGAGGGAGAGAACTAGGTCTTTTTTATGGGATTCCCAGTCAAGCCTAGTTCCTAAAGAGTAGTAGGCATCAATGAATAAATGTTGAATTAATCTGAATAAGAAAAAGTATCTTTACGTTGACATAATCTGAGAAAGAGAAGGCATCTCTCTCCTTTCCGTTTTCTAGGTGTTCTTGGTATAACTGCTTGACTCCTCAATTTCTTATTTAATTTTTGAAAACTGCTTTATTGAGATATAAATTGTATACTGTACAACTTACCCATTTAAATTGTCCAATTCAGTGGTTGTTCATATATTTACGGAATTGTGCAGCCATCACCACAATCAATTTTATAAGATTTTCGTCCCTGCAGAAAGAAACTGAAAACCACTCTTCACTTCCTTCCAGCCTTCCATCCCCTGCCCCCACCACTGTGTAACCACTAATCTTTCTGTCTCTATAGTTTTGTGTATTCGGGACATTTCATATAAAAGGATTCATATGATATGTAATCTTTTGTGACTGTTTTCCTTCACTTGGAATAGTGTTTTCAAGATTCATTCACAATGTAGCACATATCAGTACTTTGTCATTTTATTGCTGAATAATATTCCATTGTATGGATGTACTATATTTTATTTATTCTTTCATCAGTCGATGGTCTTTTGGGTTCTTTACACTGTTTGGCTATTACAAATAGTATTGATATGAACAATCATGTACAAGTTTTTGTATAGATGTATGTTCTCATTTAATTTAATAATGCTTTAATTACTCTTGTGTATATACCTAAGAGTGGAATTGCTGGGTCATAAAGTTTAACAGTTTGAGGAGCTTCCAAACTGTTTTCCACCATGACTTCATCATTATGTATAAGGGTTCTAATTTCTCCACATTCTCACCAGCGCTTGTTATAAATCTTTTTTTATTATCATCCTATTGGGTGTGAAGTAGCATCTTATTGTGTTCATTTGCATTTTTCTCTGGTGACTAATGATGTTGAGCATCTTTTCTTGTGCTTACTGGCCCTTTTTTTTTTTTTTTTTTTTTTTTTTTTTTTTTTTTTTTTTTTGAGATGGAGTCTCACCATGTTGCCCAGGCTCGTTTGAAGTCCTGGCCTCAACTGATTCTCCCAAAGTGGGATTATGGGCATGAGCCACTGCACCTGGCCGTATTGGTCATTTGTATATCTTTTTTGGAGAAGTGTCTGTTTACATTGTTTGCCAGTTTTTAAAACTGATTTGTCTTTTTGAGTATAAGAATTTAAAAATTCTGAATGCAAGTTCCTTATCAGATGTTTAATTTGCAAATATTTTCTCCCATTTGGGTCATCTTTATACTTTCTGAAGGGTTCCTTATATACCCACAAATTTTTGATTTTGACGAAGTCCAGTTTATCTATATTTTTTCCTATGTTGCTTGTGCTTTTGGTGTCATATCTGAGAAACCATTGCCTAACCTAAGGCCTGAAGATTTACTCTTATGTTTGCTTTTAAGATTTTTAATAGCCTTAGGTCTTACATTTAGGTCTATGACCCATTCTTCATTTGCACATGTCGCAACACCATTTGTTAAAAAGACTGTTTTTTTCCATTGAATTGTCTTGGCACCCTTATAAAAAAAATCAATTAAAAATAAATGTGAGGAGTTAACTCTGGGCTCTGAATTCTATCCCATTGATCTACATGACTATCTTTATGCATCTTGTTTATTTTTACTAGTTCCTTGGTAAGGTAGATGTGGGTAATTCAACAGAGAAAACATTCCTAGTTAAAAACATTTAATATTTTGAGAAAAATTTCCTGTAAACTTCCTGGAGCAGCGACACTGTATATTTTGCTCACTGTTAAATCTTCAAGAACCTAAAAGAATGCCAGGCACGTGGTGGTGCTCAGTAAATATTTGTCAAAAGACTGATTGAAGGATTGTTTTAGTCCTGCTGCTGCTAATGCTTTTGTAACTTAAAACTGTGCTTGAATATTTAGACTTCCAAAACTTTTCTCTATAAGCTCTGAGTGTTGTTATTTATGTTCTGTTAAGGATTTGGCTTTGGTTCTTGTAGGATTTTTCTGTAAATCACTTGGTGGAAGACTGGAAAAAAGGGTATTTGCATAGGTTTTATGAATAATTTTTTGGTAGGTTTGACAGGTGAAGATGTTAATGTCATTTAAATATACATGGATTTTCATCTATTATCTTGAAACATATTTAGCAGGTTTTAGAGTGCAATGTGTGCTGCTTTCCTCACAGGAAATAATGTAGACAGCTGGAAGACTGCTTCTAAACACACACACCCTTCCCACCTCCATGACTTCCTTTCAACCTTGAACTTTGGGGATTTCTAGCAGGATTGTAGGTTAAGGCATTTGGAGCAGCTGTGGCTTTGTGGAATTGAACTACAATCCTCTATGACTGAGGGAAATTGTAGGAAATCTTAGTGGTATCAAAACTGGCATAATATAAGCTTTACAGTCTTTTCTGGATGGCACATTTTAAAAGTCAATAGTATTCAAACGCTTGAAAAATCCCAATAAATGTGTGGGCTACTGCTCCCTTTGTCAAGAGAATCTCAAGCATTCAGAATCTAGATAATGTGGTAGCTTCACAAAATCTTTCACACGAACTCGTTTCTGCTTGTCATTGCTTTTTCCTGTCAGCCACTCATGCTTTTGCCCAGTAGTTCTACTGTCTGATCCTCTGCACCAAAGCTGCATGCAGTCCCATATCCTCAGTTAATTCAGCCCCACGATGCTACCCAAAGTGCAGCAGACAGCCAGGGCAAGAGTGTGGAAGAGCTGACATAATTACAACAGAGTGGGTTTCAGTTATGATGGAAAGTTAGGCCTGACATGGACATTTGGAGTCATCTAATCCAGCCCACACTTTCTACAGGGGAGGGAACAGAGACTTAGCACATGGGCCTAGACTCTTCTCTCTGGTTTTTCTCTTGGTTCTTTTTTTGGTGCTCACTCACTGTGTCTTTGCAGCATGGGAGGGAAGAACTGAGAACTGGTTGTAGAGGCAGAAGTCAGAATTTGCCGAACATCATGTAGATTTCACTGCCAATCCCATCACCTCCCATACTCCTAACTGCGCCCTTCCCTTCTCCCCACCCCCAGCCCTTAAATTAAGCCATCTCAGGCCTCTGGTCTGTTCCTATGACCTTAGCATTTGGATTTGTAGAACTCTTCCTGGTTAGGTTCTGTGAGAGAGAGTGTCTTCTGCTCGAGGGAAGCTTTAAAAAAATTACATAAGAGATGGCTTGCGTGGAATTTCTTTTCAGAATGATACTTATTGCACTGCATTTTAATTTTTAGTATTAGAGCTTATGTCACTGAGTGTTTCCTTGGTCTTTATTTTGTAAAGCCTTTTCCCTGAGTTTTTAAAGCTCCATGCTGCATATCTCTCCAGGAAATAAAATTAAAAACTGATCAGTGACTCTTCTTATTGCCTGAAGAAGGATGCAGAGAAGAAAGCAGAAAGGTAAAATTGCTCTTTCGTTGAAAGGTTTCAGATGGACCAATCATTAGGAGGCTAATAGATCTTTTCCCTTGATAATGATTATTTTGTGCTTCTGCTGCTGTTTACAAGGGCGCTTGGAGGATGTGCAAATTTTCCAGAATTCCTTAGGGAGCCTGCTTCTTTTTCTTTCAGACACTGTTTTTACATCATGTTCTCCAGCAGTTATTTGAAGATAAATATGTTTTGAGTGTGAGGGTATATTGGGGTCTGGACCAATGCTATGTGACCATAATTGTAGGTTTGGATTTGTGAACTCAATTCTACAAGAATATATTCAGAGCTTATTGTGTACCTAGTAGCATCCAGGATTTCTGGTGGGATAGTGAAATAAAGGGAGGACTCTTGCCTGTAGAAGTTTAACTGTTAGGTGGGGAGACATTTATTTATAAAACAACAGAGTATGATATGAGACAATTTATAATCAAGTATTGAATCATGTGGTGGAGATTCTTAAGAGGTACAGAAATTCTTGTAAGAAATTGTTTCTTATGTGCCAAGGTGAAGTTAATCAGGAAAGGTATTTTAGAAAAAGTGAATACAGGTTGAACTGTGCCTTATCTGAAACCCTCGTGGCTGGCTCTGTTTCAAGATCTAAAATATTTCAGATTCTAGGGTGGTAATGTAATGTATGTATTATATAGCATCCCCAATCACCTCTGGGGAGGCACCTCATAAAACAAGCACATAAATTGGATATTCACAAAAGTAGAGACTCTAAGTAGCCTTATACTAGTTTATAACAAATTTTGCTCCTGCATTATCTATTGCTATGTGGCAAATTATGGACAAAACTTAGCAGCTTTAAAAGAACCAGTATTTATCATCAACAATTTCTGTGGATCTGGCATCCAGGAGCCATTTGTTGGAGGATTCTGGTTCCAGGTCTCGCATGAGGTTGCACTCAAGTTGTGGCTGAGGCGTCAGTCATCTGGAGATGGTGGATATGGGCAGCCCTCAGTTCCTCACTGGCCTTCAACAGAAAACCATAGGCCCTCACCATGTGGGCTGCTCCATAGACTCCTGAGTACTTTGCAATATGGCAGCTGACCTCCCTCCATGGAAAGTGACCCGAGAGAATATGAGAGAATGCGAGCTCAAGATGGAAGCCACAGTCTTTTATAACATCCTGTCATTTCTGCTGTAGTTTTTTGGTCACACCACTCGTGTGAGAGAGGACTAAACAAGGGTATGAAAACAAGGGCTCCCTTGAAGCCATCTGGAAGACAGACTGCATAGTCCTCAGATGAGTTTTTGGATTTTAGATTTGGAGAAGAGATTTGGCCTCCTGAAAGTTGAAAGTGAGGCCTTGTGAGGATGGACTGTGTCTCTGAAGGCCATGCAGCATGGAGAGGTAGCATGAACATAGAGAAGGGAGTTTTGTGGAGGAAGACGGGGGATCTGGGGAATGCTTGAACTAGCAGTCCCTCCTGTGCACCAGGCCCTGCACTTGATGCAGGGCGTGAAGAGGTGAATTAGATTGCTTCTAACCATCCGGAACTTAAATCTAGAGTTATGCTTTGAGAAATAATCAGCTTGATGAAAATACTTTTCATTGAGTGTCTACAATAAGAAAGAAAAAGTCTATGTAGTGGAAGAAGGAGAGAATATAGACTCCGAATATCTGGATTCTGCTTCCAGCTCCTTCATTTCCTAGCTTGGAGAAGTCACTTAATGTTTTGCAGTCATAGTTTATCCATTTATAAAATTAAACTGATGCTAATATTATCCCATTAATATGACAAGTATTGGGAGGCTTAAGGGAGATAATGGTTGAAAAAACTTACAAAATGTTAAGGTGCCATAGATTTTTAAAAATCATTATCTTGTGGCTCCATCATTTACTCACTGTTGGCAAGTTAACTCTGTGCCTGAGTTTTGTCATCAGTGAAATGAGAATAACACTATCTGCATCACAGATTGTTGGGAGAGTTGAATTAAATAGTACATGTAAGGGCTTAGAATAGTGCCTAGCACATGATAACATGGTAAATGCCAAATGTGTGTTAGCTGCCATTATTATATAGTCATATAATGCCATGCCTCATGAGAGATGATATAGTTAGATAGTGCTGTGCCTTATGGGAGGTGAAATCATGACAGAATGTCCTTAGACATAGGTTCTAAGCAATGAAGCAAGGGGCAGTTTTTCTTAGAAGGCTTCTTAATGTTTACATTTGCATTTGCCGATTAGAAAACTGATTTATTGCATGGAACAGAGCTTACTTTGAAAACAACAACCAGCTTTCTCTCTTTTTTTCTTCTTCCTCCTTTTTTGATGTCAACCTTCATGTACAGCTTTTCAAATTTTTGGAGGTCGTAGCTGAAAATAACTCCTTTGTATTTCCAGTAGAATAGTCAAAAATGAACTGGTCAGTTTGCCTGCCCAAGCATAAAGAGGTACATTTAATTTACTTAGCCTTGTTCACTTGATGGAGATGTGTTTCAAAAATGAAGCTTAGGCCTCGCGCAGTACCTTACTCCTGTGATCCCAGCACTTTGGGAGGCCGAGGTGGGAGGATCATTTAAGCCCAGGAGTTTGAGACCAGGTTGGACAACACGGTGAGACCCCCGTCTCTACAAAATAAAAGTAATTAGCCAGCATGGTGGTGTGAGCCTGTAGTCCTAGCTACTCTGTAGGCTGAGGTGGGAGCATCACTTGAATCCAGGAGTTAGAGGTTGCAGTAAGCTCCACTGCACTCCAGGCTGGGTGACAGAGTGAGACCCTGTCTCTAAAGAAAGAAAGGCAAGCTTAGATTTGACATGTGATTAGTAAATTATATGTCAAAAAGGAGACTTACAGTTCTTCTGTTAATTTCAGTGATGAAGACATTAAGTTAATTATGATTTAGCCTTTGTAAGACTCTGACTTGCCTTTTTTTTTTTTTTTTGCTGAGGATTATGAGGACCTTGATAAATCATTATTTCCTAAAAATCTTTGTTCAACGAACCAAGAAGAGCTTGATCCTAGACTGCCTTTCATCCATTACATGCATTGGGAAAGCAGGTTTTGACAGTGTCATAGAAACAGACACAGATTCCCAGAGAACAGCTATAAAGGAAACCAGCCTCCAGGTTGACAGTGGATCAATCCCCTTATGGCACAGATTTTCTTTGTGAATGGGGGTGAAAAAACTAGAGGCTCCTCATATGTTTTTGGGTTAAAAATCTTTGTTTTTTTTTTCCAACTTAAAAATGCTGAGGGTTTTGTGTGTGTGTGTGTGAGCTAGAGGGAGAAAAATAAGTGACATGACATTTAAATACCATATTAATATTTGGGTCAGTTGTGTTTAAGAGTAAACATACGACTAACCGCTTTCTAGGAAGGCTTAATCTTCCTTTTAAATATTGTTCTCAAAAGATGAGCAATATTTATGTATTGAAACAACATTTTCTTGAAGTATGAAAATTGAGGTACTGAAAACAGGTATGTATTCAAGAAGATGTGCCTTGCTTTACCAAAAAAATGTGCTTTTGAAAAGTTTTGCTGTGAACTGATTCATGTTTTGAAATGCTTCCCATCTGGTGTCATAGAAAAGTTGAAAAGGAGGCAAGGATTTTTTTTCTCCCCAGGGGAGGGGTGGTGATTTTATGTGATAAATGTCTGTAGTGCCGAGTCTTCCACGTACTTTTCCCCACGCTTTTTCTTTTTTTTGTTTTAAGGTCCATGCTAATCTCTGTATATTCCAATTTTAGTATATGTGCCGCTGAAGCAAGCACTCCCGTGCTTTTTTACTTGCTGCAGTAACTGGTGAGTTGACCAAAGTCATGTTGTTAGCAAAGGCTGCTGTGGTTTTCAGCACAAAGTGAAAGACAGGCATTCCTCTGTTTTGGTTTTACCAGTTGTATTAGTCTGTTCTTGCATTGCTGACTGGATTAAAAAAAAAAAAAGGTTTAATTGGCTCATAGTTCTGCAGGCTGTACAGGAAGCATGGCTAGGGGGCCTCAGGAAACTTACAATCGTGGTGGAAGGTGAGGGGGAAGCAGACACATTCTACATGGCTAGACCAGGAGGAAAAGGAGGAGGTGCTACACACTTTTAAACAACCAGTGAGAACTCACTCACTATCATGAGAACAGCAAGGGAGAAATTTGCCGCCAAGATCCAATTACCTCCCACCAGGCCCCTCCTCCAACACTGGGGATTACAGTTCAAGGTGAGATTTGGGCGGGGACGCAAATCCAAACCACATCACTGGTGTATGTTTTTACCTTCATCTGCAAGTGGCTAATTTATTGCTTTCCACCTAACGTGTTGGGGTTACAGAGTGACAACAAAATGCACCATTTCCCCCTGTGTTTAATACATTTTGCTGCTCTAAGTGGAATTCATGGCTTATTAGACATGCCAAGTTGCTAGTTTTCTAATCATACGCAACCAAAAATGATCAGTAAAAATTGCTTAGGCTGACTAGTGTATCTTGAGGTTTTACTGCATGCACCTGTCATTGGCTCTCTTTTTGTCTAATCTCGTCTCCATGGAAGAGTCATTGACACTAGTTGGGTCAATTCAGCTGCATTTCTTGGGTTACATTGTGTTCGATTTCTGTTGTAGGAGGAAAAAGGGTGAGAGTCAATAAAGATACAATTACTTGGAAATAGCTATAATTTTTTATAATACTTACCAGTAGATTTTATACTTCTTCTTAAATTAAGACATTTGGGTGGAGAATAAAGCATATGCAATCCATATACATATTTACATATTTGCTGTCACATGATTCTGGTATTTTTGGTGTATCAGTTCACATGGGTAACATTTTTAAAAATTCTTTAAAATTAATGAGAGAACATTGAGAATTAGTTTCCTCTTATGTAGGAACTTTTAGTTCTTCACTGAGTGAAGGATGAAGAAAGAATTCCTCAGATCCTGGGTAGTGAATACGTTAAATGCATGTTTGATGCAAGTGTTTGATGATTAGGATAAATGGCCAAGCTTTTTTCTAGCTCTGAAGGTCTGCTGGATGTGGCTAGTTTTCAAGCCTGGAGGTAGTGTCTGTGGCTTACCTAGTCTGGAGTCACAATCAACTTTTTATTACTCAGGTTCTGCAGGTTACTGTGACTTTTTCATTTCCTCTCATAGATAGGGGACAGATAGGGGCCAGGAAAATCAGTGAAATTTCCTATTTTCAACAATGTGGATGCTTGTTTGGTAGGGAAAGAAGAGTGAAGCTGTTTGTTCTTTCTTGGACTCATGAGTATTTTGATTTTTTAATGACTCATTTTTTGGAACTTCTTATTTTCATCATTAGGGCTACTTCATAGAGTAAGACCATATATAGTTAAAAGTTATCCAGAAGGAATAGGGAGCCAGTCAGTTCCATGGAAGTTTTAACAGTACTTGCACTCAAGATATTTTGTGTCTCCATGTGATGTCTAACACCCAGTGGTGTTCAGTAAATGTTAATACCTTTGCCTTCTTGACACTAGTCAGGCTGTTGTGGGGGATACAAAATGAACATACATTAAATTAGAACAACAAAATTGATAGAGTTTGGATGTTTGTCCTTACACAAATCTCATGTTGAATTGTACTCCCCAACACTGGAGGTGGGGTCTGGTGGGAGGTGTTTGGGTCATGGGGTTGGATCCCTCATGGCTTGGTCCTGTCTTTGCATTAGTGAATGAGTTCTTGCAAGACCTGGTCATTTAAAAGTGTGTGGCACCTCCCTCTGACACTTTCTTTCTTGCTCCTGTTCCCACTGTGTGACCTGCCTGCTCCCCCTTTGCCTTCCACCATCAGTAAAAGCTCTCTGAGGCCTCCCCAGAAGCCAAGCAGATGCTGTGCCGTGCTTGTACTGCCTGTAGAACTGTAAGCTAATGCAACCTCTTTTCTTTATAAATGACCCAGTGATATGGTTTGGCTCTGTGTCCCTACGCAAATCTCACCTCGAATTGTAATCCCCACGTGTTTTGGGAGGGACCTGGTAGGAGGTGATTGAATCATGGGGGCGGTTTTCCGCATGCTGTTCTCGTGATAGTGAGTGAGTTCTCATGAGATCTGATTATTTAAAAGTGTTTGGTAGTTCTCTTCACCCCCCTCTCTCTTTCCTACCACCTTGTATAGAAGGTGCCTGCTTCTCCTTCACCTTCGGCCATGATCATAAGTTTCCTGAGGTCTCCCCAGCCATGTGCAACTGTGAGTTAATTAAACCTCTTTCTTTCATAAGTTACCCAGTCTCAAGTGCTTCTTTATAGCAGTGCGAAAATGGACTAATACACCCAGTCTCAGGTATTTCTTTATAGCAATGCAAGAACGGCCTAACACATAAATGTAATCTAGGGCTGGTAGTGTGATATTGAACCAGTGGGAGACATGATGGGCCCATGGAGAAGTGTCTTGAATTTGACTTTGAAGGATTAGTCAAAGGGGGTGAAGGGATGCCCACTGGAGCTCCTAGGTCAGTGGGCTGCTGGCTGAGCCCAGAGGCAAAGAGGAGTATCAGCTTGCATACAGTTGGTGTTACTAGGTAGGTGAAGGGCCTGAAGCCATTAAGGGGATTTAAGACGTGATGTGTGATAGGTCAAAGCAGAGAAGAACCCTGGTGGTATTTAAGGAAATTAAGCTGGCAGTTACCACCTGCAGGCTGGATTAGAGCTTTAGGGAGGGAATCTGGAGTCTGAGAAAGTGTTATGTGTGGTGATGAGAGCTAGAATTCAGCATGGAAGTGGAGTAGAGAAAAAAAGATAGTGAGGATGTTTTGGATAGTCATTCTTTAAACAGATATATTTCGAGAACCTTCCAGGTGCCAGGCAGTGGGCTGGGCCCTGGATGCAGCCATGAAGCCGGCTGACACACTGCCTCCCAGTATGGAGCTTACAACTTAGTGGGGAACCTGGATGGTGATTACACAGGTCTGGGAGGATATGGTTGTGGTGACATGAGAGTATACAACAGGGGAATCTGATTGAATGGGAGGGGAGCCTTCCTGAGAATGGGATGTTTGGGCTGAATGGGGGTGACAGGAGGCAGAAGTTCAAGGCAGAGGGAGCAACCTGAGCAAAGGTCCTGAGGCAGAAACAGAAAGAACCCAGTGTGGCTGGGGTATAAGGAGGAGAAAGGAAAGAGCTGGTGATATGTGATGATCATAGCAGGGGAGGGTGTATTGAGAGGAATATTGGTGGAAAGTGGGTGGTTTAGATGGTTTGATTTTGGCGAGGGTGATGGATTCACCGCTCCGCACGTTGGTCTCACAGTGTACATTTACTGGATGAATACCTCTTTTTAACATGGGGCTAACTTCTCATTTCTCTGGCTCTAATTAAGATGTTAATGTCATACTTTTTTTTTTTTTTTTCTAGGATAGACTCCCCTTAGCTTCTTCCAGAAAACATCCTGGCAGTGAAAGAAAGGTCTTTAAGGCCCTGGACGTGTCACCTTGAAGCCCATATACATTTCACTCAGAGCCTATGAACTCGAATAAGATTGGCAGTCTTATTTTGTTAATACTCACAGGGGCTAGCTGATCTGATACCTGAGTCTATAGCAAAGACAGGCTGGGAGGACCTCAGGTGAAAGAAAGAAAACCCACCTTCTAGGCTGGGCATGGTGGTTCAGAAGCCTGTAATCCCAGCACTTTGGGAGGCCGAGGCAGGAGGATCACTTGAGCTCAGGAGTTTGAGACCAGCCTGGGCAACAAGACAAAACACCGTCTCTACTAAAAATACAAAAAATTAGCGGGTGTGGTGGTGCATGCCTGTAGTCCCAGCTACTCGGAAGGCTGAGGCATGAGAATCACTTGAACCCGGGAGGCAGAGGTTGCAGTGAGATGAGATGGTGCCACTGCACTCCAGCCTGGACGACAGAGTGAGACTGTCTCAAAGACAAAGAAACAAACAAAAAAAACCCCACATTCTAAAGAAGCATTTATTATGGGGCTGTTTATTATGGAGGCTGATAGCGCTTCACTCTTACTAACTGCCAGGATAGAGATTTGGTAGGCCTAGAGAAAAGAAAGGAAAATCCTAAAAAAGAAAAAATTTCCCTTGTGTTTTCTGACATTGGAAAAAGATTTTTTTTTAATATATTGAATGATTATTGTTACACATTGAATGGGTTGGACTAAGTAATTTCTAAGACTACCTTCCATCTCGAAAGCTGTGTGATCCTCTTCCTGTCTACATGCTGTGCTTTCGCCAGCTTGTTTTATGCATCATTGTATGAACATGCTGTGTGCATTTCTTAGCTTAGTGGCTTAGCTTACAATTGTCTCCAGCCTGAGTACCATAGAAGGGAGATTTCTGGATCTAAATGCATGGAGATTTTTAAAGCTTTTGATATGTGGGGCCACATGTTTTCTAGGCAGGCTGCACTACAGAATAATGGTTAATGGTTAGCTTTTTGAGCTAGGAAAACTGCGGTCAAATCCTTGACCTGCCACTTACTAGCCGTGTGATTGAGGATTTACTTAGTCCCTGACTCTCTTCATTTCTTCATATAAAAAATGGGGAATAATAATCATATAGGGCTTTTATGAAGATTAACTGAGAATGTACTCTAATTGCTATTTTATTTTATAATCCTAGATTTCCATGAGTGTAGAATATTAGCATATAAAATATCCTGGTCAAATTGACAAAGAAAATGTAAAGTTTTATTTATATTTTTTGATTACTGTTGAGGTTGAGTATTTTTTCATGTGTATGGGTTATGTTCATTTTTTGTAAATTTTTTTTCAGAATTACTACTTTATTATAGTAGTGGTCTCTTCTCTAAATTCATATTCATATTGCATCTGCCACTCACTTTACATGCACTTGATATTCTGCACAGCATCAAACACAGCACTAAGAATGCACAGTTTGGTGCTTAGTAGATACTGTGTACATTTTTAAGACGTAATACATGTATAATATGAAGGCTATTTTGCTATGGTAAAAATCATTGTTTCTGTTCTTAGATCAAGTCTATGAATTCTTTATAAAATTAGTATTTTTACTTTTCAGAGAAACTCTCAAAGTTATTTCCTTGGGAATTCTTATGAAAAATCAGCTGGAGGTCATTATCTTAAGTGAACTAACTCAGAAACAGAAAACCAAATACTTCATTTTCTCACTTATAAGTGGGAGCTAAACAATGGGTACATATAGTCATAAAGATGGAAATAACAGACACTGGGGACTCCAAAAGAGGGAAGCGTAGAAAGGGGGTGAGGCCTGATAAATTACCTATTGGGTATAATGTTCAGTATTTGGATAATGGGCAGACTAGAAGCCCAGTTCCCATGGGTATGCAATATACCCATGAATCAAACATGCACATGTACCTACTGAATTTAAAATAAAATAATATTTTACAAAGAAAAGAAAAATCATATTACTTGCACCATGTTGGTCATTGCAGCTTAAAAGTATACCCATACATTTCTTGATACTTCTCCTTTCAGAAGGTAAAAGCTAATTCACCTGCCCTTGAGTATAGGCTGGACTCATTGCTTTGGAGACTAGATTATACAAGGCACGGTGGTGTCTCTGTCTGTCTCTGTCTGTCTGTTTCTCTCTCTCTCTCATCACCTTGCTAAGTGGAAAGCCAGCTGACCTGTGGTGAGGCCTGTGTGGTGAGGAACTGAGAGTTCTTGCCAATAGCCAGGTACCTGGACTACTTTGGAATTTGACCCTTCAATGGACTGCAGCCCTGGCTGATACTCTGACCATAACGTCGCAAGAGACCATGGGCCAGAACCACTCAGCTTGATGTAGATACTCCTGGAGTTCTGACTCTTGGATGCTGTGTGAGATAGATGTTTGTTGTTTTAAACCATTACGTTTTGGGGTAATTTGTTATACAGCAGTAGTGCCATGTAGTTGTCCTCCAGTGTCTGATAGATGTGTGAATTCATTTAAAACTGAAGTAAAAACTCAATATGACATAGTCTAAAACTGAGTATGTATCTGGAAGAAACTGCATATTGAAGCAATATGGATAAAGCCTTTGTATAAAAGTGAAATGGTTTTCTTTTTCTTTTTTTTAATTTTTTTTAATTATACTTTAAGTTCTTGGGTACATGTGCACAACGTGCAGGTTTGTTACATATGTATACATGTGCCATGTTGGTTTGCCGCACCCATTAACTCGTCATTTACATTAGGTATCTCTCCTAATGCTATCCCTCCCCCTTCCCCCAACCCCACGACAGGCCCCAGTGGGTGATGTTCCCTGCCCTGTGTCCAAGTGTTCTCATTGTTCAGTTCCCACCTATGAGTGAGAACATGTGGTGTTTGGTTTTCTGTCCTTGTGACATTTTGCTCAGAATGATGGTTTCCAGCTTCATTTATGTCCCTACAAAGGACATGAACTCATCATCCTTTTTTATGGCTGCATAGTATTGCATGGTGTATAATGTGCCACATTTTCTTAATCCAGTCTATCATTGATGGACATTTGGGTTGGTTCCAAGTCTTTGCTATTGTGAATAGTGCCACAATAAACATAAGTGTGCATAAGTCTTCATAGTAGCATGATTTATAATCTTTGGGTATATACCCAGTAATGGGATCACTGGGTCAAATGGTATTTCTAGTTCTAGATTCCTTGAGGAATTGCCACAGTCTTCCACAATGGTTGAACTAGTTTACATTCCCCACCAACAGTGTAAAAGTGTTCCTATTTCTCCACATCCTCTCCAGCACCTGTTGTTTCCTGACTTTTTAATGATCGCCATTCTAACTGGCATGAGATGGTATCTCATTGTGGTTTTGATTTGCATTTCTCCGATGACCAGTGATGATGAGCATTTTTTCATGTGTCTGTTGGCTGCATAAATGTCTTCTTTTGAGAAGCGTCTGTTCATATCCTTCGCCCACTTGTTGATGGGGTTGTTTGTTTTTTCTTCTAAATTTGTTTTAAGTTCTTTGTAGATTCTGGATATTAGTCCTTTGTCAGATGAGTAGATTGCAAAAATTTTCTCCCATTCTGTAGGTTGCCTGTTCACTCTGATGGTAGTTTCTTTTGCTGTGCAGAAGCTCTTTAGTTTCATTAGATCCCATTTGTCAATTTTGGCTTTTGTTGCCATTGCTTTTGGTGTTTTAGACATGAAATCCTTGCCCATGCCTATGTCCTGAATGGTATTGCCTAGGTTTTCTTCTAGGGTTCGTATGGTTTTAGGGCTAACATTTAAGTCTTTAACCCATCTTGAATTAATTTTTGTATAAGGTGTAAGGAAGGGATCCAGTTTCAACTTTCTACATATGGCTAGCCAGTTTTCCCAGCACCATTTATTAAATAGGGAATCCTTTCCCCATTTCTTGTTTTTGTCAGGTTTGTCAAAGATCAGATGGTTGTCGATGTGTGGTGTTATTTCTGAGGGCTCTGTTCTGTTCCATTGGTCTATATCTCTGTTTTGGTACCAGCACCATGCTGTTTTGGTTACTGTAGCCTTGTAGTATAGTTTGAAGTCAGGTAGCTAGCATGATGCCTCCAGCTTTGTTCTTTTGGCTTAGGATTGTCTTGGCAATGTGGGCTCTTTTTTGGTTCCATATGAACTTTAAAGTAGTTTTTTCCAATTCTGTGAAGAAAGTCATTGGTAGCTTGATGGGGATGGCATTGAATCTACAAATTACCTTGGACAGTATGGCCATTTTCACAATATTGATTCTTCCTATCCATGAGCATGGAATGTTCTTCCATTTGTTTGTGTCCTCTTTTATTTCATTGAGCAGTGGTTTGTAGTTCTCCTTGAAGAGGTCCTTCACATCCCTTGCAAGTTGGATTCCTAGGTATTTTATTCTCTTTGAAGCAATTGTGAATGGGAGTGCACTCATGATTTGGCTCTCTGTTTGTTTGTTATTGGTGTATAGGAATGGTTTTGATTTTTGCACATTGATTTTGTATCCTGAGACTTTGCTGAAGTTGCTTGTCAGCTTGAGGAGATTTTGGGCCGAGATTATGGTGTTTTCTAAATATACAATCATGTCATCTGCAAACTGGCACAATTTGACTTCCTCTTTTCCTGATTGAATACCTTTTATTTCTCTCTCCTGCCTGATTGCACTGGCCAGAACTTTCAACACTATGTTGAATAGGAGTGGTGAGAGAGGGCATCCCTGTCTTGTGGCAGTTTTCAAAGGGAATGCTTCCAGTTTTTGCCCATTCAGTATGATATTGGCTGTGGGTTTGTCATAAATAGCTCTTATTATTTTGAGTTACATCCTATCAATACCTAGTTTATTGAGAGTTTTTGGCATGAAGGGCTGTTGAATTTTGTCAAAGGCCTTTTCTGCATCTGTTGAGATAATCATGTGATTTTTGTCTTTGGTTTTGTTTATGTGATGGATTACATTTATTGATTTGCGTATGTTGAACCAGCCTTGCATCCAGGAATGAAGCCAACTTGATCTTGGTGGATAAGCCTTTTGATGTGCTGCTGGATTCAGTTTGCCAGTATTTCATTGAGGATTTTTGCATCGATGTTCATCAGGGATATTGGTCTAAAATTCTCTTTTTTTGTTGTGTCTCTGCCAGGCTTTGGTATCAGGATGATGCTGGCCTCATAAAATGAGTTAGGGAGGAATCCCTCTTTTTCTATTGATTGGAATAGTTTCAGAAGGAATGGTACCAGCTCCTCCTTGTACCTCTGGTAAAATTCACCTGTGAATCCGTTTGGTTCTGGACTCTTTTGGTTGATAGGTTATTAATTATTGCTTCAATTTCAGAGCCTGTTATTGGTCTATTCAGGGATTCAACTTCTTCCTGGTTTCATCTTGGGAAGGTGTATGTGTCCAGGGATTTATTCATTTCTTCTAGATTTTCTAGTTTATTTGCGTAGAGGTGTCTATAGTATTCTTTGATGGTAGTTTGTATTTCTATGGGATCGGTGGTGGTATCCCCTTTATCATTTTTTATCGCGTCTGTTTGATTCTTCTCTCTTTTCTTCTTTATTAGTCTTGCTAGCGGTCTATCAATTTTGTTGATCTTTTCAAAAAACCAGCTCCTGGATTCATTAATTTTTTGATGGTTTTTTTGTGTCTCTATCTCCTTCAGTTCTGCTCTGATCTTAGTTATTTCTTGCTTTCTGCTAGCTTTTGAATGTGTTTGCTCTTGCTTCTCTAGTTCTTTTAATTGTGATGTTAGGGTGTCGATTTTAGATCTTTCCTGCTTTCTCTTGTGGGCATTTAGTGCTATAACATTGCCTCTACACACTGCTTTAAATGTGTCCCAGAGATTGTGGTACGTTGTGTCTTTGTTCTCATTGGTTTCAAGGAACATCTTTATTTCTGCCTTCATTTTGTTATTTACCCAGTAGTGATTCAGGAGCAGGTTGTTCAGTTTCCATGTAGTTGAGCAGTTTTGAGTGAGTTTCTTAGTCCTGAATACTAATTTGATTGCACTGCTGTCTGAGAGACAGTTTGTTGTGATTTCTGTACTTTTACATTTGCTGAGGAGTGCTTTACTTCCAATTATGTCGTCAATTTTGGAATAAGTGTGATGTGGTGCTGAGAAGAAACTATATTCTGTTGATTTGGGGTGGAGAGTTCTGTAGATGTCTATTAGGTCCACTTGGTGCAGAGGTGAGTTCAATTCTTGGATATCCTTTTTAACCTTCTGTCTCATTGATCTGTCTAATATTGACAGTGGGGTGTTAAAGTCTCCCATTATTATTGTGTGAGAGTCTAAGTCTCTTTATAGGTCTCTAAGGACTTGCTTTATGAATCTGGGTGCTCCTGTATTGAGTGCATATATATTTAGGATAGTTAGCTCTTCTTGTTGAATTGATCCCTTTACCATTATGTAATGGCCTTCTGTGTTTCTTTTGATCTTTGTTGGTTTAAAGTCTGTTTTATTAGAGACTAGGATTGCAACCCCTGCTTTTTTTTTTTTTTTTTTTTTTTGCTTTCCATTTGCTTGGTAGATCTTCCTCCATCCCTTTATTTTGAGCCTATGTGTGTCTCTGCATGTGAGATGTGTCTCCTGAATACAGCACACTGATGGGTCTTGACTCTTTATCCAATTTGCCTGTCTGTGTCTTTTAATTGGGGCATTTTGCTCATTTACATTTAAGGTTAATATTGTTATGTGTGAATTTGATTCTGTCATTATGATGTTAGCTGGTTAGTTTTCCCATTAGTCGATGCAGTTTCTTCCTAGCATCAGTGGTCTTTACAGTTTGGCATGTTTTTGCAGTGGCTGGTACCAGTTGTTCCTTTCCATGTTTAGTGCTTCCTTCAGGAGCTCTTGTAAGCCAGGACTGGTGCTGACAAAATCTCTCAGCATTTGCTTGTCTGTAAACGATTTATTTCTCTATCACTTATGAAGTTTAGTTTGGCTGTATATGAAATTCTGGGTTGAAAATTCTTTTCTTTAAGAATGTTGAATACTGGCCCCCACTCTCTTCTCGCTTGTGGAGTTTCTGCCGAGAGATCTGCTGTTAGTCTGATGGGCCTTTGTGGGTAACCCGACCTTTCTCTCTGACTGCCCTTAACATTTTTTCCTTCATTTCAACCTTGGTGAATCTGACAATTATGTGTCTTGGGGTTGCTCTTCTTGAGGAGTATCTATGGTGTTCTCTGTATTTCCTGAATTTGAATGTTGACCTGCCTTGCTAGGTTGGGAAAGTTCTCCTGGATAATATCCTGAAGAGTGTTTTCCCCCTTGGTTCCATTCTCCCCATCGCTTTCAGGTATACCAATCAGACGTAGATTTGGTCTTTTCACATAGTCCCATATTTCTTGGAGGCTTTGTTCGTTTCTTTTTACTCTTTTTTCTCTACACTTCTGTTCTTGTTTCATTTCATTAATTTGATCTTCCATCATTGATACCCTTTCTTCCACTTGATCGAATTGGCTACTGAAGCTTGTACATGCGTCATGTAGTTCTTGTGCCATGGCCTTTTCAGCTCCATCAGGTCATTTAAGGTCTTCTCTGCACTATTTATTCTTGTTAGCCATTCATCTCATCTTTTTTCAAAGTTTTTAGCTTCCTTGCGATGGGTTTGCAAGGAACTTCTCCTTTAGCTTGGAGAAGTTTGTTATTACCAGCCTTCTGAAGCCTACTTCTGTCAACTCATCAAAGTCATTCTCTGTCCAGCTTAGTTCTGTTGCTGGCGAGGAGCTGCAGTCCTTTGGAGGAGAAGAGGCGCTCTAGTTTTTAGAATTTTCAGCTTTTTTACTCTGGTTTCTCCCCATCTTTGTGGTTTTATCTACCTTTGGTCTTTGATGATGGTGACCTACAGCTGGGGCTTTGGTGTGGATGTCCTTTTTGTTGATGTTGATGCTATTCCTTTCTGTTTGTTACTTTTCCTTCTAACAGTCAGGTCCCTCAGCTGCAGGTCTGTTGGAGTTTGCTGGAGGTCCACTACAGACCCTGTTTGCCTGGGTATCACCAGCAGAGGCTGCAGAACAGCAAATATTGCAGAACAGCAAATATTGCTGCTTGATCTTTCCTCTGGAAGCTTTGTCTCAGAGGGGCACCCAGCTGTATGAGGTGTCAGTTGGCCCCTACTGGGAGGTGTCTCCCAGTTAGGCTACATGGGGGTCAGGGATCCACTTGAGGAGGCAGTCTGTCCGTTCTCAGAGCTCAAACACTGTGCTGGGAGAACCACTGCTCTCTTCAGAGCTGTCAGACAGGTATGTTTAAATCTGCAGAAGTTACTGCTGCCTTTTGTTCAGCTATGCCGTGCCCCCAGAGGTGGAGTCTACAGAGTCACGCTGGCCTCGTTGAGCTGCAGTGAGCTCCACCCAGTTTGAGTTTCTGGGCCGCTTTATTTACCTACTCAAGCTTTAGCAGTGGCAGATGCCACTCCCCCACCCAGGCTGTCAGCTCACAGCTCGATCTCGGACTGCTGTGCTGGCAGTGAGCAAGGCTCCGTGGGTGTGAGACCCACTGAGCCAGGTGCGGGATGTAATCTCCTGGTGTTCTGTTTGCTAAGACTGTTGGAAAAGCACAGTATTTGGGTGGCAGTGTCCTCATTTTCCAGGTACAGTCTGTCACGGCTTCCCTTGGCTAGGAAAGGGAAATCCCCTGACCCCTTGTGCTTCCCAGGTGAGGCGATGCCCCGCCCTGCTTTGGCTCACCCTCTGTGGGCTGCACCCACTGTCCAACCAGTCCCAAATAGATGAACCAGGTACCTCAGTTGGAAATGCAGAAGTCACCCGTCTTCTGTGTCGATCACGCTGGGAGCTGCAGACCAGAGCTCTTCCTATTCAGCCATCTTACTTCTTTTTCCTAAAGTGTGAAATGGTTTTCTAACATTTTTCATATTGTGTAGGCATTGAGACATGCAGAATTTATTTACTAGAGCTTAGTTTTTGGAAGTTTGGCATTGGTAGAACCGCCTTTATACCTTCATGCCATCCCTCCTTATTGTGTGAAACTGCCCTGGTTGTGTAGCCTCCGAGTTTCCTTCAGGCTCCTCTTTTGTAAAGAGGTGGTGGTAACATCTCCTAATTCTAGCATTGTTGTGAGGATCAAGTGAGATAACGTATATTACATTGTCAAAAGATGAAATTATAACAAATTTAGTTTAAAGGTCTCAATTAGCTTTATTTGCAATTCTGGAATTGGGCAACCCTTCCATAAGTAGAGTAAGTGTTCCAATGAGTGGGGCAGAGGAAGTTGCCTTTATAGACGGGAAAAAAAGCTAAAGAAGGCAGAAACAACAAAAATGTTGATCATTTCAAAGTTACTTTCCTTGTAAAGTGGGACAGAGAGATAGTATAATAGAAAAAATAACTGGTTAACATCAGGTTACTTTGGGTTAAGGATTAAAACAGAGGAACTTCGTTATTATGCCAGTGTAAGATTGAAACTGGCCTATTTGAGAAATTGGCCGTTTTCTGTCTCTCCTGATTTCTGAAAAGGTCAGATAACAACTCTGTTTTGTTTGGTGACCTGGAACTTTAGCATGGATGAGTCTGTTTTGATTTTTCAGTCTGGTCTGTTGGGGCCTAGTGTAGGAGCTTAGTCCAAAACAGTGGCCTCCTATGATTTTTATTTAACAATATTAAATGCTTATTAGTACAGTGTCAGGATTATAAAATCCTTAATACATTAAAAAATATTTAAAATGCCAATACAGATCTAATACAGGGGAGTAAAAATTTTGAATGAAATAATTTTCTTGTGTTTGAAAATATTAGAGATTTGCTTTTTAAATGATCATGTGTTTGTTTTTTCTCCTGTTGTTGTTCTCCGAATCTTCTGCTAAGCCATAGAATTTTTTTTTTCCACGTCCAACAATTCCTCTCCTGGGATCAGAAATTACTTTAGCATAAGTTCACAGCTCATTAAATTAATTTAAGAACCAACTGCTTTAGAGGCCTGTAAACCAATAATTTACTCTTAAGTGTGTATTTACCTCTGGGAGCTCATAGCAGGGGGCTAAAGGGGAGAGTTAATGGGCTTGGAAACTCCCTTGTTAGTGTGGAGGCTGTCTCCTGCCTGGCTGGCTCAGAGACCAGTTATCCAACCAAGTTTCCATTTTGAAAAGGAAAGACAGTTTGTTCTGCAAACCAAATAATGATAGAGGTAGAGTGCGGGGAGAAAAAAGAGCCCCTGAGCTATCCCTGCATGTAATAGTTGAGCAGGTGGATGGGAAGCCTGGACCAGATCTTTGAGATAGCTGTCCACTGCAAAGTTGGGGCACAGAGCAGTGTCTTGTGTCAAGGCAGCCTTCGCATTTGAGGTTTTTCATACACAGGCTGTCTATCCATAATCCTGACTCTCCCATTCTCTCTCGGTCTCTTCAATTCAGTGGTTCTGACCCCTGAATGCACATTACAGTCACCTGTGGGAGCTATGAAAGTGACCAACTATAAATTCTAATTGAAGGTGATCTGGGTGGGGTCTGAGTTTGGATAAAGTTAAAAACCTCCATTAGCTGAGTCAGATACATAGAGGAGCCTGAGAGCCAAGTGACCTGGGCCAGGTGGGTAGGTCTGCCGATCTGTTTCCAGATTCCTTCTCTCTTGCCTCACCGCACTTCCTTTAAAGCTCTGTATATTTAAGGCTGACTCTGGCTGGCATCAGCTTTGCATTGCACTTTTAAACTGTGACCTTAACTGCTTGCCCTTTTAAATGATGGGAAGGGAGGAGATAAGCGTATTTTTGTGAAAAATTGCTGGCTGTAACCAGATACTGTAAGGGTAAATTGTTAGTTTGCCGCCTTGTTGGGTTTTGAATTAATTTAATGATCTGTGAATTTCTGCTGAAACAACTTGAATTTCTAAGTCTTCTCTGTGCCATGGCCCCTAGAGAGGAACTTTTGGGGTTTGGTGCCTTAAAATTTCTGTCAGTCCTCCTACAGTGATAGAAAATTGAGATACTTTACTTCCTTTTTCTTTTATTGTTATTAAAAACTTGGTGGGTAACTTTTACATTTCTTTTTAAGTGAGGAAGATAGAAAGTGTATGTTATGACTTCTGCATAAATGTAAGGCTTTTTTCTCTTTAATATGATTGTATACTAGTGCCTTAGCATTTTAATAAAATGGACAATTAACAAACCTGTTTTATATACAATCTCTTTTACAGATAATGTATATTTGAAAATGTAGAAACTTCCCAACTCTGCACTTTGGAGGTCTTGTGATAGCTGTAAATATTACTTTGCAGCTCAAAGGAAAATTTGGAAATTATTTAATACAGTTACTTTAAATTATTGCTGCCTGATATGAAAATCTTTCTGTCTCCCAGGCTGGAGTGCAGTGGCATGATTTCGGCTCACTGCAAGCTCCGCCTCCCAGGTTGACGCCATTCTCCTGCCTCAGCCTCCCAAGTAGCTGGGACTACAGGCCCCTGCCACCATGCCTGGCTAATTTTTTTTTGTATTTTTAGTAGAGACAGGGTTTTACTGTGTTAGCCGGGATGGTGTCGATCTCCTGACCCTGTGATCTGCCCGCCTCGGCCTCCCAAAGTGCTGGGATTTCAGGCGTGAGCCACCGTGCCCAACCCATTCCATGCAGTTCTTCAGTGGCAGTTCTTTACCTTATAGATACTTAAATTGATGGGAAGCTGGAATGGTGGTTTGCACAGGGTCCGGGAGGGCAGCTCTATTGGACGTGGTCTCTCAGACATGAGGAGTTCGTGCATCTGCCTTACATCCTGGCTGAAGCTGGATCTGGCCACGATGGAACTGGCGCTGTCACCAGTAGCCCTCTGGGAATTGTTTTGAGCAGAATTCTTAGGCTCCATCTGACTGGAGAGGCCGGGGAGTGTGCAGGCCCCCAGATTCAGAGAGCTTCACTTTGAAGCAATAGAGGCCTTAAATCAGTATCCAAAGGTGGCAGCACTTGCTGACAAAGCTGAAGGCAGCAACTCAGCTAAAGCAGGGACCCACAGATAGGAACACTGTCAGTGGTGAGGTCGGTGGGAGTGGGGATGGATAGCAGAAGGGAAAGGATCGACCATCACCATCTGGTCTGTTTTCCTCTTCACTGGATAGCTTTTGCCTTTATTGCTGGAGAATCACTTTCTATTCCCGTTGTGCCTTTCCATCTATTCAGTCTTCCAGTGTCATGTATATAGTATCTTTCTTTACTCTAATATCCAGTCAAAATGACTGAATCTGTAACCTAAATTTTGAGCTGTGTCCTGTATTTATTATCCTAAATATGGGATTAAAAAGAAAGTTGATACAATCGATTCATTTAAAACTTTCTTCTATAGTCTGTCCTGAAGTTAGTGCTCATTCCAATATCTTACATCTTTTGCAGATCAGAGCCTGACGGTTACATCCAATAATATTTTGAATTAAAACAAACTGAAATATTCTGTTACCCAGAAAACCTCATTCCCCGAGCATCCTTTTTAATAAGTATTGGGCCATGTAGAGGAAATTAGAATTATTTTTTTCTTTCTTAAAATAATTACTATAAATATGAAACCTTTTAAAATATATGGAAATCAACATTATTAATTTTTAAGCCAATGAAAATTTATTAATGAAGGTTTGATGTCCCATTGGAAATGATTTAGCATTAGACAGGAGTAATTTGCTGTAAGGGTATTTTATGTAAGGTTTGAGCCATTTTGTAGGCTGGGTTTACAAGGTTAGCACTTCAGAGGCTGATTATTTCTTCACTGTACATTTCCAGGATTCAGCATATGATGCCCCTCAGTGGGTGATAATGCCTTCGTTATGTCTCAGTACAAACAGCTGTGCTTATTAAAGATGTGACTAACAGGCTGAAAGGATGCAGTGCATCACTTCATTCCATTATGCCTTTAAAAAGATAGAATGCTAGGGCTTAATTTTTAAAGTAGTTAGAAATAAGAGTAGTTGAATGGACTAATTAAACCATATTAAAAATTTAATTATTTGGCTAACAATGAGCTCACAACTATTTCTGAAACAGTAAACCTTAGAGGAAGAAAGGAGTAATGTCCTAGTTTCAAGTAATTCAGTGCATGTTGCCCACATTATTTCCAGAAACATCCTACCGATTTGAACACCCACTA
This sequence comes from Homo sapiens, assembly GCF_000001405.40. NCBI lineage: Eukaryota > Metazoa > Chordata > Mammalia > Primates > Hominidae > Homo > Homo sapiens. The sequence goes on along the minus strand of NC_000005.10, from coordinate 112,385,837 downwards.
GGAGCTTGTGAGACTGAAACCTTATTATCTCTAGTGCTATGTATTTGAATATTTGAGAGGTACAAATACGCATGTAAAAAAATATATTGGGGAGGTTGGATATGACCAATTTTCGGTTTCCATTTGAGTTTTGTGTCCTTTGGTCTATTGGAGTCTCTCTTAACATGTTCCAGATTTGAGGCTATCTCTTCTGACTTGAACTACAATTCTTCTAATTTCAATAAGGAGATAATTTTAGTGGATTACAAGACAGACTGGTTAAAGGATTTTTTAATTGATTGTGCTTTTGGCTTTAGGTAATGGGATTTACTTTTTTTTTTTTTTTTTTTTGAAAATAACCAGTATGAAGGCTGGCAGTTCAGAGGCTTAACAACGTAGGACTCTGGATTGGCTTTTCTGTGATTTTCTTGGCCTTTTTAAAAATGGTTGCCTAGTGTTGATTAAAAACTTGTTACCAGCTCTGGGATTCTGCCCTCTCTGTAATGGTTTTCCATACTATGCCCATACTTTTTTATGCCTTTTATTGGACTTTTTCCAAACTTCCCAAGTTGAATCTATGTGTTTCTTTCCGGGTCCCCAATTGATACAGCTATGCATCTTTTTATCAGAGGGGAGCATTTTTCCTGGAAGCACCACTTCCCCGTTGGACTTGCTTTCCCTCTGGTCCTTTTGGTCAGGATCGGGGTCACATTGTCAGGCTGTAGGCTGAGGAGGGAGTACTTAGCAGGCTCTGGTGGCAGGAGGCTTCTGCTGGCAAGGGCTTCGCCTGCTCCTTAAAAAAGATAAAGCTGAAACCATATCCAAGGGTCACCCGGGCTACTTCCAGTGTCTTCCTGAAGTGGGGCCATGGGCCTCTGAGCCTGAATTGCTTGTGCAGTGATCAGGACTGGCAACCCTAGCAAATGGATGGGGCTGCTCAGCTCTCTTTGCATTATCTTTCCCAGCAGATATTGAGGCCTAGGAAAAAAATTATGTCTCTAAAACAGAGGCAAAATTCCATTGTGATTCCATTATTTCTTTTCTTTTCTTTTAACTTCCTTCCTTTTTTTCTTCTCCTTCCTTCCTTCCTTCCGTTTCTCTTTCCTTGTTTCTCTTTCTCTTTTTGTTTCTCTTTCCCTCCCTCCCTCTCCCTTCCTTCCTTCCTTCCTTTCTTCCTCAAAAGAAGCTTCAAGCATGATTTTGACAGGTACTCATCTTCTTTAGTTTGAATATGCCCATGTCTAAACTATCTTCCCGGGTAGTACATACCTTCTGCTCCCATCTGTTTCCATGAGAAGGAAAAATATGTGTTTGGCTGCGGCAGAAAGTTCTCAGGCTCTGAGTGGAGATTTTACTGATGATTGGTTGCAACAGAGTCATCTTTGCATTAAAAAAAAAATAGTGAAGTTAGCCTTTGGTCTGCCTTGTTAATTGCGAATGTTATATACTTTTTGCCTTTGGACTCAGGTTAAAGTAGTTCTAATTTTAATGTAGTTAAATCTATGATTTTTAATGGATTCTTAATGTTTTTAAGTTAAAATCCCTTCCTTTTCAGAATAGTCATCTATATTATCATCTTTTGTTGACAGTTTTATCGAGATGGAGTTCACATATCAGTCTACCCACTGAAGGTGTACAGTTTAGTGTTTTTTGGTATATTCATGGAGTTGAGCAGCCATCACCACAGTCAATTTATAACTTGTTTTATCACCTTGAAAAGAAACCTTGTATCCTTTAGCTATCACCCCCATCCTCCCCACCAGCGACTCCTAACCTACTTCCTGTCTCTCTAGATTTGCATTTTCTGGGCACTTCATATAAATGGAATCATATAATATGTTGTCTTTTGTGATTGAGCTCTTTTACTTAGCGTAATATTTTCAGAGTTTTTAATATAATAGGTATCAGTACTTCATTTTTATGGCTAACTTTATTTTTTTACACTTAACTTTTAACCTATCTAGAATTTATCTTGAGATATACAAATGGAAATTGTTTATTTATTGACAGATAACTTTTTGTCCCAATATAGTTTGTTGACTGTTTTTTCATTTACCATTTGTTTGTTTAAATTTTAAGGTCTTATATATTGGATTTATTTCAGCTTTTCCCCCACCCCCATTTTATTGATTTGTCTGTTAGTGTACCAAAAGTTGTCTGAATACAATTAATTTATAAAAGCTTTTATTCTTTGATTTGGCCAGCACCCATCCTGATCACTTGTTTGTATTGCTCTTTAATTTATTAGTAGTTCCCTTGTGTCCTTTTTCTTTAAATTAAGACTTAATTTTTGCCATTATAAAAATTGCCAATGGGATTTCAATCTGATTGTGTTAAACCTGTCATTTCATTTTGAAAGAACTCCAGATTTAGCTTTTGCATCCAACAACATGCTCTGCCTCTCCATTTGTTCAAATTTTTCTTTCAGTACAGTTTTACGGTCTTTTGTCATTGAAATCTTATATCTTTTTAAGGTTATCCTGCAATGTCACATTTTTTGGTTACGTTTTAAATGCTATTTTTATTTCATTCTTTTAAAACAGTTTATTGCTAGTTTATAAGAAAGCTAAAGAAAACAGTTTATCTTGTATTTCTCTATTTTGCTAAACTTCATTATTGGCTCCACTTAATCTTTAGTTGACTCCTTTGAGATTTCTTGACTATTCCAAGTTCCCCAGCCTTTGGGAGCCATTGTTTCTTTAAATGCCTAAGTTACATTAAATGGAATACACGTCCTGTATGACTGGAGAGTATTCATCTAACCCTTCACATGCACTTCTGAGGATCCTCTGGGGAGAGCCTTGACTTGTCTTGATTGGCATTTATTACCTCTTGCCTTGGTCTTTCCTTTCTAGCTTCTCAAAGGGTCATTGCTGGCTTCTTACAACTTGTTTGCTCCGAAGCATTTTTCCTTTTCCACACAGTTCCAATTCAAGTCTGGGCTACATGTAACCAGATTTATTTCTCAGGTTTGAGGAAAACATAACAAATAATAGATGCAGTGATTGCCCAGTAAGAGGTTGGAGAGTAACTAGGAATGTGGAAAGAGTTAGAAGCCAGGAAGGAAAATTCCACAACTGGGTATCAGACACACCTGCTACCTATATACTGTATCTTTTAGCTGCTCCCTAATTCCCCTTCTGCAGTCCTGTTACTGGGACTGTTCCCCCAACCCTCCCACATCAAGTGACAGTGCTCTCTTCTGTCTCCTTGCTGAATCCTCCAAAGACCAAAACAATCAGAAGGTGTCATAATTATCCTGGAAGAGATATTCCTGCTATATTTTTACTGATGAAACAGTTAACACCACAGTTTGAATAGCTACGTTTGAATTTTTCTACTGGGTCAGAATTTCCCCAAGAGTAGCCAGGTGCTTGACTCACACATGCAGGATTTACCATTGGCCATTCCCAAGGATGGATGTGAGCCTCCACTCTGGGCTGCAGTCTTTGTCGTCATTGCAGGTATAGTCATATCATCTGTCAAATAACAGCAGGTTTGCTCCTAGTTTCTGACACTTGCTTCCTTTCTTTTCTAACCATTATTGGTTAGAACTTTTTTTTTTCTTGAGCCTGAACTTAGGTTAGAACTTTCGAATGATGTGAAGAAATGGTGGTGACTAATTGAAATATTGCTCTTTAAAATATGTTTAGATTGTGGTTAAAAAATAGATTAAAGGAAAGAGCTTTCTCTTCCTAATTTATCAAGAATTTTAAAAGCCAGAATGGATGTTAAGTTATATCACGTACCTTTTAAAAGTGCTAATTGAGTTTTTAAATAAAAATTTGACTAACTGATGTGCACTGCCGTATTATAAATTTCTTAAAATGAAAAAATACTTCCATTCCTGGAAGAAATCCTACTTTATTACATGCCATTGACTGTGATTTGCAGACATTTTTAGAATTAGAGTGGCTGCAGTAGATATTTGTCACCTGAAAGGGGGAGGTTACCCAGTCTTCTGATCCTCCTTCACTTTGGGAGGAGCCCCCTCCTCAGTGTGGAATTGGTGGGACATACTGTCATTTTCACATTATGGAAGGCTGTGGGACTTTGATTCTTACGAAGACAGGGGAGAGTTCAGAAAGTTTTCTCAACTGTGTCTGGTTGTGGGAGCCCAGTGGCCATGATGACGTGTGTCCTGCTGTTGGCAGTGTCAAGGCAGCATCCCAGCTTCAGGACTTGACCTTTGTCGTTGCTTCTGCAACTCAGCCTTGTTTGGATTTGGCTCACTTTGTGAGCTTGGTTTTCTAGATTTCCCATCCATTCTGTGAGATATTAATATGCTTCCAGAAAATTGTTTATTTGCTTATGTTTGCTAGACATGCTTTCTGTAGCTTGCAATCAAGAACCTGTTAGAATTGCACACTGGATGGAATATAAACAGATCTTGGTTCAAATCCTGCTGCTTTCAGTAACTGGCCTTGGGTGAGTCACTTAACCTTTCTAAGCCTCATTTATAAAACCTTAGAGAGTGGTAGAAAGGGTTAAAGATAACGTATGCCAAACATATAATCTCTCATACTAGGCAGTCAATGAATTATAAGCAATTATCATTATTATTTACAGAGTGATCTATCACAGGTTAATAATTCCTTACAATTCTGCAATCCAAAAGTTCTGATTTGAATTTTTTAATATCTCATTTGATTTAAAAACCTGACCAGACTTGAGTATATCTGAGGAAACTACCTGGCTCTGTTGTGAAGCAGTATTATAGTCTTGATCACATTTAGTGTAACTGTTCATGCATTTTTACGGCAGAATATCATAGCCGCCTCACGCTCTCTGATGGTATGTGAAATATATTGGATATCCCCAGAAGGTGCCTTTCTGAAATTAAAAATTTTTGAATTGGAACACATCTGGCCCCATGAGTTTTGGGTAAGGGATTTGTGAGGGATTGTTGACATATACTGGCCTGCAACCAGAAGGAATGTAAGAATGGTCTGGTGGGGGATGGTTTCTAAATATCAGTGGCTTCTGGGTGACTGAGATATGTGCTGCTCTCCTTTCCCCTTGGCTGAATTGTGTGTGTGTGTGTGTGTGTGTGTGTGTGTGTGTGTATGTGTGTGATGTGCAGAGGATGGGTTTCTCTTTTTGGTACTGAAGTTATAACAGCATCATATAATTGGGGACATTTCATTTTTTTCCCCTGTGCTTTGTAATATATAATCAGAGACTTAACTGTTCTTGAAAGCTTGGAAGAGTATACATTAAAAACTTAGTTTTTCTGTTTTTGAAGTTATTCTCTAGGGACTTGAAGAACTAAATCTTCCCCTGTAACTGGTAAATTCAAGTATTTTCCCACAAATTTATCTCTTGGTTAAAGGATTTTTAAGCAGTAGCATTATGGATGAGAAAAAGTAGCATCTATGGTCAATTCCTATCTATCTTTAGAGTTATTTTATCATTTTGTAGAATATATAACATATATTCTGTAGAATGTTAATTCTGTAGAATATTTAACAGAATAAAGTTACAACTAAGTACTATTTTGTTTTAATGAAAAACATTTTAATAAAATAGTTTTATTGAACAAGCAGGGGGAGAGGAAACGTTATTTATAAATAGGTTGATACCTTTGTATGCTTTTCTCTCTGATCCTTGTTTTCAGTTCCTTCTAAATCTGACTAGTTTTTCTCAGGATTTGGTAGCACGAGTTTCTTCATTTGGTGTCAGACCTTCTGACCCTCTGACTGCTCCTGTGTGGTCCCTCACTCCTGCAGCTGTTCTCTGGGAGTAGGGCTAAGCTCTCCAAGAGCAGGGAGACATCTGATGACCTAGCACTTCTCCTTTGGGTAACAATGATTAATCTGCTCAGAAAATTAGATTCCATTTTGACTCTTAAGTTTTGAGTTCCTACCTCAGATAATAAAATAGAGAAATTGTATGGCTTTTAATTTCCTTAAAATAGTCGTCTTAAATTTGAGTAGGTCAGTGCTTTGAGCAAAAGGTGGCTCATAGTGTCTTTCTTATGTCTTATAGGATTACATATAACTAATCATATTTTGGCAAAAAGTGCTTGATTCTAGATTTGGACATGTTCCATTAAGCAGTTGTCTTGACAACTCTCTGTTACTGCTAGGGAATGTATTGTGCCTTCGGGTAAGCCTTAGATCAAAGTCTGAGTTTGGTAAATGCTGGCCAGGACTTCTCAGAATGGCTGAGGTTTTATGTTAAGTGTTGGTCGTCTTCTTATGCAGTTTGCTGTTGGTGAGATCTCATCTTCCTTTTGCAGATGAGAAAGCAGGAGGGATTAGGCATGTAAGCATTTTAGTGTTTTCTCCCTTATGGCCAAACTCCAGGATGATCAGAGTGCTGTCACAGACTTGGTCTCCTGCTAATAACCTTTCTCCTCTTCCCTGTCATTTCTTCAATGTTCAGGCTGGCCTTTGTGTTCCTTACCTCTTGTTTCATCAAAATCTGCCCTTAGGAAGGATGATTTTAGACCTCTACTCTTATTTTCAAAAGTATTTTGATGTTATACTCAGGCTTTGTTGTGGGATACAAGACTTTATTTTGTAATGAAGGGATTTTAGATGTTCAGCCTATGTGGGGAAAATTTTGGGGACTTCTAATTGTTTTATAGGTTTAGTACATAAAAGGAAGCGTTTAAAAAACTTGCAGTTATTAATTTTAAGCAAAAATTCTAAATGGGGGGACATGTATATGCTTTTCTGCCTTCATTGATGCCCACTGAAAGCCAGTGGGCTAGCTTGACCCCCCCAGGGTGCTCGCCTCTTGGAATGAGTATCCACTGAGAGAATGCACTGATTTGATATTAGCTCAGTGTGTTCCACCACCTTTGTAAAGGTGTTTGTGTATGTGCACATCTGTACACCCCTGCACGCTCATAGACACCTGCATATAACTAATTCACAGGAGAGTGGACATGGACTGCTGGAGAACACATCACAGTGGAATGGCTTCCAAATTCAGCCCTTGATACAAAAATAGTGTGGGTTAGAACTAGACTTAAGCCATTTAGAAAGGTTCCACTATGGAGGCCACCCTACCAGCCATTCAAACAGCCCATGTTTCCTCCTTCCTGGAATAACGACTGTATGTTCAGTTGAGCATCCAGTGAAGAAGTTTGTTTTAGAGGACATGCACAAAAAATGTACTTGAACTAGAAGAAGACTCAGTGTTTCTAAGTGCATTTCAGGAAAGCATCAGGGAAACTGAGGGAATAAGGATGACTTCTGGAGTTTCCCTGTCTTCTCCACAGCCCTCCACCCCAGTGGATCTACCTTAATTTGCATGAGTTAAATGATTGTGTGATGTCTTCTCTGTGTTACAAATTTTGTTGTTAATTTATCGAGGAAACAATGTCTGGGAAACTTTCTCTATATTTCTTATGGCTGTTAATCTGTATTGTTAAGATATAATTTATATCCTGATCATCCTGAATTTTTTGCTTTTTAAGATTATATCAACTATGGAACTCCTGAATTCTGACGGATAGAAAAGATTTATAAATTAAAGGGTAGATTACAGGGCTAGAGAAACTACTCTCTGCTCTAGGTAACTTGCATTCTTAGGAGTGACTAAAATTTTGCAAGCTATATAGACCAATTCCTACAATCATGAGAGGAACAGACATAATTTTTACCAAGATAGGATGCAGATGGTAGTGTGGCCTGACAGAGGCTGGGAAATACCAGGAGTATCAGGATAGATTGTGAATTTTCCATCTCTGGAGAGCTTTCAATTTAGGATAGATTTTCATCTTTTTATGTTGAAATAAATTTCTCCGTGCAGATGGAAACATGAATCCTTATATCTGTTTTAAGGACTGTACTTTGTAGGTAGAAAACCAAGGTTGCATCTTATTTTGTTTTTGGACCTGGTGTTTATGCATTCAGAGTTGTCCAAATATGAATTAAGTCACAGGTGGATTCTTCTTGTCCTAGATATGCTGTAGAGTAGTATCCTTTTTTGTTCCCCCTGAGAACTGGGTTTGTTGTAATGTAAAAGATGGGGGGTTAGCAGTGTGATTTTTTTTTTCTCTTCCCAATTTGTGTGAAGATTAAGTTAGTTTCTGGAAGGCAGCTCTGGAAAGGTAATGGTACTGGGAAGAGAGGGGTTTGAGTTATTTTAGCACCTTTCTCTGAAGAGGTGCAAGAGAACAAAGAGAGTAGCAGCAGAGAAAGTGGTCCACTCCAGGCTGTGGTGTTTTCTAGGTTTGATAGTTAATATTATGTTGAGGGTCGCCATGGGAATAATTGGTCTTGGCAAAACTACAGGATGCCCCCTTTTTATTGAATAAAATTGGTTGAGTTGCTGGGCCTCATGAATCATGGATGAAATGGTAGAGCTGAAAATGGCCAGTAAATGAAAATCTGGAGCACACTTAAAGGTCACTTCCAAGTACTTGCTGTTTGCTGCAGTCAGGGTTCAGTGGGCCAGTAACCTTTCATTTCTTTTAAATTAAACTTTCTATTTTGAGATAATTCACATGCCATTTTAAGAAACCATACAGAGAGATCCTGTGTCCCTTTGCCCAGTTTCCCTCAATGGTAACTTCTTACAAAACTGTATTTACTATCACAAGTAGGATATTGATAATCGATATATTCAAGGTACAGAGCATTTCCATTATCTCAAAGATTCCACATATTGTCTTTTTTTTTTTTTTTTCAAACAAACAGACAACAGTATCTTGCTCTGTCACCCAGGCTGAAGTACAGTGGCATGATCATGATTCATTGCAGCCTTGACCCCCACGGCTTGAGTGATCTTCTCATCTCAGCCTCCTGAGGAGCTGGGACCACAGGTGTGTGACACAGTGCCTGGCTAATTTTTTTTATGTTTTATAGAGACGGGGTCTCCCTGTGTTGCCTAGGTTGGTCTTCAACTCCTGGGTTCAAGTGATCCTCCTGCTTCAGCCTCCCAAAGTGCTGGGATTAGAGGAATGAGCCACCGCACCCAGCCACGTGTTGCACTTTTATAGACGTACTCTCTTCCTTGCCTCTTTCACCTCTTAAACTCTGGCAACCAAGAATCTATTCTCTGTTTCTATAATTTTATTTCAAGAATGTCATATCAATGGAATCATACCTTTTGGGTTGCTTTTTAACTTATCATAGTTCCACGGTTGGTTCCATGTGTCAGCAGTTCCAGGGTTTGTAGCACGTGTCAACAGTTTGTTCCTTTTTTATTGATGAGTAATGTTCCATGGTATGGATGTACTAACACTTAACCATGCACCTGCTGAAGGATGTGTGGGTTGTTTATCATTTTGACTTTATGAATAAAGCTGCTGTGATCACTCATGTACAGGTTTTATGTTTAAAAATAAAATTTCATTTCTCTGAGCTAAATACCAAAGAGAGCAAAAGCTGGGTTATATGGCAGTTGTGTGTTTAATTTCTTAAGAAACCGCCAAACTGTTTTCCAAAGTGGCGATACCATTTTACGGTCCCACCAGCAATGTATGAGTTACCCAATTTCTTTGTGTCCTTGGCAGAATTTGGTGGCGTCACTATTTAAAAAAATTTTTAGCCATCCTGTTAGATATATAGTGATATTTCATTGTGGTTTTAATTTCATTTCCCTAATGGCTAATTATGTGGAACATCTTTTTATGTGCTTAATTGCCATCTGTATCCTCTTTGGTGAAGTGTCATATATCCTCTTATGTGTTTTGCTGATGTTCTAAATGTATTATTTTTCTGCTGTTGAGTTTTGCGAGTTCTTTACATATTCTAGATGTTAGTCCTCTCTTTGGATATGTAGTTTGAAAACTTTCTCTGAGTAGCTTGTCTTTTTAATCCTCTTCCTAGGGTTTTTGCTTAGCAGCAGTTATTAAGTTTTATGAAATCCAGTGTATTGGTTTTTGTTTTTATTTATGCTTTCGGTATTATTAAAGCCAACCCCTGGGGACAGTTATCTTGCCTCTTTTTCATACCCTAACCCCTTGGAGGCACAGACATTGTCAGTCATTCACTCCCCAGGGATGTTGCTCCTCTCTAAGGATTCTTGTCTTTGGCTCATGACCACTCTAATTCGTGAAGTCAGTTTAGATCCATCAATCCAAAGGCAAATTACAGTGAACATCTACCAGCAGATCATCGTCATTGCAATGTACAGTGTAATTAGGGTCCATGAGCTCCCACCACCAAAACAAACTTCCCAACCTTCACCAGCCCAGACCTACACAGTCCTGGCTGGGCCAGCAGTGCAACTACCTCAAGGGCCTGAGGAGCATAATGGCATTTCTCTTAGTTCATTTAGCATGTTTATGACTGATCATTGAAGAATTTTTGTTTTATGAATTTTTTATCATGGCTGCATTAAAAGCTTTATCAGATAATTCTAACATCTCTGCCATCTTGGTGTTGGAATCTGTTGCCTTTTCTCATTCAGTATGGATTTTCCTGGTTCTTGGTGTGATTTTTTTCATTGAAACCAGAACATTTTTTGCATTGTGTTTGAGACTCTGGATCTCATGTAAACTTTCTGTTTTAGGTAGCTTTTTTTTTTAAATAGAGGAAGGGGTGTGTGTGTGTGTGTGTGTATGTGTGTGTGTGCGAGAGAGAGAGAGACTGACCTTGTTATGGTCTGTGGGTCAGTGTCTTCAAGATAGTTAGGTTTAGGAAGGGACAACGTGATCATCCCCAGGGGTTGACTCTGGTGTTCCTGCACCACTCTGGGCTCACTCTGGGACCGTAGTGTTTCTTTTGGATCCTCTGAGCAAGTAAGTCTCAACTCTGTCCTTTAAAGTCACCCAGTGGAGCTAAAAGTAGCAACGACAAAACAGAATGGTTTCTTCCTGCACTAGGAGATTCTGATCCTGCTGATCTGGGGTGGAGATTAGGCACTGGTATTCATAAAAAGCCTTCCAGGTGATTGTTACGTGTAGCTGGAGTTCAGAGCTGCTGCTCTGCAGACAAAGAGAACCTGAATGTTGAACATCACCTTGTGGTTTTTAAAAAACGTAGAAGTTTGCTGTCAAACTCAGAGTTTTCTACATCCATTCTAGGTGATGGTGGGGAAATGTGAAAGGCCACAGGATAGACTTGGCCCCTCTTTTAGTAGTGACAGTCTTGCCTGAGAAAAATAATGTTTTAAATTACCTTCTGACCCCTTCCCCAGGCAAAAATCAAAACCGATCTTTTATAGAATAGAATGTAAAATTTGCATGCACTTTTAAAGAAGGAAAATAAAACCCAAACCAGGTATGATTCTTGAGAAAGCACACGTTTGTGGTGAGCTCCAGCACTAGGAGTGTGCGTTCACAGAGTTCTTTTGCTGGGGTAACTTTGGAACTGTATTAAGATGCACCATGAAGACCTGGAAGGCAAAATATTGCTGAGTAATATTTATAACTCTTATTGTTATGTAACCTAGGTGATTGGGCCAGAGTGTTTTATAGTGCGAATCATTTTTATTTAGAAGACTTTAACTTCTTTTCATCATCTTTAACTGTCAACGTATTTATTCCCCTGACTATAGATATTTCTTATAATGCTGCTTTTTGCTCTTCTTTTTGATCTACAGCTTTGGGTGATCCCATGGCTCTGAATTCTAAACTTCTGTTCATTCTTAGAAGATTAATCCAGGAAACTGTTGGGTAATGAGAACATTCTCAGCCTTTTTGTTTCCACTCCCAATCACTGTCAGCATAGATGAACTCCTTTCTTCATGGCTACGGTTTGTAATATCAGCTTAATAGTCTTGTTGGGGACCTGAGTTATTCCATGGGGATGCCTCTGACATTTGAAGAATGCTATTTATTTCTAAACTGAGCACTCATTCCACACTAATAATTCTCTTTGTGGGAAGTTCTCACAGAAGATGGGTGCTTCCTACCCTGCAGGGTTACATTCTGACAGAACTGACAAGTGTATACATGAGTTGCTCTCTTTTACCACGTATTCATGAAAAATGAATGTTTTCTCTTCTTCATATATTAATCTGATTTTCTGGAAGTATTCCAAAACTTGGTGAAAACAAACTTGTGTAATTTCAGCACTGTGGAAACCATAAAAATATATACTTGAACATTTCTCCATTAAAATATGTGTTAGATACTATCTTTAAATTGAGTCTTGGACCTTTCTGATGTTGACTGCAGTTGTTTCACTGTCTCCCTGAAGCACCTGACTTTGAAGCTGGACTCTAGTGGCAGTGTAGCTCAAAAGTGGGGACTGCAGCCAGACTTCCTGGGTTCTAACCCTGGCTCTGCCACTTGCTGGCTGGGCAAGTTTAGTAACTTCTTTGTATCTCAGTTTCCTCTTCGTAAAATGGGGATAGGATTTTTATGAGCATGAAATGAGTTAATACATTGAAAGCTCTAAAATAACACATGACACATAACAAGTGTTTGATAAATTAGCTATTTTTGCTTTAATGGAAATAAGATATAGGTGGTTGCTGGTTTCTGTACCTTTGTCATTTATGTGAAAATGAGTTGAATTTCAGGTTGGGCTATAGGGAGAGAGGAAACCATACCAGAGGAGCTAGTGCTGGCAGTGGGAAGGGAAGCAGATAGATTGGTTCATGGAGTCTGAGGAGAAAAGAAGAACCATGTTGACAGGGGACTGGCCTGAAGGGAACATTGTAGCAACTTCCGGTTCTGTCAGCTCTTAACCCTTCTGGGGTCTTGTCCCATCCCTCACTGTTGGTGACCTTCATAAGGCTTGCCCCAGGCCAGCAGAGCCACAGCCAGGAGATTAGAAATGGGAGCATCCTCACTTGCCTTCCTTTATTGAGCAGGTGGATAGAGCAGGAGTTCCTGCTCAGTCTGCAGTGTGGGGATCTGTATTCCTGGGCCCTGAGTTTATATCTGAATACATTTTTAAGAATAGACAGAGTTATTCCTGGTTGCTAAATAGCGATTGCTCTTAAAAAGAATATATGGAACTATTAGTGTCATATGTCACGTATTTTAAGGGTTAAGTAATTGAGAGCTGCTGAACCCTGTCACTTTTACTTTCAAAATATCTGTCTACCCCTCTCTATCTCTGCTTCCACCCTTTAGTCAGGCACCATCATCTCTTGCCTGAATTGCTGTAACAATCTCCTATCTGTTTCCTCTATTTCCTTGACCATTACAGTTCATTTCTCTGTATAGTAACCATAGTGAGTCAGGTTCTTAAAATTCTTCAGTGGCTTCCATTACACTGTGAATAAAATCTGAACTCCTTACTGCCACCTATCAAGACAGACCTGTAAGGTATTATCTGGTTCTTTCTCCTCTTTCCACTGTTACTTTGGACCACTTTCCCCTCCACCCACCATCCTCAGTCACTTAGGTCTTTCATTTCTGAAATGTATCCTATACTTTCCTGCCTTCAGGTCTTTGTACCTGTGTCTGGAAGATTCTCCTTCTCTTATGATTAGTGCTCTCAGTTCAGCTATCTTCTCAGACAGAGCCTTCCGTAACAGTTTGCTTATTTCCTTCCTGATTTGTTTTGGCTCTCTGTCCCCACCCAAATCTCACCTTGAATTGTAATAATCCCCATGTCAAGGGTGGGACCAGGTGGAGGTGATTGGATCATGGGGGCGGTTTTCCCTATGCTGTTCTCATGATAATGAGTGAGTTTTCATGAAATCTGATGGTTTTATAAGCATCTGGCATTTCCCCTGCTGGCTCTCATTCTCTATCCTTTCACCGTGTGAAAAGATGCCTTCTGCCATGATTGTAAGTTTCCTGAGGGCTTCCTAGCCATGCAGAATTGTGAGCAAATTAAATCTCTTTTCTTTGTAAATTACCCAGTCATGGGTATTTCTTCATAGCAGCATGAGAACAGACTAATACACTTCCTAATACTTATCACTGTTGATATGTGTTTACTTCTTTATTGTCTTTTTTAAAAAAACATTCAGAAGTAGGGTCTTGCTTTGTTGCCTAGGCTGGTCTTAAACTCCTGGGCTCAAGCCATCCTACTATTTTAGCCTGCTGAGTAGCTGGGACTACAGATGCATGCCACCACACCCTGTATTGTCCATCTCCTCTACTAGAATATAATGTTCATGAGGGCAGTGTTGCAGACTGACTTAACCCAATCTGGCCTTGTAGCATTGTTGAGTTCTTTTGTTCAATTTTGGTAGCTTCCAGAATTTAGAAAGAGGTGAGTGTTCTTCATCCTTTCCTTTATAGTCTTTTGCTCCCAGCTGGTAAATAAACAATGAGAGCAATTTCTAGTCTGAATTCTGCCACGTTTATAGTCATCTTTTAGCAAGCAGGAGCAGTAAAGAGCCACAGACAGTCTTGCCACTTTGGACAAGTCAAACTGTTTGTCCTTGGACATTCTGACTGGGAGTTGCATGAATGGGTTCCTCCAATGCAGTTACAATAATGATGTCCTGACAGCAAGACCAGCCAGATGTGGCTCAAGGCAGGCAACTGAGTCCTCTGAGGAACGGAGGGAAGTGGGGCCAAGGGATTCCATATCTTAAGTACTGCACTGCAGCTTTAGATTTTTGGTGCTACCAGATGTTTTGGTCTTGTTTTTGCAGAGATGGTGGGGCCTGTCCAGTATTTTAACCAACCAGATGTCTTGGAGAACACTCATTTCACAAATGAAAATTATTTCTAATAGCTCCTTTGCTAACTAACACATCTTTTGTATTTGTAAATAATGATATTTAAAACGCTAAGCAGGAATGTGGGCTCCTGATAACAGTAGTAGAAATGCTAGCTAACAGCTGCTAGGGCGTTGATAAGTTCTGAAATGTAAATACACACACAAGGGTATACACACATAATATGTATTGTTTATACCACAGTTTTCCTAAATTAAATTACAGAAATTATATAATATGGGAAGCTTGTCTTTTATTTCTACAGTCTCTCCACCACCTAAAATAGTGCTTAGTGCATAGAAGGTATTGCACGAATGAGTGAGGTTATTTCCATGTTCTAAACAACAGCTTACAAACTTTGGTAGCATGATTTACTTACTTTTTTGAGACAGAGTCTCATTCTGTCACCCAGGCTGGAGTGCAGTGGTGCAGTCTCAGCTTACTGCAACCTCCACCTCCTGGGTTCAAGTGATTATTGTGCCTCAGCCTCCTGAGTAGCTGGGACTACAGGCTCCTGAGTAGCTGGGACTACAGGCATGTGCCACCATGCCTGGCTAATTTTTGTATTTTTAGTAGAGACAGGGTTTTGCCGTGTTGGCCAGGTTGGCCTCGAACTCCTGACCTCAGGTGATCTGCCCGCCTCAGCCTCCCAAAGTGCTGGGAATACAGGCATGAGCCACCGTGTCCGGCCTCGTTACTTACTTTTAAGTTGAGGGTTTGTAACTGGAAAATCGAACTTTTCTAAAAATCCATGTATATTTTTATTTAATATAGATGAAGTTGATGACTGGATTGGTTATCATCAATCAAAATGTCTAATTTGATTAGGAGGGTGTTTTGTAAATATTGTAAACTGGACACATTACCATCATATGCTTAAAATGCTATCAAAAATCAAAATGACAGGAAAAATATTTTTAAAGAAAAATTTCTTTAAAATTCAAGAAAGATATAGAATACCATCGAGAGATTAAAAGTGAGTAATTTGGTCATATGTGGTGGCTCACACCTGTAATCCCAACACTTCGGGAGGCTAAGGTAGGAGGATTACTGGAGTCCAGGAGTTTGAGACCAGCCTGGGCAACATGGCAAGACCCTGTCTTTACAAAATGTAAAAAAAAAAAAAAAAAAATTAGACAGGCTTGGTGGTGTGTACCTGTTATCCCAGTTACTCAGGAGGCTGAGACAAGAAGATTGCTTGTGCCCGGGAGGCTGAGGCTGCAGTGAGCTGTGTTTGTGCCACTGCAGTTTAGCCCGGGTGACAAAGTAAGACCCTGTCTCAAACCAAAAACCAACTGAGTACTTTTTGGAAGACAGAAAAGTTGCCAGTTGTGTATAGAAACAAGTGGATAAAATCGGGAGCAGAGGATTTCCATAAAGGTGGAAACAGTTCTTCAGACCTACACCTCAGAGGTGGGAAGCACCAGAAGCAGGTTGGTGCCTTGGAGTGCTCATCTGAGTGAATGCAGAGTGTGGAGGCCAGTGAGCCTTCTCCATATGTCAGTGGCTTTTGTTCCAGTCTGAAGTAGTGCCAAGGGGACTGTGTTCAGCTGTCATCTTGTATCACCCAGGAAGGTAGGGGCTCCCAGGTGGTAAGCTACACCACCTCCCTCACCAAGTTCCTCCTGCTTCCTAGTGGCAACCTGGTAAATTCTCACCATTTCTGCAGTTATACAATGGAGATAAAACAACTATCTTAAGAGTTTTATAAATATTCAATAAGTCAATTAAAAAAATAACCAGCATAGTGCATGGTTTCCATTATTGTAAATAAGTGGTAATTGAGAGAGTGAAGACCAAGAATAGAATACATAGCATATAAGATAGGATAAGTAGATGGGACCTGGAAGGGAAGAATTTTTACATGCTGTATGCACAATTAATGAAAGATCTTTTTAAGGGTTTAACTAGGCTAGTGATAAAGACATTTGTATTTTCAATAGATCTTGCTGGATTGCGTCAGGGAAGTGAAATGAGTGGGCTTAAACTAGAGGCAGGAAGCTGTGTTAGGAGACTGCTGTGGTCCACACAAGAGATAATAAGAAATTGAACTGGTACAGGGGAAGTTGGTGTGGAAAGGAAGGGAATGATGTCAAAAGCATTTAGGAGGTAAAACTTGTAAGGTTTGGTAATGACTGGATGTTGGAAATGAGAAAGGGGGATGAGTTAAGGATGACTTCAGGTTGCTGGCTCAAGAGACTTGTGGTGGCTAAGGGACCTTTGTGTTGAGCCGATAATACTATGGAAACCAAACAGCCATCTAAATATAATATCTATAGCTGGAGAGAAGACTTTGGATCCCTTAGTGAAAGGTAAGAGTTAGAACCGTGGAAGGAGATACAACTTTCTGCTCCAAGGAGAGCATGGAGAGTATGAGAACGGGGGCTGGAGGGTTGTGGGAGTGGACGAGAATTGGAGACAGAGGAGTGAGAAGGCAGAGTGAAAGACAAAGACTGTAACAAAAGATAGAACCATTAGGGACAGCAGCATTGAAGGAGTGGGCAGAAAAAAATGAAGAAAGGAGAGTGAGCAGGAAAGGTGAGAGAGCTCCAGAAGAACCAGAAAAGCAAATAGCATCTAATAGTTGTGGGGAGGACAGGTCAATGATGCCAGATGCAGCAGAGGCATCCACTAAGACACAGGCTGAAATGTATCTAGTGGATGTGGCAGCTCCAAGAAAGTGGTGGGCTTTGGGAGAGCAGGTGCAGTAGAACAGTGGTTTTGGGCCTGGGCTCAAGGAAAGGAGGCGTCTGGAATTAGAGATGCAGAGAGGCTGGAACACCAAGAGTCTCAAATGAGGAGGGAAGCAGTGGGTGGTAGCTGGAAAGACTTATATAGGGACCTGGAGGCTTTTATTTTTAAAAGGATTTGAGTGACTAAGGTATATATTGTCTAGTATGAAAGGGCAAGCTAATGGGACCAAGGTGGCAATAGGGGAGAGGGGACAACAGATGGGGTAGGTATCAGAAGAGGTGGGAGGGAGTGGCGTCACACATACGGTGGAAAGAATGGCCTCAGACAAGATAATTCGTGCTCTCAAGTGCAAGGGGATGAGGGAATATTTTACAAGTAAGGGGCAAAGAGATGAGGTAAATATGAAGACTTTGCATTAGAAGGCAATCTGTTTTCAAGTGTTACTTCCCATATCTTTAAAGATAATAAGTTGAGTAATAATATAATAAAAGACTTAAAAGCTACGAGAAAATGTGTTTCCTTTGCTGCATTTCGATTATTTTGTATTGTAAGCTTTATAAGTTATTTTTCCCTCAAGTAGTCTCTGTACAAACCCATTTTGATAAGGTCAGTACAATTGTTGATCACCTTCTTTTTATAAAAATATTAAATCATTTGCTTCATCTTCCTGGTAAGGTAAACATAGTAGCTCGTTGCCACAGCACTGCAAAGATTCAATTTTGGGTTATAGTATTTGGTGGTCTTTATTTCGTGGAGCAGGCAATTCAGTTTGTTCAGCCGGGTACTGAGTTCAGTTTGTTCAGCCAGGTACTGAGGACTTTATTGACAGCACAATCATAATGAAATGCAAATGTCATTCCTGTGATTCTTCAACCTTTCATATTTTCATTGTCTTTCTGAGAAGAGGAAGGAATGGATGTTTTTATTAAATGCAGAGGCGTTTGCGCACAGCATGTTGGATTTGTGAATTTGTGACGCACTTGCTGTGTTGCCCAGGATGGTGTTGGTTTGGGAGGAAATCAAGGAAGGCACCTCCCTGTCCTGGAAGGAGCTGGTCATGGAGCCCTGCCAGATGGGGGATGCGGAGTGGGAAATTCCATAAAGATGGCAAGAGCATCAAGACCTGGAAGGAGAGGAGATGAGGCCTCCACAGGGATGATTTGAACATTTCCCAGGGAGGTTTGTGTAAGCAGTGAGTGATAAGGGAAGATAGGGCATTTGTATAAACAGAAGCACTAGTGCTTCATTAAAGGTCTTGGAGACAAGAGGTTGCATCGGCTCTTAAGATAACTTATTTGAAGAAATGGAGTGAAATGTCAGGTTTTATTTTATTCTCCATCTGTCAAGAGCAGATATGAGGTGCAGTACTGGAGCTTACAAAGTATTGGGCAAGATGATCCAGGAGTTAGGTTCTTGCCTGTGACTACAGGTGCAAACTCTTTCCTCTAGGGGCAGAGCTGAGAGATTGGTCCGGCTGTTGAAAGAGGAGCCTCTCTCTAGTTCTGGAGCAAGTATTGATTGTCCCTGTCTTTAATGTGGAAAGGGCTAGCCTCATCTGCCTGTTTCTGGTGCTCTGCCAGAGTCAGGCTCAAAGGTGTGTCCTCTGTGTGTTGTCCCTGCAGCAGAGCCACATTGTGAAGGACCCAAGTTCTGTTCTGACCAGTGGCGGAGATGGCTCTGTTCCATGTCTTCTTTCAGATATACTTTGAGGGCTTACTAGGAGTATGTGACCTCAGACTCTGTAAAGCACTGTTGCTGCCTTTGAGGAGTTCATAGTACAGTAGGATAAGACACACAAATATAAAAATGCAAATAGCTGAAGGTACAGGTTTGGCTTGCCCTTCCTCCTGCAGTGCACCTTTCATTTGTCCCCCTGGTTGTATTGTCCATCCTAACCCATGCTGCTCTGTGCCTTGAGATATTGACCTCTGTGGACAACATTAAGTCCTCTGGTTGTAGCCAATGGAAGACACAAGCAGGGTTGGAAGGCAAGAGGAAAAGTGAGGTTAGGGTGCTTATTTCTCGGTGTCCTCCCTGCAGGTGGGCTGTGTCTCAGCAGAGGCCACGGCTCCTATCACATGGCCCTTTCACAATCACTGGTCTCCCTGGATTCTGATGATACCTCCCACCCCTTGCTCTTCCAAGTGTGGTGTTGGGAGCAGCTCCCTGTTGTTGCCAGCCTCGGGGTACTCCACCATCTCTTGTTGGGCTGTCTGCCTTTGCCTTTGTAGATAGTTAACCTCATAGATTAACTCTCCTCAGTTGCTTTGCTGGTAATGCTGTTTCCTCCTGGGACCTGACTATATACTTTTCTTTCTTTCTTTTTTTTTTTCTAAAAATGATTAGAGACAATTTACAAACATGGGCAAGTATACCACAACAAATAAAACTGGGAATAAAAAAGGAGAGGAGAGTGGAGCTGTGGTTGCAGGTGGCAGGGGCAGTAGTCACTACAGTTTCTGTGTTGAACTGACTGCTGAGTGATGCCTGGGACAAGAATGCCTTGCTCCTTAGCTCCTTAGTCTGTCTCTGGGTCACTTTACCTGGGGTCCTTTTGAATTGTCCTTCTGCTAAGTTTAGTTTTCTATTGCGTAGAGTCTCTGTAGTACTGATATTAAACTTGTAGTTTACTCTCTTCCCAGCATAGGGCTTTTTTCGTTGTTGAATAAATGGGGAGATAAAGGCTAACATTCTTACCTTGTACTTTGTCTTATCAGAGATCCTTGCGCTGATCATTTTGAAATCCGATGTTTTCTAAATCAAGTTTTAGGAGAAAATCTTAAGACAAACTCAAATTGAGGGGCATCTCTCAATCCAGTACTTCTCAAAACCATCAAGGTCATCAAACTCAAGGGAAGTGTAAGAAAATGTCACAGATCTGAGGAGGTTAAGGAAATGTGATGATGAAATGTAATATGATACCCTAGCTAGGGTCTTGGACGTTAGGAGAAAACTAGTGAAATCTGAATAAAATGTGGAGCTCACTTCATCGTAATGTGCCAGTGTTGGTTCCTTAGTTGTAACAAACGTACCATGGTAATGTGAGACATTAATAGAGGAGGCTGGGTGCCAGGTATATAGGAACTCTATATTATCTCTGCAACTTTTCTCGAAGTCTAAAACTATTCTAAAACAAAGTTGATTTAAAAAAAATCAGTCTTTAGTGTCTAGGGGAGTTGATATTAAATCAGAAATATTTTATTAAAACCTTTACATACTTTTTCCCTATGCCCAGTATTTGAGGAAGAGATACAAAATGAAGTATAATATTCATGAAAGCTAGGTGTGCCTGGAGACTCAGCTACTCAAGAGGCTGAGGTGGGAGGATTACAGTCTAGGAGTTTGAGGCTGTAGTATGCTATGATCATGCCTGTGAATAGCCACTGCACTCCAGCCTGGGCCATGTAGCGAGACCCTCTCTGTAAAATGAAACACTTAAAATAATAAAAATTGATGCTATAATCTTTATAATTCAGGCCTATTAAGATCCCCAGTTTTTGTCTGGAATATTCATAATTCAACAAGCATTGATTTAGTATCTGCTTTATGCCAGAAGCTGAACTAAGCTTTGGAAACACAGCGGTCAAACAAGACAGGCAAGGTTCTTGGCAACTGAGAAATAGGTATCTTTTATTAATTTTCCAGGATATTTATCTTAATCTTAGATTTATTTTACCCCATCAAATAATACTGTATACTCACATATGGTTCTATGAATATAAGGGTATATGTAATAAATTACATTTAGACCTAATATTTATGCTGCATATTTATTTTGCAGTATTTGTTCAATTTAAGAAATGAGGTTGGATTTAGAGATTCTTCTTAGAGATTCAAATTATGAACTGGGAAATATTTGTGCTGTAAACTTATTTGCAGTACTTAGTACACAAAAGCACTTAAAGGCTGAAAAGAGTTTTTAGATGTTTTGTTAGGATTTAGAGAAAGCCTTTTAAAGAAATCAGATAAACTTTTTAGACATTAATTTGATAGGAGGGAAAAAATGCTTAACTATAGCATGATTTTCTTTTGAGTGAAACACTCATGAAATAAGAAAGCCCCCTTGCCCCACTGAGTTTCTCCATTAGAATACAAGTATTTATCTTACTTCCAGTGAAAATGTGCTCATGTCATGGTGTCTATCATGTAGGAATTTGGCAGTAATACCAGTATTACTGGCGAGAAATTAATACTCACAGCAATTCCAGATCAAGGCAATAAAACTGAAATTTAAATATTGTAACTCTAATGTGAATATCAATAAATGTTTTACACATAACAAATATTTGCATGAAAATATTGGCAGCTGGGTGTGGTGGTTCACGTCTATAATCCCAGCACTTAGGGAGGCCAAGGCAGATGGATCACCTGAGGTCAGGAGTTCGAGACCAGCCTGGCCAACATGGTGAAATCCCATCTCTACCAAAATACAAAAAATTGCCTGGCATGATGGCGGGTGCCTGTAATCCCAGCTACTCGGGAGGCTGAGGCTGAAGAATTGCTTAACCCAGGAGGCAGAGTTTGCAGTGAGCTGAGGTTGCGCCACTGCACTCCAGCCTGGGCAACAGAGCGAGACTCCGTCTAAAAATAAATGAATGAATGAATGAATAAATGAATGAAAGCAAATATTGGCACAGGATCATTATTACCTTTTCTAGAGTTGATACTGAATTTACTGCTTTTTGGAAAGTAAACTTCATTATTGACTATTTTTTGAATGCTACACTCTATAAACTTACATGAAAATATGGCATGAATGGTTTCAGTGTTTAAGTGAGTATTTGAAGTAGGGAAAACACTAACCTACAGTTTTAATAGAAACCGCTGAATGTGCATGCAGCTGTGTTATGTAACTGGTTAATAATCTTAAACTGTAAACTTAATATTTAAAAATTTAAGCTATCAGAATCATCAAATGGTAAGTGATGGTTTGAGACATCACTATGAAGCTGGAACTGGTGAGGTGGCTGAGACTGACCCCAAGATTGTGCAGGATCTCACATTGATGGTGGAGATGTTCCTGCAACATGTGTGAAATAAGTTTCAGAACATGTCTGACCAGATCATTGGAAAAATTGATGATATGAATACTCTCATTGATCTTGAGAAAAACGTCAAAGATCTCCCTTATAACACAGACTGAGGTGGAAGAACTGGAAGGTGAAAACAAGATACCTATCCTGCCTGGCTGATTTTTTTTTTTTTTTTTTTGTAGAGTCAAGGGTCTCACTATTTGCCTCAGGCTGGTCTTAGTGATCCTTCTACCTCAGCCTCTCAAAGTGTTGGGCATGATTTTTTTGTTTCTTACATCACCAGTCAGGATTGTTTGAATTGAAAATATATAATATGAAATAACTTGTCTTTTATAAGTTATATGGGGAACATAAAGGAATAAAATTCTTCTATAATAAAGTTACCACTCTTATTACCCAGCTGCAGAACCTCCTTTGATTAGGCCAGGAGGTGCTGCAGGGTTTAGCCCCTGAATGTCCCACTCACACTGGGCTCTGACTAGACCAGCTGAAACTTGTGTACAGGACATTTTCAAGCCTTGAAAGTGGCTAATGGAAATGATATGGCCAATTGCATTGTAAGAAGTCAGGACTCAGGTAGGAATTGGCTTCCTGAAGTAATAGATTTCAAGGGCAGGGTTTCTTGACCAAAAATATTTTCCAAAATAAAGGTTTCTGAAATCTTGCCTTTAAAAAAAAATAATAATAATCAAATAAAAATACATATAAAGCTACCTGCTACTTTTAGGAAACATCATAAGCCATCAGATCAGGTTTGAGATGAATCGTCAGACTTGATATTATTTATATTGCATTTATTTAAAAAATGATTTGTCTTTAGGATGTCAGTGTATTTAAGAGAACAGTAAAGTATTGTTAATGATTACTTTAGAGAACTTCAGTTTGGCACAGAAGACTTTTATCTGTTGTTCCTCAAGGTTTAATTTTGTGTGCTGTTGACATTAACTTTTATGGAATTGCTATTAATGATAAAGTGAGGCTAATGTTTTGGTTGACTTTTAAAATTAATGTTCTAAGTCTGGGTGCGGTGGCTCGTGCCTGTAATCCCAGCACTTTGGGAGGCTGAGGTGGGCGGATCACCTAAGGTCAGGAGTTTGAGACCAGCCTGGGCAACATGGTGAAATCCCGTGTCTACTAAAAATACAAAAATTATCTTGGCGCAGCAGCGCATACCTGTAATCCCAGCTACTCGGGAGGCTGAGGCAGGAGAATCGCTCGAATGTGGGAGTTGGAGGTTGCAGTGAGCCGAGATGGTGCCACTGCACTGCAGCCTGGGTGACAGGGTGAGACTCCATCTCAAAAAAAAAAAAAAAACATTAATGCTCTAAGCTGGGCATGGTGGCATGAGCCTGTAGTCCCAACCAGTTGCCAGGCTTAAGGTGGAAGGATTGCTTGAGGCCAGGAATTCAAGGCTGCTGTGAGCTATGGTTGTACTTGTACCACTGCACTCCAGCCTGGGTGACAGAATGAGATCCTGTCTCTGAAAACTAAATAAAATTAATGCTATGATTGTGTTACATACTTAAAATGGGATCCTTTGTCTAATGGTAGACTAGCCCTTTGGTTGGTATTGCCAACAAGACCAAGAATTTAAAATAGCTTATATCAATGGCTTGGTTTATCAAGAAGGAAGGAAAAAGGCTAACATAAGACTTTTTAGAATTAGATTCTCTTATTTTCTCTGATAATTACTTTTAATTTTTATTTATTTGAGACAGGGTCTTGCTCTGTTGACCAGGCTGAAGGCAGTGGCATGATCATGGCTCACTGCAACTGCTGCCTCCCAGGCTCAGTTGATCCTCCTGCCTCAGCCTCCCGAGTAAATGTGACCACAGGTGCACACCACCACACCCAGTCAGTTTATTATTATTATTATTATTATTATTTTTTTTTAGCATTTTTGGTGTTCTTTTTATTTTACTTCTACTATTTTTCTTTGGACTCAATCACAATAACAGAATTAAAGATCAAAGTGTAAAAGTTAAAGACCAGTACAGATTCAATAATTATTCTTTTCTACATACTGTGTTTAAATGATATCCCTTTTTCTTTTTATTCTTTTTTTTTTTTTTTAAGTATTTATTGATCATTCTTGGGTGTTTCTCGGAGAGGGGGATTTGGCAGGGTCATAGGACAATAGTGGAGGGAAGGTCAGCAGATAAACATGTGAACAAAGGTCTCTGGTTTTCCTAGGCAGAGGGCCCTGCCGCCTTCTGCAGTGTTTGTGTCCCTGGGTACTTGAGATTAGGGAGTGGTGATGACTCTTAACGAGCATGCTGCCTTCAAGCATCTGTTTAACAAAGCACATCTTGCACCGCCCTTAATCCATTTAACCCTTAGTGGACACAGCACATGTTTCAGAGAGCACGGGGTTGGGGGAAAGGTCATAGATTAACAGCATCCCAAGGCAGAAGAATTTTTCTTAGTACAGAACAAAATGGAGTCTCCTATGTCTACTTCTTTCCACACAGACACAGTAACAATCCGATCTCTCTTTCTTTTCCCCACACTTCCCCCCTTTCTATTTGACAAAACCGCCATCGTCATCATGGCCCGTTCTCAATGAGCTGTTGGGTACACCTCTCAGACAGGGCGGCTGCCGGGCGGAGGGGCTCCTCACTTCTCAGACGGGGCGGCCGGTCAGAGACGCTCCTCACCTCCCAGACGGAGTGGCGGCGGGGCAGAGACACTCCTCATTTCCCAGACTGGGTCGAGGCAGGGCAGAGGCGCTCCTCACATCCCAGACGGAGTGGCGGGGCAGAGGCGCTCCCCACATCCCAGAAGATGGGCGGCCGGGCAGAGACGCTCTTCACTTCCTAGACGGGATGACGACCGGGAAGAGGCGCTCCTCACTTCCCAGACTGGGCAGCCGGGCAGAGATGCTCCTCACTTCTTAGACGGGGTGGCAGCCGGGCAGAGGCTGCATTCTCGGCACTTTGGGAGGCCAAGGCAGGCGGCTGGGAGGTGGAGGTTGTAGCGAGCCGAGATCACGCCACTGCACTCCAGCCTGGGCAACATTGAGCACTGAGTGAGCGAGACTCCGTCTGCAATCCCGGCACCTCGGGAGGCCGAGGCTGGCAGATCACTCGCGGTCAGGAGCTGGAGACCAGCCCGGCCAACATGGCGAAACCCCGTCTCCACCAAAAAATACAAAAACCAGTCAGGCGTGGCGGTGCGCGCCTGCAATCCCAGGCACTGGGCAGGCTGAGGCAGGAGAATCAGGCAGGGAGGTTGCGGTGAGCCGAGATGGCGGCAGTACAGTCCAGCCTGGGCTCAGCATCAGAGGGAGACCGTGCAAAGGGGAGAGGGGAGAGGGTCGAGGGTCAGTTTATTATTTGTAGAGACAGGGTCTTGCTGTGTTGCCCAGGCTGGTCTCAAACTCCTGGACTCAAGTGATCCTCCTGCCTCGGCCTCCCAAAGTGCTGGGACAGGCGTGAGCTATGGTGCCTGGCCTGATAATTACTTTTACAAATTGTTGGATTCCTATTGAATCTGTAGCTGGGGTTACAGGCATGAGCCACCATGCTTGGCCTGATAGTTACTTTTACAAATTATTGGATTTCCGTTGAATCTGTTAGCCTGGATAAAATATTTTTTAAAATGAAAAAAGCACATACACGTCAGTAATTATAGAGTTCTGATGAAAATTTTGTTTTGCAACATGTATGTTGAGATGGAAAGTGAAAATGCTGTATCATAATTATTCAGAATAAAGTAATAGATAACTTACCTTTAAAATAAACTCATCAAGACTTTTGGCTGGGCACAGTGGCTCACGCCTGTAATCCCAGCACTTTGGGAGGCCAAGGCGGGTGGATCACGAGGTCAGGAGATGGAGACCATCCTGGCTAACACGGTGAAACCCCGTCTCTACTAAAAATACAAAAAATTAGCTGGGCGTGGTGGCAGGCGCCTGTAGTCCCAGCTACTCGGGAGGCTGAGGCAGGAGAATGGTGTGAACCCGGGAGGCGGAGCTGGCAGTGAGCTGAGATCGCGCCACTGCACTCTAGCCTGGGCGACAGAGCAAGACTCCGTCTCAAAAAAAAAAAAAAGAAGACTTTCAAGGATATTTCTTCTATGTATCCTTGAATCTGAAGCAGGAAGTGAGTTTTTTCATATTCTAAACTCAATCAACAGTTGTTATTCCAACCATATTAACCTTAGGGGGAGCATTAGGAAGAAAAAGCTTTTGAAATCAGCTATATATTGGATAATTGGGTGCCTCTGGCTAGGCAGTTTCTCTCAGTTGGAAAGCAAGCACTCAACTGAAAATTTAGTGAATTTCTTATTTGTGTTCTTTACCTTTGTTGGATCACAGACCTATTAGAGAAATTGGGAAAGAAAACACACCCCTGGATTCTCTTCTAAGACATGTGTACATATACATAATATCTTTCAGGAACAGTTTTATTGAAGTAGAATATAAAGTATACAAATCTTAAATACATAGCTGAATGAGTTTTTACATATAGATATAGTTGTGTAAACACCATCCAGATCAAGAGGTAGGATATTTTCAGTACTCCAGGAAGTTCCCTTGGGTCCCTTTTCAAACAGTACCTACCCAGAGGTAAATTACTCTTCTGAATTTTAGCCCTTTAGGCTAATTTTGCCTATTTTGACATTGTATAAAAGGAATAATACAATATATATATTTTTGTGTCTGTTTTCTTTCACCTAGCATTGAAGTTTGTGATTCTTTTATGTTATTGTCTGTGGCAGAAGTTCTTTTTTTCTTTAACTTTTGTTTGGTAATTCATTTTGTGAATATACTATAATTTATCCATTCTACTGTCAGTGGACAGTATTTAGCTATCACAAATAAAGCTGCCCTGAACATTCTTGTATATATCTTTTGCTGGATATATGCACTCATTTCTTTTGTGTGTATACCTAGAAGTGGAATTGCTATATCATAGGGTAGGTGTATGTTTAGCTTTAGAAGGTACTGACAGCTATTTTTTAAAGTGGATATACCAGTTTCTACTCCAGCTAACAATCTGTGAGAATTCTAGTTGCTCTGCATCCTTGCCATTACTCAGTATCATCCAGCTGTTAAACTTTTGCTGTCCTGATGGGTGATCCTTTTTCTGTGATTGCAAGGGGATTCTAGATTTCCTAATAATCAACCATGGGTACGTATCAGGATCTTAGATTAAGAAATTCTTTTCTGGTTGACAGTTACAGTCTTTGTGAAATTATCTTTTCCAGTTTATCCAGAGTTCTATAGGACTAATCTGTAACATAGAAACTAAATTATAAAGTTAACCACCATAACCAATCCCTGAAAAACATGGAGTAAGAGAGTAAAAAATAAATTCATGTGTGTATGTGTAATATATGTGTGTAAGTTCACAGCTGGACATATACAGTAAGGACAAATCATTACCTCTCCCTTGATGGAAAGGATCCAATATAATCAATCTGCTGCCAAGTGGCTGTCTGATCTTCCAGGGGAATGTTGCCATCTTGGACTGAGGATTGGCTTCTGCTGTTGGGAGATCAGGCACTCATTGTTGGCAAAGGCCAGGTCAGCGTTCATGAGAAGAAGTCCTTTGCTGAGTCCGTATGTAGCCTCCACTCTTTCCACCATGGTCACTTGTTCTTGGACTATTGAGGAAGACCGGTGTGACTGATGAAAAAGGATAACTTCTCCACAGCCTTGTAATTTTGTTCACCTGGTTATTGACAAGCCCATCTGTAGTGGATGCCTTTGGTGTACATTTACAAGGGACAAAAATAATTTTTACATACTGCTCATTCTCAGTGGTCCATCCACATAGCTCTTCCCTAGATGTTCTTGTATGCTCTGTTCCTATACTATTTTCTTCCAAGTCCTTAACCATCCATCCACATTGAGTGTTAACCTTTACCCCATGATTCAGTGTAAAGCCATAATTCTGGCCATTTCTCAGTGTAGGTAAAGAGGACAAGCAAATGTACTAGTTACAGTTCTGTTGGGATGATTTCACATTTGAGGGATGCTCATTATTGGAGATGTCATGCTGTAGAAGTCCACTTTTGCTTGGTACCAGACATTATACAAACCTTCTCTAAACCGGGCCCAAGTTTCCTTTCCAGGCACCTGGTCTTAAGGAAATCTTTGTGAAGCCACAGGTGTGGTTGTATGCTAGGAGTAGGTGTTAGAGATACCTGAGACATCTGCTCTTGCAATTTCTTGTGCCTTGTATATTGGCTTGAGCCCAATCTCTTTATACCATTGCCTTTTGATAGAACATTTCTGTAAAGGCCCAACCTTATAGCTTGGTGGGTCAGGCAACATTCAGATTATTATGGGCAGCTCAGGTCGCATGTTCATTTGAAATCGTTTAATCAGGCTTTGCCAGAGCCTGGTTGCAAGCTAGGAGCCATTTCTCAAAATGACAATTATTATTTCCAGAAAAGGGGTATGGCTTTTATTTCAGAACCTCAGAGGTTTGTGCTGTGATTCTCTGGATCTTGTTGGATTCAACTGATTGGATCTGCTGCATCACAAGACCGAGTGGGGTAGTAGTTTGTGCTGCAGTCTATCTTTGTTGCAGAACCATCTCTCGCTCTGGGCCCTACTCAGCACCGGCCATCTTATAGGTTACCTAGTCAAGGAGTCAGAGCAGGATATCTTAGACTGGTATATATTGTCTTTAAAATGTAAAGCAGCCTGTGAAATATTGTGTCTATTTTATTTTAGTAGTAAGCAGTTCAAGATGCAGCAACTTGTATGTCACTTTGGAGGTGATATTTCAACATGTTCCAGACCACTGCATCCCCAGAAATGCTGAGGTTGCAGCCTTTGATTTTTCTTTTTCACCATCAAGCTTGCATGTGTGTTACTGAGATCGCTGTCAGATTTGTTACTTCCATTTCATCAGTTGCAGTCAGCACAGTGTACTCAATGCAATAGACCCACATGAGAGTCTGTAGGATGTTAAGGTGATTAAGGTCTCTGGAGACTAGATTATGGCAGAGGGGAGAGTTGTTACAGCTCTGGGCAATAATGCAGAAGTGTATTTTTGATCTTTTGAAATAAAAGCAGATGTTTTCTTATGTTTCTTGCATATTATTAAAGCACTTTCTAGCATAGTATCTTCATATCAGGTGCTAGAGGCTAGATTCGCTCTAGAAAAGGTACTTCATTTGGTAAATCAGCCACATCAGAGTCACTGTCTGAATGGGTTTGTGTTAATCCAGTCACTTTCCAATCTGTCTGCTTTCTGCATAGACCAAAGTGGTAAGTTAGACAGTGATGTAATAGGAGTTACCACCCTTAAGTATCAAGTTTTTGATGATAGTATTAACCTCTACAGTTCTCCCATGGATGCAGTATTTATTTTGGTTTTCTGTTGTGGTAGGGAGGGGAAGTTCAGTCTTCCAGTTGGTCATTCCTATCTGTTGTAATAGCCCATATTCCATCGTCAGGGAGCCATTGTGGGACTTCTACCCACAATGTGGAGTACGTTTACTGTCAAGTGGAGTATTAAGTTTTATACAATCCCCACCTTACCCCCCTTCCAAAATTTAACATAAGTTATCTCTCAAGTAATCAGTCAAGTAACATAATCCAGCTACCCAAGTGGAGTGTATTTACTGCAATAATACATTCAAAAACTGCAAAATAACCATAAGAGGGGTTCGTGGACTTACTGGATCCATGAGATGCGAGAGGCCAAAGCTTCATGAATCACTTGAACACAGTAAACTTTACTTTGACTGATAGAGGCATTTTAGATCCCTAGGATCTAGTGAAACTCAACCTTTTTAAAAGTAGAAAAGTAAGGATTCTCTGAGGCAGTAAAAGCAAATAGAATGTGTATTTGTTATGGCTTTGTTTCCAGTTCTAAGATCTCTCAGTATATCTCTAAGAAGAGCATCCCTGGGGGATCACTGAGGGAGAAGAGGTGAAGGAGTGGAATTCTCCATGGGTGGTGTTCTTCGGCAAAACATAGTTCCTGCAGAGTTTGTGGTTGTATCGGGAGAGGGTTCGGAAGAGTATTGTTTTCCACATTCTTAGTGGTCTCAAACCTCACTTCTAATGAGGAACCAGAAATGAACTCATCATATTGGAAATTGTGTTCCAACTGTGAAACTCAACTTGTGCTGATAGATAAACACATTTAGCGCTCCAGAAGCCTGTGAAACCTCATTTTGAAGTGTGAAACATGTTTGTGGAAAGGAGGTTATAGGTGTTTCTTTTTCTCATGAGAAGGATCTTTAGTCTGTGAAGAAATTTCATACTTAATTTAAAAAATTATTTTGGTAAAAATCTGAAGATAGTGGATTCATCTGAAACCCTTGATCTGCATGCACTGCATTGCTTAATTTCAACCATTTTAGTTGCATAGAAACTATCTTTGAAATAGCTTTCGGTTTCTAGTGGTTTACAAGTTCCAAGTAAGTGAGAATACTTTATCATGTATTTTATTTTGCAAGTTAATGAAATAGATTATATTTGGTAGTGACAAATGAAATTTGAGTATAAATCTGTGTTCATGTCTTTATGTGAAATTTTAGAGAAACAACAAAACTGCAACCTAAGGCATTTGTTGGTCAGATTTTCATTCCTCCTGCCTTTTTCTGGTCCTATTTCAATTTTTTTCCCCCTTCCTCCTTTTGTTTATTTTGGCAACTTTAAAAAAAATCAGATAAAATACTTCTTTCCAGAGTTACACATAAATGTAGCATACTGTCATTATTAATGCTATTAATGCTCTCTGAGACTAATAAAAGATGTAGTTAAAATGCAAATTAAATAGGTTTTCTAGTAGAGTCTTGGCATATGGTTTGCAAAGACTACAACATCAATTAAGCCAGGTTTGAACTAGATCAATTGTGAATCATAAAGTATATACTGTTAATCTGTGGAGAAATGACTATTACTGTGGAATCCAGATTCAAAAATGCTATTTTCATTCATGAAAAATCTTTTCTGGATGGTGTTTGTAAATGGGGAGCTAGATGGCATGGGGAAACACAGAAAAACATTACTCGACTGATAACTTATGTTAAATTTTGGAAGCGAGGTAAGGTGGGGGTTGTATAAAACTGAAGTAATGATTCCTCCACACCCTTCCTTATCTAACTAAATTTTGACTTTCTCCTTACCACAGAGCTTCCCTCATTTTTCTATGCCTATCTGCAGTGTTGCCGGAGAGCTGAGTCTATATTTTCTTGTCTTATCACTATCTGTTCCAGGTTGTTTATTTTCCCTTTATTACTTATTGCATTATTTTACTTTGTCCATACACTCAACTTTGTTAATTTTTGACTTCTAGCTCCCACCTCAACATAGATTTAGGCCTTTGGCGAGTCATACCCATTGTTTTCCCCTGTAGCTGTCATAAGCCTTAGCAACTCTCCAACATCCATTTGGAATAATGATGAGGAACGTATAATGAGTTCTTATGTGCCAGGCACTATTATAAAGCACCTTTGTATACACATCAATGCTCAGAATAGCCCCTGTGGGGTTAGTACTCTTACTATCTTTGTTTTGCAGATGAGGTTA
This sequence comes from Homo sapiens, assembly GCF_000001405.40. Taxonomy (NCBI): domain Eukaryota; kingdom Metazoa; phylum Chordata; class Mammalia; order Primates; family Hominidae; genus Homo; species Homo sapiens. Next base: position 112,354,094 of record NC_000005.10, on the reverse strand, counting down.
TTTGCTCAAAGTCAGACAACTCAAAATCAAGTCTAGGTTTTGAACTCATCTGGTTTCAGAGTCCATGCTCTTTACTACATATATGGTTTTCAAAGTTGCCTGTGTCTGGAAACTTTAAAAAATGCTGATGCCCACAGCCTGCTGCCGTGTACATCACTGGGGGCTCCTGAGAACAGGCCTGCATTACCTGGTGCCACCTCTCCGAGTGCCCAAACACAACTATGCAGGGGCCTCGGGATTGCCTTGTCCCATCTGTTGTCCTAGGCATGTGTGTGCACCATCAGGATGCCTCACAAAAGATCCAGCCTGTCTGCTGCTAGCACCCAAGTGTGCTGTTTGGGGACCCAAGGATTCCCCACTCCACCCACCACAGCCTATACCCATGCAAACTATCAGGGCCTGAAGACAGGCCTGCCCCACCTGAAACAGACCTCTCTGTTGCCTAATTATACCTCTTGGAAACCTGGGGATAACCCTGCCATGTGTACCACTGCTGGGATTTGTACACACCTCCCACAGGTCTGAAAATGGGCCCACCGAGCCTACCATCCCCACCCCCACCAACGCTACCCACCTACCTGTGCTGCCTGGGGACTGGCCTGCTCAGCTCATCACCACCACCACTAACCTCAGCACATGCTGTCTGGAAGCCAAGTGTTGTTCTACCACCACTGCTTCCATTGTCCATGTCATGCACGCTGCCCAGTGCCCTGAGGGCCTGCTCAGCCCGCCACTGCCGGCACCCAAGCAAGTTGCCTGGAGGCCCAAGAATCAGCTTGCTTGGACCCACTAACACTAGTGCCTGCATATGCCACCCAGGTGTCCAAAGACATGCTTGGTTCACTGCTTGGTTCAAGCATGCCAACAGGCATGCTTGGTTCACTGCTGCCACTGCTGAGGCCTGAGGACTGGTCTAGCTGGTGTCCTTGTCCCCAGCAAGGCCTTACCATAGTCTTCACTAATAACAGCCTAAGCCACTGAGGAATCAGACATTACTGCTGCTGATTACTGCTGAAGTAAACATATGGGCACTACACTGCTGTATGTATCCAGAATCAAAGCCAAAGTATAATACCTTACCTAACCAACACTATAGATACATCTGTAGGAAAAAAGCCTTCCCTATGAAAGCCAATCCAAAGAATTGGAAGAAGAAGCTGTTACTGTAGGTGTGCAGATGTCAACATAAGAATACAATTAACATGGAAAAGCAAGGAAACAGGACCCCTCCAAAGGAACAGAAGAATTCTCCACAACAGATTCCTATGAAAATCTATGAAATGCTTTAAAGAGTATTCAATGTAGTGATATTGAAGAAGGTTGGTGAGATATAACACACATCAACAATACAAAGGATTTAACAACTACAACTACAGCTGCTACCACTACAGAAAACCACCAAACTGTGATAATAATAAGAAAGGAAGAAAGGAATGAAAGATAAACAAAACGGAAAACAACAAAACAACAGGAATAAATTCTCACACATTAATAATAACCTTGAATATAAACAGATTGAATATTCCACTTAAGATATAGACTGATTCTTTTGTGGCTTCACATATAGTCTATCCTGAACAAAAGAAGTCCCAACAAATTTTTTAAAAAATGCAATTATATCATATATCTTCTTAGACCACAATGGAATAAAGCCAGAAATCAATAACATGAGGAGCTTTGGAAATGCTACAAATACATGGAAATTGAAGAACATGCTCCTGAGTGACCATTGGGTCAGTGGGGAAATTAAGAAGGAAATTTAAAAAGTTCTTCAAACTTGACATACCAAAACCTATGGGTACAGCAAAAGCAGTGCTAAGAGGGAAGCTTATAGCAATAAACACCCGCATCAAAAAAGTAGAAATATTTCATATAACCTAATGATGTATTTCAAGGAACTAGAAAAGCAAGAACAAACCGAACCCAAAATGAGTCGAAGGAAAGAAAGATCAGAGCAGAAGTAAATGAAATTGAGACTAGAAAATACAAGGACCAATGAAATGAGAAAGTGTTTTTTTTAAAAAGATAGCTTTCAGCTTTTCCCCATTCAGTATGATGTTAGCTGTGGGTCTGTCATACATGGCCGTTATTATGTTGAGGTGTCTTTCTTCTATGCCTAGTTTGTTGAGAGTTTTTATCATAAAAGAATGTTACATTTTATCAAATGCTTTCTCTGCATCTACCAAGATGATCTTATGGTTCTTTTCTTTCATTCTGTTGATGGAACGTATCACATTTATTGATTTGCGTTTATTGACTCATCCTTGCATGCCTAGGAGAAATCCCCCCAGTTGATCATGACATGTTATTTTTTTGATATGTTGCTGGATTTGGATTTTTAGTCTTTTGTTCGGGATTTTCACACCTATGTTCATCAGGGATATAGGCCTACAGTTTTTCTCTCTCTCTGTCTCTCTCTGTCTCTCTCTTTTTGTTGCTGGGTCCTTGTCTGGTTTTGGCATCAGCGTAATGCTGGCTTCATAGACTGAGTTAGGAAGAATTCCCTCCTCTTCAGGTTTTTGAAATAGTTTTAGAATTGGTGTTAGTTGTTCTTCATAAGCTTATTAGAATTTGGCAGTAAAACCATCCAGGCCTGGGCTTTTCTTTGTTGGAAGATTTTTTATTTCTGATCTAATCTCATTACTTGTTATTAGTCTGTTCAAGTTCTTATTTCTTCGTACGTCAGTCTTGGGGGGTTGTACGTGTCCAGGAATTTATCCAGTTCCTCTAGGTTTTCCAGTTTGTTAGCTTATTATTGTTCATAATAGTCTCTGATGATCTTTGTATTTCTGTGCTATCAGTTGTAATGTCTCCTTTTCTGTTTCTGATTTTATTTGCATATTATTTCTTGGTTGGCTTAGCTAGCAGTTTATTGATTTTGTTTACCTTTTTAAAAAACCAACTTCTCATTTTATTGCTCCTTGTATTTTCTAGTCTCAATTTCATTTATTTCTGCTCTGATCTTTATTATATCTTTCCTTTGACTCATTTTGGGTTTCGTTTGTTCTTGTTTTTCTAGTTCCTTGGAGATTTTTCTCTTCCTTGGAGATTTCTCAAGTGACTAAAAATAGAACTACCATATGATCTAGCAGTCCCACTACTGGATATTTATCCAAAAGAAAGGCGATCAGTATACCAGAAGGATATGTGTATCTCTCTGTTTATTGCAGCGCTGAATTAGTCACAATAGCAAAGATAGAGAATCATCCTAAGTGTCCACTAATGGATGAATGGATAGAGAAAATGTGGTATGTATAAACAATAGAATACTATTCAGCTATAAAAAAGAATGAAATCCTGTCAATTGCAGCATCATGGATGGAGCTGGAGGTCACTGAGTGAAGTAAGTCAGGCACAGAAAGATACCACATGTTCTGACTCATGTGGGAGCTAAAAAAGTTGGTCTCATGAAAGTAGAGAGTAGAATGTTAGATACTGGAGGCCCAGTATGGTGTATTTGGAGCTTGCAGGGAATGAAGAGAGATAGGTTAATGGGTACAAACATGCAGTTGGATGGAAGGAGTAACTTCTAATGTTCAATAGCATAGTAGGGTGACTTTAGTTAACAATTGTGCTGTATATTTCAAAATAGCTAGAAGAGATGAGTTGTAATATTCAGAACAGAAATGATAAATCCTCGAGGTGATGAATATCCTAAATACCTTGACTTGATCATTACACATTTTATGCATGTTGCAAAATAGCACATGTCCCCCATACATGTGTACAGCTATTATGTATCAAAAAAAGATGCTTGTGCCTAGGACATGCCCAACTAATTAAAGTCAGGATTTCTGGGGAGTGAGACCTTAGCTGTATTTTTTAAGCCTTCTGAGGTAATTCCATTGTGCAGTTAAAGTTGAGAACCATTGTTCTACATCTGTACTATTTAGCATGGTAGCTTCTAGCCACATATGCGTATTTAAACAAATGAATTAAAATTAAACAAAATATATAAAGATTGAGTCCCTCAGTCATACCTGACACTTTTCAAGTACTCTGTAGACATGTGTGGCTAGCGGCTGCTCTATTGGACTGCATATTACAGAATATTTCTGTCATGGCAACAGTTCGGTTGGGCAATGCTGTTCTACACCATGCTGTCTCCCATCCTTCACACTGTCGTCGTCTTCGCCCCTATGATCTTTGCCACTACTTTTTATAGCAGTTTGTTCACATGGCCTAACTTTGGGCCATGTCATCACCTGGAACTTGTTTTGCTTTGCAAGATTTTTTAACTCATCATTCCTCTTTGACCAGAACTTTCTGTCCTGTCCGTAAATGTCACCCTCTCTGCCTGTTTTCCCACTATCAGCTTCCTCTAGGTTTCATTTATCTTTTCCATGCCATTTTGGACCCCATGTTGTTCTGGACATCTCCTTCAGTGTCTTTCTTTTTCTCACCACACCCATGGTGGGCGTCTCTTGTGCTGAATGTGAATCCATTTACATTCTCTGCTTCTTTGATCTCATTACTGCTAAAGAAAATCATCTAACAGTGTCAGCATAATTTTTCAGTCTCATTCCGAAACTCAAATCTGCATGGCAGTACTCTCACTCATTCTTAGGCAGCTCTCTGTTTGTCCCTATAGCAGCTGTTATAGGCTTTTAAGCTCCCTGGTATCCTGGTCTTCCCACTCCTCCTCGGTCTCAGCAAATGATCTACAGGCAATGCTGCACAAACTCTTTGCACCTCCTTCCCTTCACCTCTATTCTTGCCCTTGTCTCAGTGCAGAGGCCCTGCCTCTTTCCAAGGTTCACTTCTCCAGTTGGTTATCTGAGCCCTGTCTTCCTGTACCAGGGGACTTTGCTCAAGTCTCCTATCCTAAAAAAAAAAGTATACTTTCTTGACCTCTGCATACCTGTAAAATGATGTCCTTATTCCCCCTTTTCCCATTTTGACAGACTTCAACATTTTTAAACTGTTTTCTGTCTGGCACTCACACCTGCCAGTCTACTGAAACTGTCCCCTCTGTGTCATCACCAACCTTCCGATGCCAGATTTGTCCTCTGCGGTGTCATTTGAAGTTGTGGCTACTCCTACTTTCCTGGGAGTTTCCTCTCTGTTGGGTCCATGACAGTCTGTGCTCTGCATTCTCCTTTTTACTTCCAGTTATTTCCCAGAATTCTCTGTACATTGTCTCCCCAGAGCCCTTGATGATTTGAACCCTGTCTTAGTCATGTCTTCTTCATTTGAAACTCCTCAGCATCAAGCCTAGTATTTGGTGTCAACATTGTGCGTAGTAACAGTATTGAATGGGATGGGCTCTAGTGAGATTTTGTACAAGGAATAAATAAATAGCTTGTTTGGGAATTCCTTGAAACACAGTTTTGATTTGCACATATGTGGTTCTGAGTGGACATATGGAATCCCTAACAGATATTTGGGAGTTTACTGTTGAGGTTCGTTTTCTCTCTCCATAAAACACCTGAATACTTCATTAGTGTCTGATCACATTCCTCACCCTGAAGTGCCTTACTTTGCAGATTTGCCGTGAGCTCACCCCTCCCCCACCTGCTTCCCTATGTGAGTTTCCCCTTCCCCTGCAGTGTGATTCAGGGGACTTCCCAGATGCTTTAGGTTTTGTCTGCAACTAGAAACATTCAGAATTACTGTGTTTTAAAATCGAACTTTCTAACAAAATGGCTTCCCATAAAGTAGGTTTTGGCTACGTTATTATTTATCATATCTGAAAATGATTATTTAGAAATTTGAGGACTGTGTTCTTGGAGATACAAAGAAATAAAAAGCCATGGCTTTTGAGAGGTTTATAGGCTACTAGGAAAAATCATATATACTGCATAACTTTAATACAGGCATGATGTGGTAAATGGACAAAGGTGGAGGTGTCGCAGATGGTTTCATGAAGGAGAAGACTTGAGGAGGACTTTGAAAGCTGGGTACGGACTTCAACTGGCAGAGACTATAGAGTGAGGATAGGCAATTCAGGTGGAGGGAGTGACATAGAGAAAAGTGTAATAGGTAGGGCACATGTTGGCTTATCTTGAGCATTTGAGTTTGACTGGAGTGGAGGCAGGTTGGAGATAAACATAGACTGAGGAATTGAGCCACATAGTAGAGAAGCTCAAATGCTAACCTAAACAGTGCAGATATGGTAAGCAGTAGGGAGCCTTTGAAGGTTTCCCGTAGAGGAAGGATGTGAGGATTGGGTCCTGGGAGGATGGATCTGGCAGTGAGCAATAGGTTGGGTGTATTGGAGGGGTCGAGACAGGGCCCCTGTGGCTGGGTAGCTGGACCGGAGAGTGGTAATGCTGAAGCTTTGTCTTTAGAGTGCTGGAAGACACAGGGGATGCCCCTTTACTGTGGCTGCTCAGGTGCTTGACTTAAACTTTTCTCTAATTTTCCACTAGTTCACATTCTTTCTCACTGCTGTATTCCACAAATATTCAATTATGTTCTAAAGGGAAGCCCAAAGCTCAGACAGTGAAAGGGAGGAAGAAGAGAATTCTGTTACCGGGTGAATAATTAAAAGCTGCATGAACATCTAAAAGCAAGTTTTCATACAAACTCAGCAACCGTGTGTTCTTAGGTGAGTCCATGTTGTGGCTCTGAGATGCTTGGAAAGTCATGCCCATAGTATATGGAATTGTGGGGGAGTGAAAAAACCTGTAATTAAAATGTGAGCACTAGCCTAAGTTCTGCATTTTAGTGAGCAGATATGAATGATCAACACTGGGGAATTGCCAGCATGTTCCTCAGTTATTTAAAATTCAACCTAATTCTACTGCATTTTCCTTATCTTTTTAACTACCATTGCTTTCCACCATCAGTGCAAATGTCAACACAGTGAAACAGGCACATAACTTCTTGGTATTATTACAAGCATAGTTTTGACCTCATGGATCCCCTAATGGATCACATTCTGAAAATGCATGTGTGTGCATGTGTGTGTGCGTGCATCCATCCATTGGTTATTGTAGCCCACTTTTGTGGTTAGCTGATACTGCTTATAGCTTTCAGATGCTTTGACATTTGCTGTTTCCTCACAGAATTTTGTGTAGATCTTAGCACACTGAGCACTGTTGTGGTTCAGGACACAGTTGGTTTATTGGCTTTTAGGGTCAGATATACAGCTGGCTGTTTGGACTCTAACTGTCAAAATGCTAAATATTGGGCGCCTACTCCCAGATCCTTCTCCTGGGTGTTCAGAAAGCTGTAATGAGCACTGGGGACTTAAGAAACCATGTAGACATGCAGCACCTCTTTCAAAGCCATTGCCCAAAAAGCTTGAGGGGATTTCTGTGGCTAAAACTTGTATTGACTGCTGAAATAAGGAAATAATGAAATGCAAATTCTGTTTTACTGAAGCCTAGTTTTAGTTATTTTAGGTTATGACTATAAAACAACATTACAAAGGGTTGATAGTCTTGTACATTTCTGCAGTGTGGTCTATGGTTGCCATGTTTCTGTTTATGAACTACTGGGGCTAACGTTTTTGGTGAGAACCAGAATGATCTATACTCAAAGTTTGACTTCTGTCAGTTTTTTGTAACCTCTAGGCATTTTATTAGTTCTTTCACTTTTGGTTTCTTTTGTTAGGTAAGAGCATACAGGCTGGGCGCAGTGGCTCATGCCTGTAATCCCAGCACTTTGGAAGGCTAAGGTGGGTGGATCACAAAGTCAGGAGTTTGAGACCATCCTGACCAACATGGTGAAACCCCATCTCTACTAAAAATACAAAAATTAGCCAGGTGTGGTGGTGCATGCCTGTAATCGCAGCTACAGGAGGCTGAGGCAGGAGAATCGCTTGAACCCGGGAGGCGGAGGTTGCAGTGAGCCGAGATCACACCACTGCACTCCAGCCTAGACGACAGAGCGAGACTCCTTCTCAAAAAAAAAAAAAAAAAAAAAAAAAAATGCAATGTACCTAACTTTAAAGAATTTTTTTCTACCAGGTGTGTTTCATGGAATTACAACATATGGTTATATCTTTGTGAATAAATGATGTGGCATCCCAAAACGATGGCAGTCTTGGAAACAGCAAAAATAATTGTGGAGTGTGTGGCTAACAGTCTTGTTCTTAGTCTTTCTAGTAATCTAAGACTATTACATTAATGCATTGATCTGCCTTGTCCTTGTCAGTGAAATCAATTAACTATATCCCATTTCAACTCACTATTTTAAAAATTAAAAAATATCAAAACTACCTAAATTATAAAATACATAGGTGTTTATATTGGAAAATTTGGAAAATGTAGTAGTATAACAAGAAAATAAAAATCATCCCAGGTTGCTGGGGCTTTATGTGTGCGTGTGTGTGTGTGTGTGTGTGTGTGTGTGTGTGTGTGTGTGTATATATATATATGTATATATATATATGCATCCTGTAGCATTGTGCACATCCTACAACACTGCATGCGTGTGCACACATAAACACACACACGTACACACACATGCCCTCCCTGTAAAAGGGCATTAGGTAACATTCTGTGGTGATGGTGAATTGAAACTCACCAAACTGTATTCTTAAGATTTGTACATTTCATTGTATAAATAATATATTGCAATCCAGTAATAAAAAATTATTCTACAATCTCAGTACCCAGGGACAACCATGGTTAACATTTTTGTATATTTCCTTCTAGTCTAATGTATCTTTTTTTTTAAAGAGATCTTACAGAATACTGCAGCCTACTTTAAAAAATTAACATATCTTCAGCATATCTAAGTGTCATTAAATATGTGTTCAAACATGGTATGTAACAGCCACTGTATATCTATTATCCATATTTACTACAATTTTATATAGTCAGTTCCCTATTATTTCATATTTAGGTTGAAGACTTACAAATGTAATTGCATAAAACTTTTTTCTCAGTTGTGGATTTTTTGTGTATGTGTCAATTTAATTTGATTCAACTCAGTTTTAATTCGAGAATCTATGCTTGGGGGCCAACTCTGGACATGCTGTGGGCCATTTCAGCCATGCCCCAAAGGGAGCCTGTGGTCAGGCTGTGCCAGATAGGCAAGATTGAAATGAAAAGAGTAATACCAAGTCATTATAATATGTGAGTGCCTTGTGTCTCAGGAATTGTAAATTTTGGCAAAATAAGATTATATTGGTATAAATGAGGAAATAATATAGTTACCATTTATTGAGACTTCTTATGTGGCAGGCACTATGTTAAGATATTTATAGTTGTTTGTCACAGTGGCTTTGTAAAATAGACATTCTTAAATAAAAGTCAAGCACTCCAGTCTCTTTCTGTACTGTACAGTCTACTTCTACCAGAGAAAGAGAACCAGTAGGTGCTATATATTCAGTTTCATTGTAAGTCCTTGGCTTCTGTGATTGTGTGGGCTTGCCAGTGAGTCTGACTTCCATAGGGCAGCACCTCGGGAGGGCAGCCTGGGACTCCTGGACAGGAGTTGAGCTGCGGACACAGGCAGAATTTCTTCTCCCAGAAGCCTCAATTCTGCCCTTCAGGCCTTGTAATGGATTGAATCTGACCCACCCAAATTGTCTAGGATAATCTCGTAAACAGCTTATAGACTTCAATCACACCTACATAGTATCTTCACAGAAACACTTAGTGTTTGATTGAATAACTGAGGAGCATAGCCTAACCAAGTTCACTTAAAACTGTTATCAGAGTTGGTCAGTGAACCCCCATGTACAACAAACACTATAAACCAGTCTTGCCTCATCCACATCTCCATCTGCTTCTCTCATTCCTATTTTATTTTGAAGCAAATCCTGGTCATTGTAAATTAATGTTCTAGTAAGTGTGTATTTCTAGCCCAGGGATGTCCTACAGAATTTTCTGTAAGGACAGGACTTGAGCCACATGTAGATGTTGAGTACTTGAAATATGACTAGTGAGACTGTGGACCTAAATTTTTACTCTTGTTTAATTAAAGTTTAGATAGCCTCATGTGGGTAGTGATTATGATATTGAACTTAGATTAGCCTTTTTTTTATTTTTTAAAAAACCATAATCCTATTATCTAGTGGAACGTTTAATAATTCCTATAATATTATCAAATATCAAATCAATTTTTTAAAGGAGATTGGTTCTCACTATGTTGCTCAGGCTAGAGTACAGTGACTATTCACAGGCACAATCGTAGCATACTACAGACTTGAAATCCTGGGCTCAAGCAATCTTCTTGTTTTGGCCTCCCAAGTATATGAGACTTCAGGTGCATTCCGCCATACCTGGCTTATCCAGTCAATTTTAACATTCCATGTTGTTTCATAAGTGTGATAAATGGTTATGTATTTTTAATAGTTTGAATCAGAATATAAAAGAGGGCTGTGCATTGTAATTGGTTGAGTCTGTTTTCAGAAACAGTGGTTTTCTCTCTCTCTTGCTATTTATTTGTTGAAAAAAATTGGATTTTTATTCTTGCTAGATACTCCTACTCATTTGATAGATTATTTTGTGAAGGTTTGGTTTTGTAAACTGAGTTAAAAGCCAAGTCTGGCTTCAGAACCTAAGCTCTGTTCTGAAATGATGGTGGTCTTGGTGGTGGTGGTAATGATGATGGTGAAGACAGTGGTGGTGAACGTGGTCGTGGTGATGGCAACACCAACAACAGCATAGCTAAACTTGAGTACTTGCTGTGTGCTGGGAACTCGCTAAGTACTTTACATACATTATGTCAGTTCTCACAGTGGCCCTGTGATGTACATGCTGTTAATATTCCCGTCTTACAGATGGGACAAATGACTTCCCCAATATAACACAGCTGGTAAGTACCAAAGTTGAAATTCAAACCCAGGCAGTCTGGATCCAGAATCTGAATTCTTAATCACTGTAGTACCTTGTCTCCATACTATATATTTCTTCTTAAGCAGAAGGACTGAGAAACTCATTTTTAGCTGCCTCTTAGGATGTGTTTGAAATTATGAACCTAAATTTGACCAAGTGTTTTTCGGGGGCTGTTGGGAGAATGGAATCAATTAATGCTTCAAAGCACTTGAGAACCCTTAATGTAAAAAACTGTTATGGAAAGTGTATACCTCTCTGTAAAGCCAACTGTCTGTTATTCCCAAATTCTTATTTGTGCTTTGTATGCTAGTTGCTTCCAAATGGGATCTATTTCTATCGGCCACATTCTGAATATGACACTTTTCATTTAAAGTCAGTTGTACATTATAGAAATCCTCTAAGAAACCTGTTTAGAAACCGTTCTATCCAAAGTACTTTGCATAGTTTCTAGGTTATAAGGGATTTGTTTATGGTGACAAGATTGACTGCTGAAATGTGTGCTTGGGAGTGAATGCCTCAGAAGTGTAGCAATTTACTACAAAACGTGTGTATCTGTGCACGATGGAATTTTCTTACTTTGTATGCCAGTCTGCCAACTGGCAGCATAAAAGTGACCTACGAGAGTCTCAGTGGTGCTCTCTTATGAAGTCCACCCCTTTGGGTCTGATCTGCTTACTTCTTCAACCCAGGTGGCCATGGAGGCAGTTGCTCCTGCTGCTGGCTGCTGACTGCTGACTGCTCTTGCTCGACTAGGAACAATAGACCCTCAGCTCTAATGCATTTCACATGTATTGGATTAAACTGGTAACTAATGCATCACGTGGGGAAATTGGCCTGGCTGATAAAAGGGCCTTGAAAATGTGCCTGGTGCTTTTGCAACTCTGTAAAATCTGCCACCAGCACACCTACTTGTCAGGACTGCCTGTTACCTCCAGCCCACCACACTGGATTGTGCTGAGCACAATTTCTATGAATAAAGCATTCTGTGAATGCTTTAGAAAAGTTATCAGGAAAGACCAGTGATAAGATAAATTTCATGTTTCTGTAATTCAGTGGGAAAAGGAGCAAAGACAGGACAGGAATGGAAATTGGTGAGCCACTTGGGATAGCATGTTATCACGTCCAGTCATCATGGTTGTCTGATCATACATGTTGTGTATAGTATTTCTCTTCATTACCCAGTATCTTGTCTTTTATAAAAATGGTTATTTGTTAACTTCTTTTTTATAAAAGGGAAGATTTTAATATGTTTTAGTTTGTGTCTCCCAAGAATATATTTCTGTGACAGAGTTTTACAGTTTCTAGTTGCATAATGTTTCGTGAATTCTCTTGATCCATTCTATAGGAGGAAATGGTTTTATTTGACTTTAAATATAGTTATTTGAAGAAATTTCCCCACATTTAATTTGTACCTTTAATACTGTTATACTGTCTTCTCATAAGCTAAGATTATATATAGGATTTGGGATTACTGTCCAAAAATATTTTTTCCATTTTTCTTTTTGATACAGGGCTCTATGTTTAGAGTGTTATTCAAGACGTAGTTATGGATGAACAATACAACTTTTGGGGTGTGTGTGTATGTGTGTGTGTGTGTGTGTGTGTTTTAAATAGTGACAGGGTTTTGCCATGTTGCACAGGCTGGTCTTGAACTTCTAGACTCAAGTGATCCACCTGCCTCAGCCTCCCAAAGTGCCAGAATTATGGGCGTGAGCAACTGCACCTGGCCAAGCTTTTAATTTTTAAAATTACTTTCTTTTGGGATTGTTGGATGTGAACCATCAACAAAGATGTTTTTAATGGTTCATCTGCCTTGCTGATTTGTGAGGTTATGAAATTGGTTTCAGAGGATCCTATTGCTGTGATATTTCAGTTGACAGTTAAAGCATCAGATACTTTAAAGCTACATTTGATGATCCCTGCTATTAAAATAATTTTTGGACCAACGGTACCGAATACAATACATACACACACAGTATGTTTTTGGAAAATTATTCATTGAAGAACTGGTTATGAGAGGAGTAAGAAACATTTGTATCAGTTTTAGGAAGGTTAAGGCATTATAATCAAACACAGTTATATGTGGGATTTTTGGAAGTTGATAAGCATTCATTCAACAATTTAATTAAAATTTGAGTGTCCTGCATACCAGGCTCAGGGGACAGAGCAATGAACTGAAAAGTCCCTGTTCCCATGAAGCTTTCATTCTCATGGGAAGGAGACCAATTAAACAGTGAAAACATTAATATACAATAAACGTAAAGAAAAACAAAGTAGGTGATGGGGATAGGAGAGATGGCGTGTGGGGAGGATTGCTATTATGGAGTGGTGCTTGCAGAGGACCTTCCAGAGAAGGTAACATTTGAGCAGAAATCTGAATGAAGTAAGGGACTAAGCCATGTGGCTGTTTGATAGAGGGAAAGAAAAATCCCTGCATTGTGAACAGTAGGTGGAAAGGTCGAAGGGTATATGTAAATGGATACTTATGTATGAAATATATTTATGTTTACAATAGGGCTGAGTGAATGTTTTGGGCTTGCTGTCGAAATTGAATCTCTATCCAGGGAGTAGACATAGGAGCAACAATATACGTCCTTTTTAAATGGATCATTTATAAACAAAATTCATATCACCGAAAGAAAATTGGCAGAAACGTACATGTAGTTACATCAGAACTAGCGAATATAAAAGGTAAAAATAATACCTTAATATGCTATTATACATCCATTTAAAAATTGATGTTCTACAGAGCAGGGATCTGTTTTTATTGCTATTTAGTCTTTATATGAGAACTAGAAAATATTTCCTTATTGAAGGAAGTAATCTAAGTAAGACTTCCCACCCTTCTCAAACTGTTGGCCAGAGAGGCAGATAAGAAGTGTGATAAAAGCCAAAGCAGGGGTCATGGTTAAATGCTACAGCAGTGGTTCCCAAAATGTGTTCTCTGGACCTGCAGCATCAGCATCCTCTGGGATCTTGTTAAACGTGCATTTTGGGGCCCCACTCCAGATCAGCTGAATTAGGAGCTCCGGGGGTGGAGCCTAGCAGTCTGTTTCAACAAGGCCATCGGTTGACTCTGATGCATCCTAAAGTTTTAAGAACCACTGTGCTACAGAGAGGTCAAGTTGGATAAGAGCCAGAAATCTTCACTGGGGTTCCTAATTGGGTAGATCTTCCTTTCCTTCCGTCACTCCCTCAATCTTTTGCAGACTTGACTCTGACCTTAACACTTTGTTGAAAGGGCGGGGTCGATGGGCTCTCCTCCGTGACTTTTCTCATGCTGCTGTGAGCATTGGATATGAGGGAACCACATGGGGCCCTAATCGGGAGTTCTGGTTCTCTGTTCCAACTTTCTCTTATTAACCAACTGGGTGACATGACGTGAGTGATTAACTAGTCTAGGCCCTGGTTTTCTCATCTGTGAGCCCAGAGAGTGATATTTATTAATAATTAAAAGGTCTCTTCCATGAGGTCTGAAGTTATTATTTGCTTAAATATTTATGCATTTGAAATTTATAAGCTTGGCCAAGCGTGGTGGCTCACGCCTATAATCCTAGTACTTTGGGAGGCGAAGGCAGGTGGATTACTTGAGGTCAGGAGTTGGAGACCAGCCTGGCCAACATGGTGAAACCGCCTCTCTACTAAAAATACAAAAACATTAACTGGGCATGGTGACGTGTGCCTGTAATCCCAGGTACTCAGGAGGCTGAGGCGGGGGAATCGCTTGAACCCAGGAGGTAGAGGTTGCAGTGAGCCGATATCAGGCCACTGTACTCCAGCCTGGGCAACAGAATGAGACTCTGTCTAAAAAAAAAATATATATATATATAGATATATATCTATATATCTATATATATATATAGATATATATATATATATATATAGATATATATATATCTATAGCTATATATCTCCTTGTTTAAATATATTTATTTGTTACTGTATTGTTAGCTACTTAGATTTATGTGTGTTATTTGTGGTTACCAAAACTTTGACTCTCCACTGTATACTTCAGTCCTATAATAATGGAGCCAGTTTATTTATGGGGGCAGTGCTGTCAGGCCTTGACTGACCTTGTCAAGGAGCCTGACACTGTTATTTTAAACCCATCAGTGGTGTGATAGCCAGCCCTGATTCACAGCTTGTGTTTATGGTTTGATGATTAGAATCTCATCCTTTGGCCAAGGAACACAGCCACATTTGAAAAGCTCCTATTGTGCAATTCCTGCTCTCTTCGCTGGCACCTAAACCCAGTCGCCAGGCCTGTTGATTTTTCCCTCCAGTATCTCTTGCATTCATATGCTCTTCTCCCTTCATTCTCCCCCACCCTGTCACTTTCTTTTATTTACAAATGTTCTCTGAGTGCCTACTGCATGCTAGGTAAGGCGCCAAAATGGTCTGGAGATAAAGTGTGAGCACAGCAGGAGACAGAGGGAGATAGCCATTCTTGAGCAGTAGTTGGCAAACCTTTGCTGTAAATGATTAGGCAATAAATATTTTGAGCTTTGTGGGCCATTAGGTCTCTGTTGCACCTCTTGGACTCTGCCACAGACAATGTGTAAAACAATAGTGGACGTGTGTTCTAATAAATGCTTAGGCAGTGACTCAGATTTGGCCCATGTGTTGTAGTTTTCCAACCCTGTTCTAGAGGGTGAGGGAGGCCGTTAACAAATACACAATGTGTGTATGTGTTTGTCAAGTTATAACTGCTACGAAGAGAATGGAAAGCTAGGTATCTTTTTGTGTGTGGTGGCGGGGGGTGTTCTTTTTTATATACGCTGGTAGAGGAAGCCTCCCCCATCTCCAGACAGTGGGGGAAACAAATCATAGGATACCTGATGGTTTGAAGGGCCTTCCTGGTGAGGGAGCACAGGTGCAGCGACCTGGTATGACCATGTATTGGGCTTGTTCAGGTTAACAGCAGGGAGCCAGCCATGCTGGAGAGAGCCGGAGCAGGTGGGCAGGCAGTCTGAGACAGTGCCGAGAGAAGAGTTGGTAGGGGGGTCACCAGCAGACAGGGAGAAAGGGCTCCCCACAAAGAAAGTAGCTTCTTTGAAGGTTTGAAGGGGTCTGAGAAGCTGATCTGCTATGGGAAGGTAGCAGTTTAGTTTGGCTAGAGAGCAGATGAGATGGGATACTCAGGGGTGTGAGAAGACTGAGATTAGTAAAGTCAGCTTCAAATGTCATGCCAGAGGAATTTCACTGTATTCATGGGCATATTTTTTAAGGCAAGGAACACTGCTTGTGTTTTAGAAAAGGTGACACATGGCATTTTGGAGGGTAAGAGGCAGGGATGTGGATGGGAAGAAGGTTGAAGGCCTGACCTGAACCTAAGGGGATGGAGGCAAGGCGAGCGATTTAGGAGATATCTCACCCTCAGACAAATGGGGTCCTCTTTTGTCTTTCCATGTGCCCAGTGCCTTCTTGCAGTCATTGGTACCTTTGTTTCTGCTGTTCTGTCCTCCAGGGATGCCCGCTCCTGACTTTCACTTCCAAGGAATGGCCCAAAGGCTTCCATCTGTGAGAAGCCTGCCCTGACCACTCATATTAGAAGAGTTCACTTTCTCCTCTCAATTTTCCTAGCACCTTTTCCCCAGTACTTTTTTTACAATATGGGTCAGATAGGGCTTTTGTTTAGATGCCCTTATCACTTCTTATGTATTGTAACACTCTTGAGGGCAGGAGATGCTTTATTGAAATTAGGATCCTTGTATATGGTGTAGCAGGGAATATGAACTCGGGGGTTATGCTGTCCTCCCACTTACTGTGTGACCTTAGGTCAATCACTTTGCTTCTCTGAGCCTCCGTCCTTTTGTCTATGAAAGGAGACAGGAGTTTCACCAGTCTGTGGGGATCTTGTGATGACTGAGATACTGCATGGAAACAGTTCAAACAGAGCCTGAACATCTTAAGTGTTCAATAAATGTTAGCAATTATTAGTAGCATTACTGATAAAACAGTGCTTAACACGGTGGTTGATATATGGTAGATACCCAGCAAACGTTTGACATAGGGGATGTGGTACCGGATTTTATAGTAGATTGTGTTAGACCAGACTGAATTGTGGCAAAGCTGACTATAACAGATGGGTTTGGGCTTTGTAATGATCAAATTATGGAATTTCAGAGAAACTTATATGTAGCTAGATATCTCATTAATTACAGAGGAAAAGCTGATAAAATTTCATTTATATATGGTTGAAGAGCCCCAGTACACATGCATTATCAGTATTAATGATGAAATATTGCATCTTACAAAACCTTCACGTGACAGGCTCAAAAGGTAAACACTGAGGGGTAATGATTAATGTCCACAATGCATATTGTTTCTATACAGACAGGTAGCTGTTGTTGTTTGGGTTCTCAATGGCACTGTGAAATAACTACAGACAGGTTGTATTTGTTGTCTTATGAGCAAGGTATATGAACAGACTGTAAAAGGGAAGTCTCTAATGAAAAGATGCTTTTGCTCTTGAGAGATCAGAAATTGTTTTTAGACATGGCCTTGAGAAAGTTGAAAGACATGTAATTGACCCCAAATACCTCTAGGACATTTGTCAATTCTGAAAGCTATCACCTACTCATTATTTCTGCAGCTAAAAATCTTCTCTTTCTAGCTTTCTGACCTTGTATCTCAGTGGCACAGCCACCAAGCCTTTGGATGTTGTCATCATCTCCTTTCTGTACTTTTGCCTCTCACACCCTGACTAACTTTTTGGTTTTGCATTTTGGATCCACTCAGTGGTAAGCCCTAATTACAGGGCCCCACCCAATCACAAGGGGACCAGGAAAGTGCTCTTGTACCACTGGAAGTATTTGGCGAACAGCTCTAATGACCACCACAGTATAATGTGTACAGGGTAAAGAATCACCCCACTTTGAAGCCTTTTAAAGGGGTTGGCGGGATGAGGAAATCTGCCTTCTGGAACACAGGAAAGAATAATGCCACAGGCCTCCTATTTCATACTCTGGAATTGAACTCCCGCCCCCAACCAGTGACATGCAGAGGAAAGCGCCTTACTCCACCTAACTCTGAACAGCCCACTTTGAAGCTTTTTGACCTGCACTTTCTCAAACAAGTCGATGCAGGTTCAATTTCCACTGCCCCCTCCCCATCCATCTTTGGTCTTAAAATTAACTTAAAATGTGTTTGTTTCTGGATTTGCCACTGCTCCTTGAACTAGTAATGTGTGACTGCTTTCTCATACTCCTTTGTGCCTTCACTTGTGTTTCCCTCTTTCTTGGAAGACCCTTCCCATCCCACTTATCCAAACCCTCCTCATTTGTTAGTTCTCATTTCCTCCAGGAGGCCTTTCCTTGCCTGGTGTAGGGAATCATGAAACACAACTTTGAGGGCGTGTGAGGGTGGTGCCTGATGGATTAAAAAAGACTGGGGGACGGTACTGTTTCTAGACGAAGGAGATAGCAGGTGTGAAGCATCAGTGGAAAGAAGTCCAGAGTGGCTGGACCCTCAGAGTGAGGGGAGAGAAACACCAGCTGTGATGGGTCATGACTAGATCATGGAGAGAGGGCTTGGAGATCAAGGTGTAGATAATTTGGTTTTTGTTTTTATTATATTGGAATGCCATTGAAGAATTTTAAACCAGAAGATGTTAAGTTTGCATCTTAAAATTCTCTCTCTCTGGCTGCTCTGTGGAGACAGGAGCAGAAGTAGATATGGGGACACCAGTTAGGAGGCACTTGCAGTAGTGGAGATGCCTCCTATCAGGCAATGACTGTGGAGGTGGAGAGCCATGGTCAGGTTCATGCCCAGAAATCCTGTTCTAGTCGTAAAAATGTCTGACTGGCGTAATTTGGTAAAATGGCCATCTGGAAAATGCCAGTTTGAGGGCCTGATTTAATAGACATGAATGTCTAGAAGCATTCAACCTACTGGACTGCTTTTTCTCATATTCTGTATCTCTTAAACTATATAGATCTGGTAAGATTTCAAAGAAAGTGGTAAACATTTTCTGCTTATACATCTACATTAGGTTCACTTTTTTTCTGTTAAATCGATTAATCTTCCTCTTATAAGGCTTAAAAGGTGTCTGACTGTTCAAGAAGGAGGGTCCTTAACACTGATCCCCTCTGTGAGTTGGTGCTTGGGTGTTAATAGATACAGACTCTAGCACAGTTGCTTTTGTTTTTGTGCCTCTTGGCAATGGAAATCTCTCCCCTGCCCTCCTGTACTCTGTGCCAAGCCCTGGCCAGGACCTGACGAGACATCCTGTGTCCAGGGCTCCTTTGTGCCCAATCAGTGCAAAGCCAGGAGGCTTTGTTCCTCTACTTGACAGAGTGGTTATTCCTGGGCCATATTGACTTCACGAAAATGAACATGACTTTCGGGGTGAGGCTGTACCCTAGTATAGGCCAGTGTTTTGTGAAACATTTCCTAAAGTTGTGTTCTCTCCTAAAGTTTGATCTTTGCTTGGTAGGACATCTGTGAAATACCCAGACCCCTTATATCAGTTTTTATTTTCTTATACTCACTGTTGTAATCCAAAACATGTCTCAGATAGGTCTCAATCAGTTTAGGGGTTTATTTTGCAAAAATTAAGGATCATGACTCATGACACAGCCTCAGGAGGTCCTGAGAACATGCGCCCAAGGTGGTTGGGTTACAGCTTGGTTTTATACATTTTAGGGAGACAGAAGTCAGGCAAAGACATAAATTAATACATGTAAGGTATACATTGGTTTGGCCCAGAAAGGTGGGACAGCACAAAGGGAATGATGGGGTTACATGTCATAGGGGAATTTAAAGATTTTTCTGACTGGCAGTTGGTAGACAGAGATAAATTATTATATAAAGACCTGGAATCAATAGAAAGGAGTGTCTGGGTTAAGATAAGGGGTTGTGGAGACTAAGGTTTGTATTATGTAGATGAAGTCTCATATGTGGCCATCTTTAGAGGCAATAGATGGCAAATATTTCCTATTGAGATATATAAAAGGTGCTAGACTCTCAGCTAATCTCTTCAGGATCAGAAAAGCACTTGGGAAAGAGATTCTACACAGAATGTAAATTTCCCCCACAAGAGACAGCTTTGCAGGGCCATTTCAAAATATGTCAAAGAAATATATTTTGGGGTAAAATACTTTGATTTCCTTTTAGGGTCTGCTATTTGTTATGTGATGTATGTGATGTTATATACCAAAGTCAGGTTGGAATTGGTATCTTGTTGCTACAAAAAGGGTTTGTTTTGTCAGTTTTAGGATCTTTATTTTAATATTAATAATGGTTGGCTGTGTGCCTGAACTCCAAAGGGAGGAGCGTATAATAAGGCACATCTGACTGTCTGACTGCCCTCACCCCGCAACCCGTTCCCATCATGGCCTGAACTAGTTTTTCAGGTTTCACTGGGTCCCCTTGGATGAGAGGAGGGTCCATTCCATCAGTTTGGGAAACTTAGAATTTTATTTTTGGTTTACGCTGTTGATAGTATACTGCAGTCCTTTAGATGATCTAAGGTTGGTGCTGAGCTAGCTGCTTCTTTACATTTATGGGGGAAACTGATGGTAACAGTATCAAGTGTGAACATAGAATAATTCAATGTGATATCCCTCCTGGCTAATCAGAGGCCCTGGCAGACAGCCGGGTTGCCAGAAAAGCATTTATGCAAAAAGAGAACTGGTGACATGTGTCTTGGAAAAGTGGCATTAGATCTGCTGTCAGTATGTAACAGAGAGAGAGAGACTGCAACTCATACGGTGTGTGAGTGGAGGGGAGAGAGTGGGGGAGAAAACAGGACCAGAGAGTCAGGCAATTGAGAAGACAGCATTCTCTCCTCATGACCAACCTATCCATTTCTGAGAATAGGGGCTGCAAACACAGCATCCTGGATTGTCTCTGCTTTGTCTGTCAATATGTGTGTTTACTTAATATTCACACACACTCCTTCTCCTGGGGCTTGGTGTCACAGTCATTATCCTTCCATCGGAGACTGGCTGCAGCTTCCTGCGGAGACCAGCCGAGCATTTCCTTAATTGGCTGGTAAGGTCAGCATGCAGTTGACATGCACATTCCTGCCGTTTTCCCTTCCCCCCTTTTTGACATCTCCCTCTCCCACCCCCCAATATATTTCCTAGAGGGGAGGGCCAGCAGAAAGGAATTAGGAGCTTGCCCCAAGAAATGAAACCTGCTCAGGGTGCAGCTTCTCAGCCAGAGACTCAACTGTGATCTGCTCTAAGCCCTTTGGGTGCCTCCATTTTAAACCGATAGAGAAAGATAATAGTCCTGCAGTAAGGGAGCTATTGAGCAGCAGAGTAGCTACTAATGATTGCAGTATCTTCACATTTTTTAGAGGCATTGGGAACTCTATAATATCTTAAATGCAATTTATGCTTATAAATCAATACCCACCATTTCTCTCTTCTTTCCATACCACATGCTGTGTGTGATCTGAGTGTCTGAGAACCTTTCTGCAAACCTTGGGCACTAATGTCTTGATGGTATGTTGTGTTGCTTTCAAAACAGTAACGGAAGAAAGCCTTTTACTATTTATAAATAGCCACAAAAAGTATAAGCAATTCTACAAAAAGAATAATGTGCTTTTTAGAAGATATGGCAGAGTTTTTAAAAAGCCAAACTTCCACCATATCTGTGCATATTTTCAGTTGCTAATTGTAACTGTATTGTTGGTAACTTCTGTTATTCCGAGAATTAGCAGGGGGGACTAAAATATAACCTGGTGTCAGTCAAATATAAGGCTTAGGAAAAAAAGAATGCACAAAGGAAGAGGGAAAAGAAAGAAAATCAGGGATGAAAAATCATTGTCCAGGTTGGGGAGTAGAAGACTGACTCCAGAGAGAGTCTGGGGTGTCATTCAGGAGCATTGGTGCCATGCATCTCTCTTCAGCCAGAGTTTTATTATGGTCTTTAAAAAATAAAAATCAATACGCATGTATTTCATGGCAGACCCTTTCACACTCTGAAATACCACTAATGGTGACATGGGCAGTGACAAAGACAAAAGAGGAGTCAAGGTCCTGGGTGGTCCCCAAGCCAAATAATTACTTCAAATAATGCAAATAGTACTACCCACCTAAGGGTGTATGTTTCATCAAGAATAATTTAAACAGGAGAAAAAGTGGACAAAAGAAAGATGGGATGATAGTTAGGAATAGAGAACTAAAAACAAAAAGACTGTGTTTTATTCTTCTCACTATCCTTAAGATTCTGGAATTGGAACAATAGAGGCAGGACTCTGCAGCAGTGTTGGAACTCCCTCCTTGAGGATAGAGGAGGAAGTCCAGATAACCTTTGCTTTCCTTCTTGGTTCACACACCAGATCCCTTAGATTCCTTCGGTTTCTGTTCCTGTTCCCAGTTCATTTGGTCTGAGAGGGAGCTTTTTGGAGTAGTCTTGTTTCTTAACAAGAAATGCTCCTATGATTCTAACCCCTGGCTGTTCTTGGGAGTCACTTGGACAGCGCAGGGTGAAAGGTCAGGGATTAGCATTGAAAAAACCCAGGTAGTTCTAATACGCCCTCAGAAGCAGGCACCTTGTGGGGGCCATGGACAGCATATCCCTTATGGAGTTGGTAGCCTCCAGCTGCTGTCACTCATGTTGGTTAAGGGACTGGTGGCCACTTGCTTCTGGGGGCCGAGGGCCCTTGCCTCCCAACTCCATCAGCTGGACTTGCGAAGATCCTGCATCCTGCTTATACAGTGTCAGGGTGGGGACTGAGAACTTTGCTGACATTCATTGGGGTGCAGCAATAGTACCCAGAAGGCCCCGCTTGGGCAGCCTTCACCAGGTACCCTCAGCTGCTCTGGCCCCAGGCACCAAGTATTTCTGTGGTTCAGATGGCAGACAATGCTATATACAAAGTATCAGTGAGGAGCAGGGCATGCCAGCCCTCTGATACCCCAGGGAACACTCAGTTGGGGGATCCCTGAGGCTGTGTGCCCACTGTGTGTTATAAACAAGGAAAGCAGGAAGTGAATTTTGACCTCCAGTTTGGGGCCTTTTGTCTGGTATAGCATGGTCAACACTTCTCCACTGGTTTGTTTATATGTAAAACCAGCAGAACTGGGTAGTTGTAGGAGAGGACGGGTTGGAAGGTAATGTGTTGGAATGATAGCAGGGCACCAGTTCTGGACCGGGTTTTTGGCACAAATTGACCTTCACAACAAACCTGTGAGGAAGATGGAGTTGTCCCTCCATGCCCTCCATTAGAAGAGGAAGCTGGGCACAGAGAGTTAAGAAACTTTTCCAAATTTGTGTGAGTATTAAGAAGTGGGAACTGAGATTGGAACTCAGGCTTGCTTGACACAGAATCTGTGGCTTCCTTACCATTTTGGGTAAGGATTTTTAAGAAGAGAAAGGTAGCTCCTTCACATATTTAAAGATGACTTCTGTTACGGAAGATGGCCTGTTGACCTCAACAAGATACGTAAGGTCAGGAAATGGAAACAGTACTGAAGTTTACACAATGAAGAGTGCAGGCCCCTCCTCACCCTGTCCACACTCCATCCTCCTAACTGCTGTCTCCGAAGGTAATCACTCTTGATGATTTTTTTCTAAATCTATATGAAAATATGCATATTAACATATATTGATACACAGACCCAGAAGTATAATCCTTTTTTTTTTTTAAACCTATACC
Organism: Homo sapiens; assembly: GCF_000001405.40. Lineage (NCBI taxonomy): Eukaryota > Metazoa > Chordata > Mammalia > Primates > Hominidae > Homo > Homo sapiens. Next base: position 112,330,745 of record NC_000005.10, on the reverse strand, counting down.
AAAGATAGAATAGAATACTCTGCACACTAGAGGCAGGATAGCACAGTTGCAAACATGGGTTCCACAGCCAGCTGGCCTGGGTTCAAATTCTGCGTCTTCTGCTTACCATGTTTAAGGCATTGGGCTAGTTACCCCCCATTCCTCAGTTTTCTCATCTGCAGTATGGATTCTTCTGATTGAATCTGATAATGTTAATAACTTGGAACAATGGCTGCTACTTAATAAATACAGGATGCATGCAAGCCACTGATACCCTGCATCCTGCTTTTTTAAAACTTAAGACAATGCGAGAGGTACATCAACCCTTATTTTTTCCCTTAAAAAAGAAATGAATTTAGCAAATTACCAAAATGTATCCTATTGTCATCTTTCAGTTCTGCAGAACCTGGTTAGTGCAAAACCGAGACACTGATTGTGTACAGGTTAGGCTAGCATTTTATGGTAAGAATGAGACCTTAACTATCCATATGGTGCTTTATACACAATACAACTCTAATCCCAGGGACTGCCCTGCAAATGAAATCCATGTCACTCTCTACAGGAAAAAGGGAGTGTGAATGGACCTGAGTACACCTAAGCCATTGTGGGGGAAATACTTTCAGCACCCCACCCCCTCTTCAGCTGAAGGTAGCAAGCCGTTCTTGCTACCATATACTTTAAAAGTATAAAGTATACTTTATACTTTTAAAGCCTCCAGATTCATTTTATTTGATCTTTCAAGCCAGTCTGTGGTGCAGTTGGGCAGATATTATTAATTTGTTTTGCAAATAAGGACATCCGGTTTGAAAGTGATTCAGCAGACTTGCCGACAGTCACATAGCCTTGTGGAGACCTGTAAGGATGCTTGGTAGAGTACCATAAAGCCTCTCTTTTTGATGTGGCAGATAACCCTGCGGGCCACCCACTGTGGGAATGGCTTGCTACCTTCAACTGAAGAGGGGGTGGGGTGCTGAAAGTATTTCCCCCACAATGGCTTAGGTGTACTCAGATCCATTCACACCCCCTTTTTCCTGTAGAGAGTGACATGGATTTCATTTGCAGGGCAGTCCCTGGGATTAGAGTTGTATTGTGGAGCCACTGAACAGATAAAATCAGAAAGGGTGTATGGTGCAGTAGTGCAGTGAAACGAGCCATGAACCGGAAGGCAGGAAATGTGGAGTCTCAGCATCTTCATTGTTTAAAATGATGACTTGGTATTAGATGTTGTCTAGGATTATAGATGAGGATTTAGGGCCAGAGAGATTAAGTGGCAGTTCCAGGTCACCCAGCTAGTTAATAGCAGAGCCAGGACTAAATAGGGAGGGTTTGTATTAAGAGAATTAGTAATGAGAGCTAGTAGTGTCCTTTCTCCAACTCAGGCAGCCAGCTATCAGCAGTTGTGTTCCTTTGGTAAGAAAAACTTCACTATGGTGCTCTTCAGTAAAATATGATAAGAACCAAATCTGTAATTTTAAAATTTTCAGCTAGTTGCATTTAAAAAGTAAAAAGGATGATTTTAATAACGTTTTATTTAATTCAATATATCTAAAATATTATTTCAACATGTAATCAATAAAAAATTAGCAATTTTGTTTTTATATGGTCTTCAAAATCCAGTGTGTATTTTATATTTATAGTACATCTCAATTTGGACCAGCTGCATTTCAAGGACTTAGCAGCCACACATGGCTAGTGGCTACCGTATCGGACTGCACAGCTCTCAGGTTAAGGGCTGGTTAAACACACACTGTTCAAGTTGCTTTGAAACATTTCACTGTGCATTTGCCACTATTTCACTGTACATTTTGGTTAAACCTTCTTAGAATGGAAAAACTATGAACTTTGGTTTAAGAATGATGCAAGAAAACCTGTTTTCAAAACTTGTGATTTAGGAGTTAGTGATTCACATAAGGTAATTCATTATGTAGACTTTAAATAATTCTTTTAGCACATTTGTGTTTCATTCTAATGTATCAACTAACCAAAAAATGCAAGGAATTGAGAAGTTTTACTAGAAGCTTTGTTATTTGAGTATTAAGTCCAGCCATTTCAGGAATAAAAGTGTCAACGTTAAAATCTGATTTGATTAAAACTTCTAGGTGCGTATTGATTACTTACAGAGGGTTAACCTGAATGGTGTTTTAAATCAGTGAGCTTGATGAAGAGTGAGCTGTCAGGAGAAATGGGTTCTAGCCTCCACTCTGGTTATTAATCAACTCTGGGGCAAGTTTCTTATGTTAGATCTATTTTATTATTTATATAGCAATATCCCAAATCACTTCATTTGTTAAAAATGAGTTTAGATATAACCATGGAAAAGTGGTTATCAGATATACATCCCTTCCTGTTCAAAAATACAGATCTTTATTTGTAATAATCTTTCTTTGGGAAAGCCAAGTGCAACTAGAATTATTTTAACTTCTCACATCTTTCTCCCCCAAGATTTTTTATTTTTTTTGTGTCGGAGTCTCGCCGTGTCACCAAGGCTGGAGTACAGTGGCACAATCTTGGCCTACTGTAACCTCTGCCCCCTGGGTTCAAGTGATTCTCCTGCTTCAGGTTCCAAAGTAGCTGGGACTACAGGTGTGTGCCACCACACTCGGCTAATTTTTTATATTTTTAGTAGAGATGGGGTTTCACTGTGTTAGCCAGGATGGTCTCGATCTCCTGACTTTGTGATCTGCCTGCCTTGGCCTCGCAAAGTGCTGGGATTACGAGCGTGAGCCACCGTGTCCGGCCTTCTCCCCCAATATTTTATAGCATCTTTTTAAAGGACTGTAATGCCCAAATATTAGAACAAAATGAAAAGGGATGAACAGAAACAAAATGAATTCATAGTGGAGGCAGCATGTAGTGAAAATGTATGGTAGAACTGCAGTGAACATGAAGAATGGTTTGACTGGACAACCAAACCCCATTGCTAATCCAGTTCTGCTTGCCCACTTCCCTCCCTCTCTCCCTTTCTGTTACTTGCGAGATGTTTACTGTAGGTGCAGTGCTTCTATTTGTAGCTAAAGTTTGTAGTTTATAATTCTTTTCTTTTTTTTTTGAGACAGGATCTCACTCTGTCACCCAAGCTGGAGTGCAATGGTGTGATCATAGCTCACTGCAGCCTCAAACTCTTGGGCTTTCAAATTATCTTCCCAACCCAGCCTCCAGAGTAGTTAGGGCTACAGTTGTATGTCACCATACCTGGCTAATTTTTAAATTTTTTGTAGAGATGGGATCTTGCAGTGTTGCCTAGGCTGGTCTTGAACTCCTTGCCTCAAGTGATTCTCCCACCTTTGTGTCCCAAAGTGCTGGGATTACAGGTGTGAGCCACTGCACCCAGTCTAAGTTGCAATTCTTACCACAAGAGAAACAGGTATGTCTTACTGAGTAGGTACAGGTAGTTTTGACATTGCTACATCCTTAAAGGTAGTTTTAGAGGATATTTATTTCTTAGAATCATTTAATTTAAACACGAGGAGCTTCTTCTTTATAGAAGTCTTGTTTGAGTATATAATGTCTTGAATTTTTTTTAACAAAGCCTTTTCTAATCATCCTAGTGAGAAATGTTGTTCATTATTTTGAGTCTTAATGTCTTGTCCAGGAAAGACCATGCACTTAGAAGGCCAGGGCTTATATCTGGGTTTTAGCTCTTGGCTTTTGCAACTCGCTCAGCTGAGTTTTCTCAGCCTTGTTTTCCCTATTTGTGAAATTGAGATTACTCTTGCCTTGTGGGGACACAATTGTAAGGTTTGTAAGATTTAGTACCTCAGTATTAAAGGTCTCTAGTATAGTCGTGAGGGTTAATTGAAGTGTTAAGTCTCTAGCACAGTGTGATTGGTAGGTGATCAGTGAATATTTTTTTAATGAATCCTGAGTTCAATTTGTTAAATGATTAAAGGATTCTGTGATGACTGTTATTGCTCTGCTGCCTATGAAGATTTGATTGAATGTAGAAGTTACATGGTGTAGATGTGTAAATGGCTATTAGTCATTTGATTGATTCTTAAAAGTAGAGACAAGCAGGGAAAGGAATAAAGGAAGTAGTAATGAAAACAGAAGACAGTGGGCGAGTTCAGGAGAGTACTGGCATTTTGCAGTGTGAACTGCCACACATAACATCCTTTTTAGGAGTGCCGAAGTAAGCAATGGTAAATGAAATAGCAGCGCACTGGAACAAGACACAGCAGAGGCATGATGAGTTGAGAGAGCTTACAAAGACAAAAGCCCATTGGTAGAACTTTTGTTCTAATAGCAATCTTTCCTTTTTATATTTTATAGAAATTTCAGATGGAAAAAAGTGTTTTTTACTAAAATTATTTTGAATTACTGCTTAGCCCATAATTCCTTAAGGGGGTTTGTTGCCTCTGCCATGAAACTGGGAGGGCCCAGTTTGACAAAAAGGCTCTGGTGAACTATTTGTGTGTTGTGGTTGTGTGTAGGTCTGGCAGTTATAACCCTGTGATGGAATTTCCTTCTGGATGCGGGGTTTGGCATGCCTTTGAGGTGGATTGGGGGCACCGACCCTCCACCTGATCCTGGGGATGTTAATGTTAGGAAAGAGAGGCAGTCAGTGGAAGATTTCGAATGGTTTGGTGTATAGTTTAATTTAAAAAAAATTTTTTTTAAGAGATGGAGTCTCACTGTGTCTCCCAGGCTGGAGTACAGTGGTATGATCATAGCTTACTCTAGCCTTGAACTCCTGGATTCAAGCAATCTTCCTGCCTCAGCCTCCCAAGTAGCTGGAAATACAGGTGTGTGCCACCCACTTGGCTAATTTTAAAAATTTATTTAGAGATGGGTCTTACAATGTTGCCCTAGCTGGTCTCAAACTCCTGGCCTCAAGCAATCCTCTCACCTTAGCCTCCTGAGTTGCTGTAGTTGGGATTGCAGGCATGAGCCACTGTGCCCGTCCTGTAGTTTTCTTAACATATTCATAGAATACCAGAGCTGGGGATGACCTTTACTGAGTTCAGTTATCCCATCTCACAAATGAAGAAACTGAGAAACTGAGTGGTTAAGCAGCCTGCCGAGGTTGCAAGTAGGGCTGGATGAAACCTACGTCCCCAACTCACCCTTCAGCTACCTCTGAACATTGGTCTGTGCTGTTCTTTGGCTTTGAAATGACCTCCTCATTACCTTTTCTTAAGACATTTTTGAAATTACTAAAGCATGATGTTAACAAGTTAAAAATAATACAGAGATGCATAAAGAAAAATAATAGCTTCTTACCACCCATTTAAAACTCTACTCTGCTTTTATAGCTAAAGTACTTTATGGGCATCACTTGAGTTCAACACACATTTATCTGACTCTCCCTTTTTTTTTTTTTTTTTATGAGACGGAGTCTCGCAGTGTCACCCAGGCTGGAGTGTAGTGGCGCTATCTCCGCTCACTGCAAGCTCCACCTCTTGGGTTCATGCCATTTTCCTGCCTCAGCCTCCCAAGTAGCTGGGACTACAGGCGTGTGCCACTACGCCCGGCTAATTTTTTGTATTTTTAGTAGAGACAGGGTTTCACCATGTTAGCCAGGATGGTCCTGATCTCCTGACCTCGTGATCTGCCCGCCTCAGCTTCCCAAAGTACTGGGATTACAGGCGTGAGCCACCGCGCCCGGCCCTGACTCTCTTTTTAATTGTGCGTAATTTCTCGCAGTTTGGATGACTACAGTTTATTCAACAATTCTTCTATTGATGGTCATCCAAATTAGGGGATTTTATTTTTACTACTAACAGCCATCCTTGTATGTATACCTGGCACTTTTATTTCCATAGAATAGATTCTTCCTAAGTGAGATAGCTAGTTACAAGTATGATGATAGCTACTGTTTCATTACTTTTCAAAAAGATTGTTGTAGCTCATCTACCACACATTTAGTATCATAAATACTTATTTATTTTATTCTTTTCATTTGTTTTTAATTTACTGTTTATTATACTTTATTATTATTTACTCTTTTGCTGCATGGTCAAATTTCTCTTCAATTCTCTGTCCCCTCCCCTTATTTTTTGTGACATCTTTGAGTCATACTGCTTTAATTTTTTTTTTTTTTTTTTTTAGACAGACTCTCACTCTGTCACCCAGGATGGAGTGCAGTGGTGTGATCTCGGCTCACTGCAACTTCCGCCCCTGGGTTCAAGTGATTCTCCTGCCTCAGCCTCCCGAGTCACTGGGACTACAGACGCGTTCCACCACGCCTGGCTAATTTTTGTATTTTTAGTAGAGATGGGGTTTCACCATGTTGGCCAGGCTAGTCTTGAACTCCTTACCTCGTGATCTGCCCGCCTCGGCCTCCAAAGTGTTAGGATTACAGGCACCATTTGTATTTTTAGTAGAGACAGGGTTTTACCATGTTGACCAGGCTGATCTCAAACTCCTGACCTCTGCTTTAGTTTTGTATCACTTCATCATTAACACAGAATTTCCTACCTTTTAAAAAATCCTACTGTGGTTACTTTCTCACTAGAAACTTTCAGAACAGCTGTAATTTAAAATTCTATATTGATTACAAAAATTAAAAATAAATATCCCCCCTTAGTTTTACTGAGATAGTTTAGAATTTTTCGTTCTCATCTGTTAAGTTTTCTCTTCCTGTATGTCTCTTCTCCTTAAAACAATAGTTAAATTGTAAATTCCTGCTTATGTTGGCCTCATTTAGATACACTGTGCCACTTTTCTCTCTCTTGATCTTTCATATCTTTAGAACTCTGTCTATTAGAGCATATCCTCAAAGATTTCTTTAGATTGGGTTCATTGGTTAAGTAGCTTCTAAGTTCTTGCATGTTGAAAAAAGGCCTTTTGCTTGCCCTGACAGGTGAACAACATCTTGGCTGGGAGTTTTCTCTCAGGAGTCAATGTTTAATTGTGCTCTAGTTTCCAGTGTTGCATTTGAGAAATCTAATGCTAATCTGGTTCTTTTTCCTCTATAAATCCACTGTTCAGTTTGTTTGACTATATAGTTTCCTTTTTATCTTTAGTCTGTGACTACTGATTCCCCAAAAAGGTTGCAGAATAACCTCTAAATAAAGCAAAACCCAGTTTATTGCTTACTGTGGTAAGGGAGACTGTTACACTGACCATTTCAGAGGAAGGAGGGCAAAGATGGGGAATTTATGAGACTTTTTAGGGTCTGGTTTAAGGTACGTTGTTCAACGCAGGGACATATAATTAGACAACGTTTTTGATAAAATAAGATTTGTGGGACTGAGTAGAGGGTATTTACTTAATAAGGAGTAGTTGAGTTGCCTGTTCACATAAATAAGTTTTTGGAAAGTTCTGTAAGAAACAGTAAAGTTATTTGTAACTTCATCTTCTTGGGTCAGAGTTCCCTTAAATAGTGAAGTCATGTTAATGTAGACAGTTGAGTAGTAAAGTCATGCTAGTATAGATAGTAAGATGTGTGGTTACAGATAATTTGGGTTCTCAGTTTAAATATTTTACCAAGCCTAGGCATGTGTCTTTTCTTATTGCTGCCTAAGCTTGCTGGGAGCCCTTTCAGTCTAGAGAATTATCCCTTCTTTCATCTCAGGGAGGTTTTCTTTTATTTTGTCCCTCCTTCCCTCTTCCCTCCTTTCCAGTTATGTCTTATTTGTTGTTGTCTGTCCTCCAGGAAAGCCTGTTATCTGCATGTTTTGTCTTCTGGTTACATCTTCCACATCTCTGATATTTTTACCTACAATGTTTGTTTGATCTTTCAGAACTCTGAATGGATTCTTGGCAACGACTATACTTTTTTCATCTTGTCTATTGAAACTTTAATTTCAGAAATCAAATAGCTTTAGAAAGCCTTTCTTGTCTTCTAATTGTATCTTCTTGAAAGTCCCCATTACCTTTCCCCCTTTACCTTCTTCTGTCTTTTTCATAGGCCCTATTTGTTCTGGTTATTCATCTTGGTCTCTCTCATTCAAGTTGCGGAGACCCCTTACATGGGTTGTTATTTTTCTTTGTCTTTGATGGGTTCCTATTTATCAGGCAGGCTAAGAGCACTCTGGAGCAGTGGCAAAACATCAAGTAGTGGAAGACAGGTGTGTGTGTGTGGGGTGTGTGTGTGAGTGTGTGTGTGTGTGTGTGTGTGTGTGTCTCATAGTGGATGGCTATAAGCCGTCAAACTGGGACCCATCAGCTGAGGTATGGGGAGGAGGCTTGGTTCTCAAGAGCAGTTTGGCTCACCGGCACAGTGACCTTTGAGGTCTGCTGGGGTCGGTAGGATTAGACAGTTCTTCCAAGCATCAACCCCAGTGCCTTCCTAAGTAGAACCGACTTAGATTTCTGGCTAGGGCACTTTAGGGAACTTTAAAATCTGTGGTTTACCCAGGTGGGTCCTTTAGCTCTGACACAGAGAATTTGAGAGTGCTCTCCTTAGTAGCAGTTTTGATAGAGCTTTGGCCTCATACTCAAACTTTAGTTCTCCCAGTAAAATATGAGTGCATGTTAGAGCACAGGTTCTAGAGCTAGTCTGGATTTTAATCCTGGCTCTGTATGCGTATTCTTGGCTAAGTTAGCCTATGGTTTCCAATGATCTTGTCTCTAAAATGAGGAAAATAATACCTTCTTCCTTGAATTGCTATCATGGTTAAATAAGTTTCACATTTATGAGAAGATGCAGTGCTATTATAACAGTGCCTGCCACACACAAATAGTATTTAGCTGTTATTCTTATCTCTAACTCAGGGGGCTGCTCTGAGAATTAAATGAGTTAGTACACGTAAAGTATAATATGTGCTGATAGATGTTATTGTTACTGGTTTTATTATTTTATCTGATTATGACTTATGTAATGTTGAACTATGACATAAAAATGTTAATGAAGCCTCCCTTTATCTTTTAAACTTAGAATTTCCCCCAGGTTAAAGAAATTTTTTCAAAAATTACACAGGTTTAAAGGTGGGAGGCTGAGTTATAAACAGTGTTTCTGCCACAGCCACATCATGGGGCTGCTTTGCCTGGCAAAAAGTAGTATGCACCATCTTCAGTTAGTATAGGTTAAATACACCTATGCATTGGAACTTTTGCAGCAAATTTTGGCATCTACTATGCTATTATTTGAACATTTACTATTATATTTTAAAAAGCCCTTTTTATTTGGGAAAAAAGTATTCTCTCAGTATTCTTTTGGTTGTGGTACATTAAGACCAGGGCAGAAATGCTCCCCAAATGAGTAACTTGAAGCAGAAGTTAGATGTCATAAACATTATTAAAATAGCTCAGCAACTGCCATGGTAATAAGCTATGCTGTTATTAATTTAGGAGAGAGCATTTTGCCAAATAATGTACATAATAATGCAGTATGTTTTTCCATCAAATAAAGCAGTATTAAGGCAGTTGCAGATTTGTGTGCCCTAAAAGAGCATCCCTCTGCTTTCCTGTGATTCCTGTGGGGAAATAAGTACCGGATTATGAAATGTCTTAAGGAATGCATCCTTTGCACAGAATGCTCACCTTGGTCATTGTGTTACTGCAGGAAAGGTGAGAAGAAAAGCAGGTCAGGAATATATCTTGCGAATGTCATTTTCTTGTGGCCTTTTCACTTCTACCCCAACCCCAATGCCCATTGGTCTTCCAGTCCTGATCTGGCAACATCTCTCCTCTTGTAGCTTCTCTGACTCTTGTCGTGTTCTCTCCTCTGTGATCCCAAGCTTTTAGAATTGCCTCTCCATCTAGCATCCTGATGTAAACCGGCTCATAATTATGAATTTCCTACATACTGTCATCTGACCAGGCAAGATATGAACACCCTGAAGTCTCGATGGCCTGTAATCTCACGACCCTTTCTTTCAACCTTTCAGGAAACTTGAAGTCATTTACTTTTGGCCCCTCACAGTGGGGGCGCCAACTCAGACACATTCATGGGTTGGGGAGTTCCCTTAAATGAATGAAGTAGCAGAGTTTTAGACCACAGGGAGTGGAAGACACCTGTAAGCTGGAGAGCCCATTTCCCACTTAGCAGGGAAGCTGCAGGGATGTTCCTGCTGATTTTTGCCATGTGCTTTGGGTTGCTGGAAGAGGCAGAATATAACATTTCCTGATCTTCCCATCACTACGTAGGCCACTGAATAAAAAGTGGGCTTCTGTTTGTGACCTCTGTCTTAAATACGTCAGTGGAAATAAATAATGAGAAAGTAGCTTGTTTTGTCCATACTCCCCTTCAACCTCTCTATCTCCAGAGCTTTTATCTCTCATGTGGGATAACTTAAGTTCCCAGGCTATTCTTGTAGAATCGGAAACAGGCTGTTAACAGGAGGACATAAGCCAATCCCCTGCCCCACTGTTACTGCAATTTTAAAGAATTACCCTTTTGTAGAACACTTTAGTGATAACAAAAGTAAGAATGGTTATAAATGTTAAAATGACTTCAGTGAAATGTTTCTTGGGTCACTTTAGAGGGCTTTTGTGTTAAGGGGGAAAGTTATAATGTATCATAAAACCCATACTTGCAGCAGAATCCTGGATTATGTTGTATGATGGAATGCAGATGACTGCTATAGAGTGGGTCACAGCCTTCTCCTTCCTCTTTTCTCACACAGCTTTCTTCCTTCACTGGTCTCTGAAAAAGGGATGAAAGGACTGAGAGAGTTGGGCAGGATGGAAAGAAGAGAGCAAGATGCAGGGTGACCAAGAGAGTTCTATTGGGTGGAAGAATGAGCAAGGCCCGGAACTTCTCAAGTGCCTTGAATAGGAGAGGATAAGTGATTTCATTTAACTTTTGAAATAATTTCAAGCTTAACAGAAGAGCTGTAATCATAATACAAACAACTCTTTAGATCCTTCACTCACAGATGCAGTTGCTTACGTTTTACCACATAGGCTTTATGATGATTTTTTTCTCTTATTGAACTACTTGTGAGTAAATTGAAAACACGAGACTGGTTACCCCTAAATGCTTTAATACATAATACCCCAAAAGGATCCTCTAGTACATCATCATGGCAGAACTATTCAACATCAGGGAAGGAGGCAAAGCACACTCATCTAATCCACGGACCCCAGGCAAATGTTGGTTGTCCTTTGAGCAAAATAATCCAATCTAGAATTATTTATTGCATTTTCTTATGTTTTAAAAGTCTCCTTCATTGTAGAACAGTTACTTGATACTTTGATAACCATACTATTTTTGAAGAGAATAGGCCAGGTATTTTGCACAATGTCCCTCAATTTCGGCTTGTCTGATGCTTCTTCATTATTAATTTCATCTTATCTATTTTTTAGCAGGAAAAACTTAGAAGTGATTCTGTATTTTTTGCTGTTGTTGGTTCATCCTTTCATGTGTAAATTCTATTCTGCCTTTGACCCTAATGTACTCATTTTAGCATCCACTGATGATTCTTGACCAAATCAGTTGTACTTAATGATGGTAGTTTTCTTATTCTGTCATTCCTTCTACATTTATTAGTTGGCATTTTATTGTAAGGACACATTTCTCTTCTTTTTATTTATTCACACATGTATTTATATTCACTTGGACTCATAGATTTTTCTCATAGGGGTTGTAATCTGACACTATCATTTTTTTTGTTGTTGTTCAGATTGTCCCAAATTTGATTAGCGAGAGTCCTGTCAAGCTGGCTCCTAGCTTTTGAAATGTTCTTTTGAAATGCCTCCATCATTATTTGAACACTGTTTCCATTTTTGGTGCAGTAAGTTATTTCAGGCCTTGTACTTTCCTGTCTCAGCCTTGGAATCAGTCTGTTTTCCAAGGAGTGGAGAATGATATTTAGAAACCAAAGATGTGGGTACCAGATGTGGTCATTGCTATTGAGGTGTTGTTGCTCTGTTTCCTATAACAAGCTAATGTGACAATACCTGGGGACGTGCTTCATGGTAACCCATAAACAAGGGTTGAAGGAAGGGTTACAGTATAGGGAGATTGAAGGGGAGTATGAAATAGCATTTAACTGGAAATTCTTGAGGTTTTTCTGTGTAACATACGTATGTTACCTATCTTGAAACAGGTAGGAAGACAGGAATTACTAATGTTTGGTATCTGCTTTAACTCTTCTTTGTGAGAGTCCATATTTCTGGGCTGAGAACATTTGAGTCTTAGTCTGGTTATCTGTGGTTGTGTAGCTCTGTAACAAACTACCCAACATTTAGTGGCTTGAAACAGCAGCTATTATATCTTATGACTTGTTGGTCAGGACAGTGAGCAAGGCTTGGCTGGGCAACTTCTCTCCATGTGATGTTGACTGTGAACACTCGTTGGTATTGATTAGGCAGTTGGAGTGATCTGGAGGGCCAAAAATGTGTTCATTCACAGGCCTGATGCCTTAGAAGGGCGTCTGAAAGGTTGGGCTTGAGTCCAACTTCTTATGTATTCTCAAGGTCTCTCCACATGGTTTCTCCAGCAGAGTAGTTAGACTTCTTTCATGGTGGCTCAGGGATCCTAGACAGTGATGAAACCAAAGAATATCCTTTAAATTAGTCTTGAAAATAGCTCTCTACTCTGGGAATTCTGATTTCTGTTGCCAAAGAATGCCATTACACATTATTTAATCTCTGACCTTCCTTGTGGACTGCTTTGTTTTTTTCTTTTGGTTTTATTTTGTTGCTGACAGGATTTTTGTGAACTCCTATCAAAATTGGTAGGAAAAAAAGAGAAGGCAAGTGCTTGGTTAGTGGCAATGATGCTGCATTGATTCTATTTCTAGATTTTTAGTTAGCCAGCCCTGTGACCTGTGGGCAAGTCACTCATCTCTCGGCTCTGAGTTTCCTCATCTATAAAATGAGGAAAGACTGGCTTTCCAGGTATCTAAGAATCAGAATTGCCTATTTTGCAATCTATGTCATCAAGGACATTCCTTTGTTTTTTAGTATAGTAGAGTAATTCTCAAGCTTTTCAGTCTTAGGAGCCCCTTACACTCTAAAATTATTGAGGACCTGGAAGAACTTTTGTTCATATGGGTTATCTCTGTATCTGTTTACCATTAAGTGGAGAGATTTTTGAAATCATCCAAAAAACCTATTTAAAAAATTACTTGTCAACAAAAATAGTTTTATATTTTTACAAAAAAGATGTATTGTCCAAAACATAACAATTTTAGAAGAATGACCTTGTTTTTACATTTTTGCAACTATGATATCTAGCTTAACAGAAAGTAGCTGGATTGTCATAGCTACTTTATGCATCATCTGTTGTGATATGCCCTGTGACCGCTAGAAAACTCTATGATTGTGAGAGAAGGGCAAATGAAAAATAACAAACTAATAACATTAGGAATATAGATCTGACTTCATGCACCATTGAAAGGGTCTCTAGGCCCTCCAGCCTTCAAGAATCACTGCTGTATTAGAAGGAGCTCAGGATTTTAAGTTAGATATTTCTGGGTTGGAGTCTCTGCCTTTTCCCTTTCTTTCTGTGTTACTCTAGCCAAACTGCTATTCTTTCCCAACCTTTTTGAGCTTATTTATAAAGCAGGAATAAAAAATGACAAGTTTGCATAGCTCTTGTAGAGATTAAATGAAACAAAGTACAAGAAATCATCTAGCATAGTTCTTTTTATATAGATGATCAAGATGATTTACTGTCATTCTTTCTTTTGCTCTAATTTGAAATATTACAGAGATGAGTGAAGAAAAACATAAAGCATATAACAAGTTTAGAGAGAAAAAAAAGATGTGGTAGGTTGTCAACAAAGATGGCCACCTGTGATTCTTCCAGTCGCTCACTATATGTTCATGTCATTCCTCCTATCAAGAGATGGGATCTGTTTTTGCTCCCTTTCCATGTGCACTGACTCAGTGACTTGCTTTGATCAATAGAGTGTAGCAAGACTGATGCTGTGCCAGATCTGGGCCTTCAGAAACTTGGCAGCTTCCCCTGTTTGTCTCTTGGAGCCCTAAGTCACCATGTCACGAAGTCAGATTACCTTGCTTAGAGGGTGAGTGGCCCAGCCAGCTTCCAGCCATTCCAGCCATCTCAGGTGAGGTGTCAATATGTGAATGAAGCCATCCTGGGTTCTTCAGCCCAGGTAGACCTCTCCAGCCAACACCAGATGGAGCTGATACCAGCTGTCTCTTCTGAGCCCTGGCTAAATTTTAGAATTATAGGCAACTTGTTGCTTTAAGCCACTGAGTTTTGAAGTTACTTGTTACAAAGCAATAGATAGCTGAGAAAAGCTTATCAGTGTGAAGAAACTTTTATATATGAAAAATATAAATATTAATTGCACCTAGAAAAATACATTTTACTCATTTTTTAATGATTAAATGAGGATTTTCCTCATCTGGAGGGTGAGGGTAACTCTTAGACATAAACAATGGGGGCCAGACAATGGGGGTGAACAGTGCCTCCCCTGGGAAGGAGTTACCTTTGGTACCTGAAGAATGTCTCCTCCGTGCGCCCACTTTGCCTTATCGTAATGGCCTAAGCTAAAAAAATTAATGTAATTTTAAGTTTTCCCAGAGAACTAGGAATGTATTGTGGTCAAAATACTAAATAAAGATAGAGTGAATTTTTAAAGGCATAACGTTATAAGAATTTTTTGCAGAGTTCATTTCCCCTTTGTGAAGGAGTAAGCTGTTTGTCTCAGATGTAATAGTTATCATTCTGTGAAGCTGGCAGGAACCTGCCTTTCTGGTTTGTAATGTCATGTTAATCTGCAAAGGTGTTATTACTCATTTGAAATATTCTTTGTTCTGGTTGAAAGCTCCATTGATGGTATTTTCAAATAAACTTGTCCTACTAGTGAGTCTTTCTCTACGATTATAAGCCTTTTGTAGCTCTATTCTTTCTGGAATGTTGCTAGTATGTCAGTAATGAAAGTAATCTATCTCATTTGCTAAGAGTTAAGTGGAATACAATTCACAATCCAGAAATATGTAATAGGCATTTACTCTCATTTTAAAAGTAAATTAATATATTGTTACATTGAGATGAAGTTTTGCTGATTAGTTATAAAAAATCAGGTGCTCCCTTTATTTTTATTTTCTTAACTGTCTCATATCAAGTCTTCTTTATTTTTTTGATGATGGAAAATCAAATTTCTGTCAGATTTTTTTTGCATAATCTTTATTTTTATTGCATAAAAATTTCTATGCAAGTTTTAGGTATAAAAATGTAATATATGGCTTCCTCAGTTTTTGGTGTTTTAGCCATTTTAAATATAAGATATTTATTCCTTATGCTACCTTTAGAATATATTGAGTCTATTGGAATTATATGTCACTGAAACAAATGTGTATTTTAAAGTTAAAAGTAAACTGAATCTCTGTGTATCAGGTGATATAACAAAATACATGGATCTGGTCAGCTTTTTCTTTAATTTCATAAGTCTGATTGGTCAAGAAAAATGGAAATCTTCATAAGAAACAGGAAGAAAGGTTCAATTTATAGACACCATGTTATTGGCCCTTGGTATTAATTCAGTGAACTTTTAGGCAGCTCTTACTGAGAATAAGTTATTGGACTGCATAGAAAGTAAGTGGTGTGTGATACTCAGCACATGCTTTCCAAATGTCTAAACATAAGTAGGAAAGTTAACAGAAGGAATAAATGGCCATCTTAAGAGTGCAAGAGTGTAAGTATCAGAGACAGGCAAAAATAAGAAACTTGGTAGGTTCAATGGAGGGAGAGGTCATAATGAGATTGAGAGGATTTGGACAGGCTTTATGAAGAAGGTGGCATTTTAACTGGATCTTGAAGGATAAGTAGGATTTTGACCATGACATAGAGCAGGAAAGATATCCCAGGGAGACCTCCTGAAACCTGAAATGGGAAGCATTTCTTTCAGGTTTCCAAATATCCCTCCCTGATATTTGGGGTGTTACCCAGTTCATTCTCTCAAATGTCTCATTAGTGGAGGTCCATTATTATCGAAGACAAAATTTTAATTTATTTATTGATTTCAGAAAGTCCTTGGGCATGTTATCATTGTACCTTATTTTGTGGCATCTTGTGAATTCCCCATTTTGGCAGAGGTTTCTTCTGGAAATGGTCAGAAGAAAACTGGAATGGCATTAATATCATTTGCATGTCTTTTTCTTTTTTTTTTGAGATGGAGTCTTGCTCCGTCACCCAGGCTGGAGTGCAGTATCGCAGTCTCGGCTCACTGCAACCTCCGCCTCCTGGCTTCAGGCAATTTTCCTGTCTCAGCCTCCCCAGGCGCGTGCCACTATGCCCAGCTAAGTTTTTGTATTTTTAATAGAGACAGGGTTTCACCATGTTAGCCAGGATGGTCTTAATCTCCTGACCTTGTAGTAGCTGGGACCACAGGCGCCTGCCATCATGCTTGGCTAATTTCTTTTCTTTTTTTTTTTTTTTTTTTTTTTTTTTTTTTTTAGTAGCGATGGGGTTTCACATTGTTGGTGAGGCAGGTGTCGAACTCCTGACCTCAGGTGATCCACCCGCCTCGACGTCCCAAATTGCTGGGATTACAGGCATGAGCCACCATGCCCGGCTGACTTCCATATCTTTTCTTTTGCAAAGTATTGAAAGAAGTAAGGTTAAGAATCAAGATTTCATTAAATTTCAAATGAAACTAGCCATCTGACTTAGAAATGAAGCCCCTTTTCAGCATGTTAAGGAATGGGGGTGCATAGCTTCCACATTGGTATATAATGGCCCGTAATAGTTTGGTCTACCTGTTCAAAAGGCTCAGGAATAATTCAGATTAGAAAGTTACACGGTGGCCAGGTGCGGTGGCTCATGCCTATAATCCCAGCACTTTGGGAGGCTGAGACGGGCAGATCACAAGGTCAGGAGATTGAGACCATCCTGGCTAACACGGTGAAACCCCGTCTACTAAAAATACAAATTAGCCGGGCATGGTGGTGGGCACCTGTAGTCCCAGCTACTTCGGAGGCTGAGGCAGGAGAATGGCGTGAACCCGGGAGGCGGAGCTTGCAGTGAGCGGAGATTGCGCCACTGCACTCCAGCCTAGGGGACACAGTGAGACTCCATCTCAAAAAAAAAAAAAAAAAAAAAAAGAAAGTTACCTTTTTTTGGAGCGGTTGGGGAGTATGAATTGTTTATATGTAAATATAGTATACAAATTAACAGCTCATCACTATATTCCTCTATGCATTCCTTACCTAACACTTCTCGGTGCATAAACCAAATTGACAAACAAACTGCCTCCACAGCAAAAAAAGGTAATGACTAATTTCTGCCTGGTTGCCTTTTCTTTTCAAGAATTGCAAGTTATATGTGTGCCTGGTTGCTAGTCCAAGGCACAAAAGGATTTTTTTGTTTTTTGAGATGGAATCTCGCTCTGTCGCCCAGGCTGCAGTGCAATGGCATGATCTCGGCTTACTGCAGCCTCCACCTCCCGGGTTCAAGCGATTCTTCTGCCTCAGCCTCCTGAGAAGCTGGGATTACAGGCGCGCGCCACTACGCCCAGCTAAGTTTTTGTATTTTTAGTAGAGACGGGGTTTCACCGTGTTAGCCAGGATGGTCTCAATCTCCTGACCTCATGATCCACCCGCCTCGGCCTCCCAAAGTGCTGGGATTACAGGCGTGAGCCACCGCGCCCACCCTACAAAAGGACTTTTGATGATAACCAAATCTCTCCCTGTCTCACTTTCTCAATAAAGTTTTTAGTCACTTTTTAGAAGTTTCTTAGTCGCTTCATAGCCCTAGGGCTTCTCAGGGATTCTAATAGGCTGGTCAAAGACTTCCCGCATCACATCACTTTGCATTATATTCTGGAATTCTGAAAGATAATCATCCTCCTTTCTTCTGGCATTTATTAGTGTACTTTTCCCATTTTCTAGAGAGTAAGCATTTGCTGGTATTAGGCAATAAATAAATAAATATTTCAATGAATGAAGTCATGTGTTTCATAATACCCTTTTTTCCTGTAATAAATCCTAGGACTGGCCCCTTCCTGGACAAATATACTTTAATTGCACTTTGGTTCTATGTCAGTTCTCTGTCAGTTCTTCATTTCTTTATTCAAAGATGATTTCTTCTGGACCTGAAGACTTTACACCTGAACTGCAAAATATTGGCCCATAGGTGGTCTCTACAAAGTACCCATAAGAAGAATGAAATTATCCATGTGTATAAGGGCAGGAGGCATAACAATGGAATACTGATTGGGCAAAGGGTTATTGGAAGAGGTCAGTTAGGGCAGAATGGACAGAAGTGTGAGCTGGTGATATGTACCTCCACCCCAATAGCTAATTTACCTCTGGCATCCATGCTCTCTAAGTCTTATCATATTACAGTATGACAGATGAAAAGTTAAGAGGTTTTCATGTGTGTATTTGCTTGAAGTAGTGACAGAAATACAGCATTTCTGAGACTCTCCTGGCCCTGCTCCAGGTGCCTGTGTAGACACACCTGCACTATACAGAAAGCTATAGAGGGAATCACGAGATGTCATATTTTTTTATGGTCAGCACTGGATTTGTTGCATAACACTGGATGCTTTCCTTGTGTCCTCTCGGTAGAGGGTAACAAAAGATGCTAAAGGATAATATTTGCAAAGCATTTGCAGCACCAGATTCTATATAAATGCAAAATTGTCACAAAAGATTGGCATGTTCTGGTAGTTTGGGAATGATCATTTTGGAAAATTTTCAAATTTGATGATTTCTTCCTCTGCATGAAAATTTTAGAGTTTCTGTATACTTTGTAAACTCCCGAGCTGGTTTTCTGAGCTTGCTTTTGTGTATAATCTTTGTGGGTAGAATATTAGATCCTTTTTATGCTTTATAAATCTATTATCTTTATTTGAAAACCCTAACATTTCTGCTGGACACAGAAGCACAAATATAGTTTGCATAAAGACAGATTTGATTTACATATTTTTAAAATCTGTACCTTCTCATTGTCATACGTAATTTCAGGCATAATTGTTTCCTCTTTGTTCACGAACCACTTCTTGTTTACCTGTTTGGGATAGAAGAATTAGGTAGAGTTGTGTGGCTCTACCTGCTCTAGTTATTCCATCTGTTTCTCTCTGTGCCTAGATGGGAGAAAGGACCCATAAGTGAGATTAGATCAAAATGGAAGACTATCTTCATATGCCAGCATTCCAGAAATATTTTGAAGTAAGAGGAAAGGTGTGTGTGCACTTTCTACAGTAACCTGGAAAGTAAGAAAGTTTGATCTAAAATTTTAGATCAAAGAGACAGAGTCTCACTCACTCTGTCGCCCAGGCTGGGGTGCAGCAGTGCGATCTGGTCTCAGTGGACCAGAAATGATAAGAAAAATTCCTGAAAGGCAAATGGGAAACAATTGGAGGTGTAAACCACAGCCCAAAACATGAGCAAAAGAACTACGAAAGGTTGTAGTGATGGACTGAGTATTCCAAGCTTAGTGGCTGTAGATAGATGGGAATCATAAAAAGCTCTGGGAAACCATTAGTGTGATATCTATAGAGCCTGTGAGATACTCAGTATCTTTTCAGTAAATTCTTTTCATAGTTACATTGGATAGAATTTATTTTAGGAATCCTTGCTTGATGTACTTACACCAAGGATGCACTTACAAAAAGGATAAGCTTTTTGTATTCATCATGATATTTTTAGTATACAGTTGGATCCAATTTTCTATACTGTTACTCAGGATTTTTACTTGGGATACTGGCCTGCCTCTTGAGCCAAACATACATATTCAGAAAATGAAGGTGGTAGATTGCCTGAATGTTCCTATTTTGTACCTCAAGAATGCTGTAGCCGGGTGTGGTGGTGCATGCCTGTAGTCCCAGCTACTCAGGAGGCTGAGGCGGGAGGATCACTTGGAGGTTGCAGTGAGCCAAGATCACACCACTGCATTCCAGCCTGGGTAACAGAGTGAGACCCTGTCTCAGGAAAAAGATAAGAATGCTGGAAAATCTGACTCAGGAATCAGTCATTTCTACTGCTTGTCACAGCTGATTCCATCTTTGGATGCCTTTGCTATTGGATACTCCCTTACTCTTGGGAGCTACTCTGTGAATTAATCCTAAACTCTTGCTGAGAAGTCAAAGTCCTTGCTGAAACCACAGATCATATGCCTGTGACCTGGCTGTCAGTTATTCTGGGAGCCTGATTCCTGCCTCCACCAAGACTCAAATAGGGGGATTGTTTGCACATTAGCAGAAGGTTTGATATGTACCCAGAACAAAAAGGACTAAAGCGGGAATTTCTCTAAGAAGATTTGGCATTAGAAACTCTTTTAATGTAACTCAAAGCTGAAAGGACAAACATCATATACTCATCTTTTATTCCCAAAAAGAACTTGATAAAACTGTTAGTCATTGATTAAAGGCCAAAACAGAATAAGACCAAAAAAAGCAGAATTGAAGGAACCATCTATTTGATTAAGGATATGCGTTCGGGCCATACACAAGCCATTATACTTAGTGGTGAAATTTTAGAAGCAATCCATTACAGTCAGGATGAAGACAGGGTGCATGTTCTCAAAACTACTAGTTATTCTTTTATTGAGGTCCCAGCCAATGCAGTAAGAAAAGAAGAAATAAATGTGGAGGAGCATTTTGAAAAAGCATTTTGAAAACTGATTATCTGAGAAGACTCCATAGACAAACTAAGAAGAATTTAGCAAGACGGCTGGGAATAAGACCGATAGGGAATATTAGTTGGCTTTCCAATGCATTAGCAATAGACAGTCAGAAAGTATAACAGCAATAAAACTAAAATAGCTAAGAACCAGCCTGTATTATTTTTTATTGTTGCATAACAAATTATCACTAGCACAGTGGTTTAAACATACAGTCATTTATTATTTCACAGTTCTGTAGGCCACAAGTCCAGGATGTCATGGCTGGCTTCCCTGCAGGGCCCCACAAGGATGAAATCAAGGTGTTAGTCAGCTGAGCACTTATCTGAGGATGATGGGGAAGAATCGACTTCCAAACCCTTGTTGGCTGTTGGCAGAATCCCGCTTTTGTGGTTGTAGGACTGAGGTTCCCATCTCTTTGCTGGCTGTTAGCTGGGGGCTCCCCTCAGGTCCTGAAGCTGTTCTCATTCTTCTCAGATAGCCCCCTTCATCTTTCAAGTGAGAGGGAAGGGTGGAACCCTTCTCATGGTTTGAATATAGTTGACTTTCCCCCTGCTTTTCCCTTCTGCTGGAGAAAGTGCTGTGCTTTTTAGAGCCCATTTGATTAGGCCCACTTCAGTGATCTCCCTATCTTAACGTCAACTGTGCCATATAGCATAACACAATTATAGGGGTGGTATTCTCATCATGCAGATTCCAGAGGTCAGGGCAGGACATCTTTGGGGGAGGGAGGGCATTTGGTAAATTTGCTTGCCACAAAGCCTAAATAGAATTTTGTAAGACCCACATCAAAAGTGTAAAATTTCCTCGAAGGATATAAAAGACAACCATATAGAGGTTTCACTTTGTAAATATCTTAGTATCTACACCTCCACCTACCACGTCATCTGGTCTGTCAATTAAATTTAATTCCAGTTAAATCCCCAGCAGAATTGTTTATTCAATTGGGTAGCTGGTTCTTAACGTCCCTGAGTAGAGAAAAATGTTTAAGAAGTAGCAAAGATAGTTTTGAAAAAGAAAGATGGATATCAAACAAATTAAACTACATACATCAAAATCTTGGGGGTATTGGTTCTGGAGTAACCCATGAGATAGAATACTGGGGATTCATTTAATAGATGATAAAGTTGTTTCAAATCAACAGGGAAATGATGGCTTTTTTTGGTAAATGGTGGTGCAGTTGTCTGTCCATTTGGAAGCAAAGTTGGGCCCTTATCCCAAGAACAAAAATAATTTCCAGATGGAATGAAGAGCTAAGTATAAGTAAAATTCTACAAGTATTTAGAAGTACTTAGGAGAATTTGCTCATAAACTTTGGGTTAGGGAATGCCTAACTCAAAGGCTAGGAAATGCAATTGACTAGTAAGCACATGAAAGAGTGCTTGCTTTTATTAATGTCAGGAAAATGTAAATTAAAACATTTCCTTTATTCCCCTCTTTTTTTGCTCAATCAGATTGGAAAAAAGTTTTGCAATCCAAATGTTGGCAAGGGTGCGGGGAAAACATATACTCTCATCAAATGAATTGTAATGGTCTTTTTGGCAGTGCCCACTGTAATTATGAGTATACATATCCTTCAGATGAGTAATTTCACTTCAAGATTTTTACCTCTGAGAAATACATGGGTACATGAGCACAGAGACATTTACAGGCCACTGTGGCATTGTGATTATTGCAGAAAATGTCCAGTAACCTAAAGATTCATCATGGAAGGGCTTTTTGTTTATAAATTATTTAATGGATTTTGAAAAAGGAACCAGTTAAAGTTAGTCAAAGTAATTTAGAGGAAAACAAAATACCTATGGAATTTGTAACAAGAACTTGAAGAAAGTTCTTGGTGTGTACACCCTGGTGTGTACTTTTATAACCTCATATTGCCCATTTTATAATACATTTAATAAAAACATTTCTCTCATGTTAACAATCCATTTTCTAAAAGCAGTGCAGTATTAAGTGCTCACCATATGTGGATAAACGCATCCTGGCAATTTTCTGAGGGAAGATGAAACTGAACAAAAGCCCTCCTTTATTACCATAATGTGAGACTTGTTGTGGGATTTCTTTTATTATCTTATTATACCAGCCAGAGATGGGGCGAGAGAAAGGAAGAGGCTGTATCTATACAAGTGTTTCTTACATGTGTGAATAATTGATTTTTAGTATGTCAGATGATAAGAATCTTAATTTAAAGAATCTGTATATGTAGTAGGTGGGGAGAGAAGAGATTAGCTTTTTAGGTAGTTATCAGTGTTTAAAAAGCAGCCAAAAGAAAAGTTTTGTGTCTGTGCTTATGTGAAAGAGATAAAGTGAAATATCTTCACAGGGGCTTTTCAGAACATTAGCTTTAGCAGCTTTAATCTATGGGTTTATTATTTGAGGATTGAAGATAAAAGCTTTGACTATTGTTAGTTTTATATATCTTCTGTATTCATTGTGAGAGTAATGCTATAGGTGAAAATTGCTTTTTAAAATGAGGGAATGGTGGGATTTTTAAACAAAGTGTTTTTTTGATGCATTTATTAGATGTTCTTCATATAAAAGATTATCTTTATTAAAAGAAGAATTTTGTCCTGAAGATAATTTATAATCCCAGAAGAAAGAAGCTTATATTAATTTAAAACCCACTGCGATTTAAAAAGTATTTTCCAAAGCAATTTCTATAATACATTTTGCTTTAAATCACGTTTTTTTCTTCATAATTGAGGCACAACTTACAGAGAAGAACCATGGTCTGATACAATTGCTGCTATTGTGAGTGAAACTAATAAAAGATGAGAACCATGACTGTGTACTACTTAGGAACAAAAGGGCAGTTAAAAAATATAAAACTGAATTATTTTTGCAGAAGTCAACGAAAGGTTCCGTTGTCCTTGACCACGTATTCCATCACGTAAACCTTGTGGAGATAGATTATTTTGGGCTACGTTACTGTGACAGAAGCCATCAGACGGTGAGTAAGGTGACTTTGTGTTAAATTTTTCTGGTTATAAATTTCACTCTATCTCTGGCTTTTCCTGATATGGTTTTAGGTGGTTAGGTTCTTTGTCACTGAAAAAGACTTTGAAAATCTCAAACATGTTTTCCCCTGATAATTTCTTTGCATTTTTTCCTCTTCTGCCAAAAGTCTGTAGAGTTGCTGGATTCACAGCTTCTGTACATGTGTAGTCGTCTTTGCAGATGGCATATGTGGTTTCCAGATTTGCAACCTTATCATAGTGAATGCAAAGCATGAGTGAACATGGAGGACTGAATATGTCGTTTAATATGTGTTAGAAGGCAAGTGGCTAGTCTCTTGAGGTGAGAGATATTAATTGCCTTTTAAGAAAGGGAATGGTTAGAGAAGAAATAACAGTGTAAAAAAAAAAGTGACTACCTAAGTTTTATAAGTGAGATGAGCTGTTACAAAATAAAATAAGTAGAGGTTTTTTTGTTCATGAACCTGATGAAATAAGAGTAATAAAGGCAACTTAGCTTTTAGTTCTTATGTCAGTTGTTCACAAAGGTTAATTCAGAGGGTCTTCCAGTCCGGAGTAGAGAGTTACTAAGAAATTCACCACAATGGAAAAACTTTGGAGATGAAGATTTTGAAGGACGAAAGGATATTTATTAATGTGACTTTTGGTTTAGTCTAAGAAAGTAAAGATCTTAGCTTCAGATAGGCACAGCCTCATTATGCAGAATGCTCACATGCTTATCTCAGAAATACCCTATTTGACTTGCCTTTTATTTTTCATCCTACTCAACTGCTGTTGAAATAGAGATGTCCTCCTCTTCCTTCATTTGTTCTCCCATCCTCCACTGGGTCATTTGTGGTACATTCAGTGAAGAACATGATTTTCTGAGTGGTGTTTCCACTATTGATGGTGATCACTTGTGACTTTTCTTGAGCTGGTTCCTTAATCTTTTCTGTTTCACAGGAGGATTTCATAAGGTTGGAATGAAAAATTGGGTATGTTGGATAGCTTTGCATAGAAAGGAATAACTTTCTAAAGGCTAGTGGTCATTATGGCATGTTGCAAAAAAGGGGAACAGACATGTTTAGAAGTCCACTGAATTCTATCTTGTACAGACCATGAATAAATATAGCAGTACTGTAAATCTATACAGAAAGATTAAATTGAAGGCTAAAGAAGGTGTCATGTGCTACATTCATATTTTTGAAATAACATTTTTTTCCTAGCAGAGAAAACTACAGTTTTCTGATCTTATCTACTATGTCAGACTTTGCCTGGAAAGATTGACTGTCTTGCTAAAGTTATATAGACCTTGTCGGTCTCTATCTTCCCCCTTACCTTTTTTAAACTTTGCAAAGGAAAAATGTGAAAAGCTAGAGAATTTCAAAACAATGGCCCCTACTGTAGCAGTTAGTGTTGCTAGTTTATTGAAAGTTTTGTAGGGTTTAAATTA
Source organism: Homo sapiens (assembly GCF_000001405.40). Taxonomy (NCBI): domain Eukaryota; kingdom Metazoa; phylum Chordata; class Mammalia; order Primates; family Hominidae; genus Homo; species Homo sapiens. The sequence continues at coordinate 112,305,928 of NC_000005.10, read as the reverse complement.
AGAACATTTTTTTCCTCTTACTTTTACTCCTAAAGGTTTGGCATTTATCATAGTGTTTATAATACAGGTTTTAGGAGAAATGACACATTTAGGAGAAAGCTCTTAAGTCATATTGTTTTGATGTGATAAGAATATCAGGTGTGCAAATGACATGAAAAAAGTATTCTTTCCCTGTTTTTGTTATATTCTAATGGTAAACTCAGCTAAAATAGAGATGATTTGTAAACATTGCTTAGTCTTTGCATGTTCACATGTATTGTCTGATTATCTTTTAATTGTAGGAGGCTCTGAGAATAATGTAATGAAATTTTGTACTTCATCTTGGTAACAGTTTTATCAAAAGTATATTAGAAGCAATCCTGCATATCTGACAGTTACTTAAAACAAATAAGGATTTAAAAAAAACCCTGTGTGAAAATAGTACAGGGTATGGTTAAAAAATCATTGTCTTAAAAACCAAATATGGTTTCCCATTTAGAAGCATTTGTCTTAAAAACCAAATGGTTTTCATGAATGTTGATTGAATTACTGTACATTCGGGACCTCACATAGCAGAGAAGTTGTCTGCACTGGAGGACCAGGAGAACCTAGAACCCCGGAACTCATCATTCTCCATTATTACCACCATCATCATCAGTGCACCACCGACTGTAAATATTTTTGTTTGTTGAAATTGTATGCTCAGAAAAGTTCTCTAAAGTATTATTATCTTTCTGTTGGAGATGATGAAACGCAAACTAAGAAGGTTAAGCATCTTTCCCAAGTTCGCATAATCAGCACGTATTAGGACCAGAATTCCACCCCAAGTCTGAGTGTCTCCAAGACCTTTCAAACACTGTAATATCCTGACTTTCAAGATAATTGAAATTGCAGCAGCGCAGTCTTCCCTTTAAGGAACTGGTGTTTTTGAAATTAATTAGAGGCTGGAAGGAACTTGAGCCATCTTCTAGGCTTTCAGAAGTTACTATAAATGGATTGTGATCTGGTGGAATGGATAGCTGCCTTGGGAGTCACAAGATAGGTTTGAGTCCTGTGTCTGCTCCTAAAAAATGGTGAAATCACTTAATTTTTCTGAATCTTGATATGCTTATCGTAAATTGACAATAAAATGCTTTTTCTCCTCAACTGTCAGGATTGATATAGGACTAAATCAGAACACATGATAGCTCTTTGTAGATGATAAGGCATTGAACATGTAAAAGGCCTTTCCTGTTGAAACTAGGATGGGAGAAAATATTGCTGGTGATATCAGCGGAATGAAGGAAGAAGGAAAAAGTCTGGAAGAAAGAAAAGAAAAAATTAAATAAACTGTAGATTCTTAAATACCTTTGAGATTTTTGAAGATGAGTTTTGTTGATACTGAAAGCAGTAATAAATATAAATGTGATATCTCAATACTACTTCTGGTTTTAAGATTAGTTTTGAAAGGGAAAGCGCTTAGCCTGGGCTAGAGCCTATTTTCTGTTCCACTCTGGCTTGTGCCAGTCAGGTTCGTTCTTGATCCAGACTGGTGTGTTTGGGGATGTAGGTCTCTCATATTAGGGCCTTGGTTTGACTTACAGAAAATTCCCAGAAATTATAGTTATGTCTTACTTTAATGTTAGCACCTGAGGCTCCTTTACAGATTACTCCTTGAAAGGCAGAAGTTGTATATAATTAGGGCTTTTCTCAGAATATGGAAATCAACGTGGCATTGAGAATTAGGTCCTGGGTCTGCTGCCCTTTTACTTCAGAAGTCAAAGGAGGGGGAATGTGTGAAGCACACAGATGAAGACAGCATGCAAACACTGTCTTCTGCCAGTGAACTCTGTTTTTCCCTTGCTAAGACAATAAAAGCAATCAGAAACTTCCCACTTTCTTGACCACCCCACCCCCAAACACACTTAGTTGCTTCATACCCTTCCTTTCCTGTCACCAGTGTCTGTGAGCTGGATCTTACCACCTTGCTTTTTCTGTTTTGTGTCTCTGTACCCTACCTGCTCCCTCTTTCCAGTCAGTGTTTGGGTGTGTTCAAGTCTTTCCCATTTAGAACCTCCCGTTCCCCTCCTCCTTTGCCCTCCCTTATCTGCTGCTGTCTTTGGCTCCTTCTGCATCACGCGTAAACTTCAGAAAACCTTGTCTAAGTTTCTTACATTCACTTCTGAAATCCCATTGTTTCCTAAACATATCACCATGCAGCTTTTTTCCCGATCACATCACTGAAACTGGCCCTGCCTTGCCAGTTGCTAAATCCAAGAGACTCTGTCAGTCCTTGTCTTACTTGACCTTTCTTTTGCTTTGACACTAACAACTTGCCCATTCTTGAAATCTTCTCATTTTGTTCTTCTGGCACTATATTCTTTTTGTTTCTCTCTCTTCATGTTTTCTCTAGTTATTCCTGTTCAGTCTTCTCTACGATTGTGATTCCACTGCCTGTTCCATAAAATGTTGGTGTTCACCAGGATTTTGTCCTTAGTTCTCTTAGGCTCTAACTCTGTTCAGGCCCACACATTTAGTGCTACCTTTGCTAGTACTGTTTACCTCTGAGATAATTTCCTTAACCATCTAAACTAAGCTGTGTATGTGTTAATATTTGTATTCTCTTCCCTGCCCCCGAGTACTCTGAGTATTGAACAAAAATCCTCATCCATTGAGCTCTAGCAGGCATGCTTAAGTGTGTCCTCTCTGCCGTCAGTAGTGGCCCCTCTTCCTTTCATCCTGATGCTGTATTTTGTAACGTGTAAAGTTTCACATTCTGTGATTATATGTTCTGGAAAGTACCTATAATGACTGATAAAATATGTATAAGTGATAATGTGAGTCCTGTTGCAAAGAAAGGAAGATTGTCATGCTGGATTATTACAGAATGAAACTTACTATGTGAGATGTCTTCAAGCAACTGTTGGAGGAACAGAGGGGAAAGATCAAGAAGCAGAAAGTTCCTCTTAGGTAACCCTTTGACTTTATGAAGAGCATCATGAGAAGCACAGTATCCTGGGAGGGCTGACAACAACACATGAAGGGTATCTGGGAAACAATGATGGCAGGTGGCTTTTCAAGAGTCCACGGCCTGGAAGCCGGAAGCATCTATAGGGGGCCCCATAGCACCGAAGGTCTAAGTTTCCTGCTGACGAATGTGTGTTACTTTTCCTTGGTAACTGTTCCATGGTTTAAATTATATTGAAAGACTGAGCCTCAGATTCCTATCTTCAACCCAGATGTTTCAGGAGGGACTACACTGTGTTAAAATTCAAAATCTGGATTCAGACTGTATGGGTTCAAACCACAGTCTACCTGGAGAGCTGTGTGGCATTGAGTGAGTCTCCCTAACTTTTCTATACTTCAGTTCCTCTGTTTATAAAGTGAAGATAGTAATAGTACCAGCTTCATAGGGTGGTAGTGATGATTGAAGGAATCTATAAAAAATACACAGACTAGTGCTTTAACATGTGTGGTCCACATAATGTTTTAGCTGTTGTTCACTACTCGGATGCCTCTCATGTATCTCAAAGGTAACATATTCAAAACTGAAGCCATCTTCCCCTCCAAATCTGCTCTTTTTAAAAAATGTTTCTGAGATCAGTGATTTTCAAGATTTTTTTTTCTTTTAGAGATGAGGTCACACTATGTTGCTTAGGCTGGTTTCAAACTCCTGAGCTCTAGTGATCCTCCTGCCTCAGCCTCCCAAAGTGCTAGGATTATAGGTGTGAGCCACCATACCTGGTCTATGAATTTTTTTAAAAAACCATGTACTCGTGTGTAATTTTAGGTTGAGAATTGAAATTTTGTAAGTTTTAGTAGATCCAGATCTTTGGTTTATCATAAATACTGACATTGTAAAATCAAATTGTCATATTCCTTTTAAATGTATCCTATGAATTTATATTTCATAGCAATTTTGTACTCTTCATCTACCTTTATAAAAATTTATGAACAAGCTCTTTTTTAAAAATCAGAAACATTTATTTATTCCTTTTATGTCGTTAAACTTGTATTCCTATTCTACTTTCTCCCTAAAATGTTATTATATTTTTATTAATAAAAAACATATATCCATAATATACATATAAATTGGAATTTTAAAAGTTTATTTCCTAAGATGTTAAGGCTCTAATTGTTGTTGAGCCCTAAAAGTAGTTGTTATTACCATGGTTGTCACTATACAATTAATTAAAACAGCAAAATACTATGCATTTTAATAATTATTAAACATATTTTCTATGGAAATTGACAGACAGGGGGCAGGACTAGATTGCAGTTCCCACTCGGACGGATCGTGCAGTGTGTAGAGACTTGCATTGTGAAATTTTGCTCCAGAACTACTGCAGAAATATACCAAGAAAGCTGAGAGAATCCACAGACCCTTTGAAGGAAGCAGATTGCTCCTGCAGGAACCCAGAGACACTGCAAATACTGTGCTGGTATCCATGGCTGAGAGACATGAAGATGGTTCACATCACAGGACTCTGTGCAGACAACCCCTAGTACCAGCCTGGAGTCTGGTAGCCCTGCTGGGTGGCTAGATCCAGAAGGAAATAACAGTCACTGCATCTCAGCTCTCAGGAAGCCACATTCCTAGGAAAAGGGGGAGAGTGCTACATCACGGGAACACCCCATGGGACAAAAGAATCTGAACAGCAGCCTTAAGTTCCAGATCTTCCATCTAACATAGTTTACTCAAAGGAGAAGGAACCAGAAAAACAATTCTGGTAATATGATAAAAGAATGTTCTTCAACACCACCCAAAAAATCATACTCTCTCATCAGCAGTGGATCTAAACCGAGAAAAAGTCCCTGATTGACCTGAAAAAGCATTTAGAAGATTGATTATTAAACCAATTAAGGAGGCACCAGAGAAAGGTGAAGTCCAATTTAAGGAAATCAAAAAAAATGATACAAGGAACGAGGGGAGGAATCTTCAGTGAAATAGATAGCATAAATAAAAAACAATCACAACTTCAGAAAATAAAGGACACACTTAGAGAAATGCAAAATGTTCTTGAAATTCTCAGCAGTAAGACTCGAACAAGCAGAATAAAGAACTTCAGATCTCGAAGATAAGGTTATCAAATTAACCCAGTCCAACAAAGACTAAGAAAAAAGCATTAAAAAAATGAACAAAACCTCCAAGAAATGTGAGATTACATTAAGTGACCAAATCTAAGAATAATTGGCATTCCTGAGGAGGAAGAGGAATCTAAAAGTTTGGAAAACATATTTGGGGGAATAATCTAGTACAGCTTCCCCAGCCTTGCTAAAGACCTAAACATCCAAATAGAAGGAGCTCAAAGAACACCTGGCAAATTGCAAAAAGATCATTACCTAGGCACATTGTCATCAGGTTAGCTAAAGTTAAGATGAGGGAAAGAATCTTAGTAGCTGTGAGGCAAAAGCATTAGGTAATCTATAAAGGAAAACCTATCAGATTAACAGCAGATTTCTCAGCAGAAACCCTACAAGGTAGAAGGGATTGGGTCCCTATCTGCAGCCTCCTTAAACAAAACAATTATCAGCCAAGAATTTTGTCTCCAGCAAAACTAAGCTTCATAAATGAAGAAAAGATAGTCTTTTTCAGGTAAACAAATGCTGAGAGAATTTGCCAGTCCTAAGACAGCACTATAAGAACTGCTAAAAGGAGCTCCAAATCTTGAAACAAATCCTGAAAACACATCAGTAACAGAACTTCCTTAAAGCATAAGTCTCACAGGACCTATAAAACAAAAATATAATTAAGAAAAAACAAGGTATACAGGCAACAAATAGCACAATGAATGGAATAGTACCTCATATCTAAATACTAATGTTGAATGTAAATAGCCTAAATGCTCCACTTAAAAGATACAGAATTGCAGAATGGATAAGAATTCACCAACCAGGTATCTGCTGCCTTCAAGAGACTCACCTAACATATAAGGACTCACATAAACTTGAGATAAAGGGATGGAAAAAGATATTCCATGCAAATAGACACCAAAAACAAGCAGGCATATGTCAGTCAAAACAAACTTTAAGAGTAGTTAAAAAAGACAAAGTAGGACATTATATAATGATAAAAGCCCTTGTGCAACAGGAAAATATCACAGTCCCAAATATATATGCACTTAACACGGGAGTTCCCAAATTTGTAAAACAATTACTACTAGACTTAAGTAATGAGATAGAGAGCAACACAGTAATAGTGGGGGACTTCAATACTGCACTGACAGCACTAGACAGGTCATCAAGATAGGAAGTCAGCAAAGAAACAATGGATTTAAGCTATACTCCAGAACAAATGGACTTAACAGATATTTACATAATATTCCTTAATAGAGATGGGGTTTCACCATGTTGGCCAGGCTGGTCTCAAACTCCTGAACTCAGGTGATCTACCTGCCTTGGTGCTGGGATTACAGGCGGGAGCCACCACGCCTGGCCATTTACAGAACATTCTACCCAACAACTTCAGAATATACATTTTATTCATCAGTGCATGGAACTTTCTCCAAAATAGACCATATGATAGGCCACAAAACAAGTCTGAATAAATTTAAGAAAACTGAAATTATATCAAGTACTCTCTCAGACCATAGTGGAAAAAATTCTTCAAACTGAATGATAATAGTGACACAACTATCAAAACCTCTAGGATACAGCAAAGGCAGTGCTAAGAGGAAAGTTCATAGCCTTAAATGCCTGTATCAAAAAGTCTGAAAGAGCACAACTAGACAATCTATGGTCACACCTCAAGGTACTAGAGAAACAAGAACAAACCAAACCAAACCCAACAGAATGAAGGAAATAACCAAGGTCAGAGCAGAACTAAATGAAATTGAAACAAAAAGAAATGCAAAAGATAAATGAAACAAACAGCTGGTTCTTTGAAAAGATAAATAAAATTGATAGACCATTAGCAAGATTAACCAAGAAAAGAAGAGGGAAGATCCAAATAAGCTCAATTAGAAATGAAATGGGGGATATTACAACTGACACCACAGAAATACAAAAGATCATTCAAGGCTACTATGAACACATTTACGTGCATAAACTAGAAAACATGGAGGATATGGATAAATTCCTGGAAAGAGACAACCCTCCTAGCTTAAATCAGAAAGAATTAGAAACCCTGAACAGACCATTAACAAGCAGTGAGATTGAAATGGTAATAAAAAAATTACCAACAAGAAAAAGTCCAGGACCAGATGGATTCAAGTTGAATTCTGCCAGACATTCAAAGAAGAATTAATACCAATCATATTGACATTATTCTTCAAGATAAAGAGGAAATCCTCCCTAAATCATTCTGTGAAGTCAGTATAACAAAGAAAACTACAGACCAATACCCCTGATGAACATAGATGCAAAAATATTTAACAAAATACTCGCTAACCAAATCCAACAGCATATACAAAAGATAATCCGCCATAATCAAGTGTGTTTCATACCAGGAATGCAGGGATGGTTTAACATACACAAGTCAATACATGTGAAACATCACATAAACAGAATTAAAAACAAAAATCACATGATCATCTCAGTAGATGCAGAAAGAGCATTTGACAAAATTCTGCATCCCTTTATGATTAAAACCCTCAGCAAAATTGGCATACGAGGGACATACCTCAATGTAATAAAAGCCATCTATGACAAACCCACAGCCAACATAATATGAACGGGGAAAAGTTGAAAGCAAATGGAAACACATTTCATGTTCGTGGATGGGTAGAATCAATAATGTGAAAATGACCATACTGCCAGAAGCAATCTATAAATTCATTACAATTTCCATCAAAATACCACCATCATTCTTCACAGAACTAGAAAAAACAATCCTACAGTTCATATGGAACCAAAAAAGAGCCTGCGTAGCCAAAGTGAGACTAAGCAAAAAGAACATAGCTGGAGGCATCATATTACCTGATTTCAAACTATACTATAAGGCCATAGTCACCAAAACAGCATGGTATTGGTATAAAAATAGGGACATAGACCAATGGAATAGAATAGAGAGCCCAGAAATTAACCCAAATACTTATAGCCAACTGACCATCGACAAAGCAAACAAAAACAAAGTGGGGAAATGGTGCTGGGATAATTGGCAAGTCACATGATGGAAAATGAAACTGGATCCTTATCTCTTGCCTTATGCAAAAATCAACTCAAGATGGATCAAGGACTTAGATTTAAGTCCTAAATCATTAAGACTTAAAACTATAAAAATTCTAGAAGATAACATTGGAAAAACCCTTCTAGACATTGGCTTAGGCAAAGATTTCATGACCAAGAACCCAAAAGCAAATGCAACAAAAATGAAGATAAATAGGTGAGACTTAATTAAACTAAAGAGCTTTTGCATAGCAAAAGGAACAGTCAGCAGAGTAAACAGACAGCCCACAGAGTGGGAGAAGATCTTCACAATCTATATATCTGACAAGGGACTAATATCCAGAATCTACAAGGAACTCAAACAAATAAGAAAGAAGCAATCCCATCAAAAAGTAGACTAAGGACATGAGTGGACAATTCTCGAAAGAAGATATACAAATGGTAACAAATACATGAAAAAACTCTCAACATCACTAATGATCAGGGAAATGCACATCAAAACCACAATGCAATACCACCTTACCCCTGCAAGAATGGCCATTATCAAAAAAATAAAAAAATAATAGATTTTGGCATGGATATGATGAAAAGGGAACACTTCTGCACTGCTGGTGGGAATGTAAACTAGTACAGCCACTATGGAAAACAGTGTGGAGATTCCTTAAGGAACTCAAAGTATAACTCCCATTTGATCCAGCAATCCCACTACTGGGTATCCACCCAGAGGAAAAGAAGTCATACGAAAAAGATACTTGCACACCCATGTTTATAGCAGCACAGTTCACAATTGCAAAAATGTGGAACCAACCCAAATGCCCATCAGTCAACGAGTGGATAAACTGTGGTGTGTGTGTGTGTGTGTGTGTGTGTGTGTATGTATGTATATATGTATGTGATGGAATACTACTCAGCCATAAAATGGAATGAATTAATGGCATTCACAGCAACCTTGATGATATTGGAGACTATTATTCTAAGTGAAGTAACTCAGGAATGGAAAAACAAATATTGTATGTTCTCACTCGTAAGTGGGGGCTAAGCTATGAGGATGCAAAGGCATAAGAATGATACAATGGACTTTGGAGACTCGGGAGGGAAGGGGTAGGAAGGGGGTGAGGGATAAAAGACTACAAATTGGCTTCAGTGTATACTGCTTGGGTGATGGTTGCACCAAAATCTCACAAATCACCATTAAAGAACTTATTCATGTAACTCAATACCTAACCTGTTCCCTAAAAACCTATGGAAAAAAATTATTAAACATAAAATATAAGTATTTATTGGAAGCGCATCTTTTAATGAGGTGAGTGGGACTTTTTCTTTCCAATTAGTCCATTATAATATATTCCTGGAATGATTCCAACTCTACCTTTTTCTTATATATCTGAGAGCAGTGTTTTTTCAGACCATTCAGTTGGGTTTTTCTTTAGTTGAAAGCAATGAATTCAAGACCACCTGTCTTAAAATTTCTTAATTGATTATTATAGTAATTCAACTCCACAATTTCTAGGAAATGTATTAAAAATGCTTTGTCAACACTTACCAAAATGTTATTAATTATGCTTTTTTTTATTTAGAGGCACCTGATTTAATGCAATATTAAATAAAAAATAGAAGGGATTTAGAAAAATTTTAAAATCATTAATTTTAACATAAGTTTGCCAATGTAAGATTTTTAATAAAGTGCTTTTATCTAATTATATACTTTATATTTTCATCAGAATCTTAGAATTGCAGATTTAGTTCATTTGGCTTATGGAAAGTCTCCAACATAAAACTCTTGGACAAAGCCAGTCATTATTAAGCCACTTAGCCAAACCAACTTGCTTTCTGTCATTTTGTCAATTTAAATAAAAATGTTAACTTGAGTTCCATGAAAAGTATTTCATTTTGGAATTCTATTCCTAAGACAGATAAGGCAAAGCATTTTGTTGCCTAGATAAGATAGGTCTGCTTTCACTTACCAAGACTTTGATTTGTCTTATTCTTAAGGAACTGACAGTAGCTAGAGTATGGAAATTGCAAGATCATTAAACAAAAATCATCACTCCTGGTGCTGCCCTATGGTACAATGTATCTGATTTTAGAACCACCCAAGTATAGGCCAAAATATCATGCTTCTAACACTTTGCATAGTCCTTGCCAGAAATATGTATAAAATGGAAAAATACATAACACTATGTTTTTCTGATTTATAGTGTCTTTATTAAAGACAACTTTGTTAACATCAGTATTTTAAAGTCTTCCTATGCTTCTCCTGTGATTATTCGTGCCCTTGGGCAATGCACTATAGCAGCTTGACAGGGCTGAAAGGTGCCTTTCAGTAAATTGGGAATGGAGAATTTTGAAAGGAGAGTGCAGTAGGAAAGGAGAATTAGCATAATGTCCTAATCTTGGGCTTATTCTTTGGTAGATCAGTTTTGGAATAGAGTGTATATGGAAGGTGAGAATCTGGGAATTGAGTTCTTAAAACTATGTTTACCCATGTATCCTTTGGGAAGTCCTCACATAGCATCCCCGAGGTGCCTGCACCTTTGTTACAATAGCTTAGTGAATGGCAACACCATCTACCCAATTGCTCAAGCTAGAATCTTGGGTGTCATTCCCAACTACATCATCTCACCTCTCCTCATAGCCAGTCACCAAGTCCTGGCAGCTTTACTCCTTAATTCCTAGATTGACCATACAGTTCACTCACTAATCCAGGATACTTTTGAGAGTGAAAAGGGACACTGTTAATAACTAAGCTGGGACCACTGGTGTAAACAGGACTTGTGGTCATCTATTCACCTCTCTAGAATCAGTCTCCATCTCTGAATTTTAGTTTCAGTGCCAGATGAGCTTGGGTTTCTATAAAAGCTTTTTTGACTGGCTGTCCTGTCTTTGGTCTTACTCCCTCCAGTGTTTTCCCCACTGCAATTGCAGTTTTCTTTCAGAAAGGCGACTTTGATGGTGTCTCCTTCTGTGGCTTAAAATTATTTAATGGCTCCCTAAGGGAAAATCCAAACTCCTAAACATGGTTTACAAAGTCCTTTAAGATACGTGGCCCTTGGTTATCTTGAGCTCCTTTTCTTGCAACATGACTTTTCAGTTCCCCACCCAAATGCGTACTTCAGGTACGCCGTAGCTCCACTGAACTACCTGCAGCTCCTTAGCTGTACCATAGTGTCTCGGGGGGTTGTATGTGCTGCCTCCCCTGCCTGAACACCCTTCTTGTTCTCTTCCCTTCCATCATTTTTCCTTGTTTAAATCTTGTTTATCATTACCATCCACAGAGTGTGGTGTTTCTGATGTCTCCTGCTTCCTGAAGCTTTCCCCGACCCCCCAGAAATATTTTGGGCCTTCTTGTATCACATATTACAAATACAACATTGTTTGTGTCTATTGAATAATACCATTTGATCGGATACTTTTTGAAGGGAAGCATTGAATCCTATTCACCACTTTCTTACCACCTCTGTCACTGCAAAACAAGTGATCTGTAATGTTACTGAGTGAAAGAACTCTCGCCTGGACTGTGTGGGCCGCTCACTGGGAGGCGAGGGCCTTGACAAGAGCATTCCCACACCTCCCCTTCCCACGCCTGCATGCTCCCTCCTTCTCTTATGAAAGGCCTCTCCTGCTGTTCATTTTAACCAGATTTAACTTACATTTAAAAAAAAAGAAAAAGCTTTACTGAGATATTAGGAAGTTAGATTGAAAATTCTTATTGGGATTATAAGAAACAACAGGTACAGGATATTTTTAATGTGCTGGCAGCTACTAGGTGCTGTTTAGAATATTCTTGTCTGGTTAGAGGTATAGTGGTGTAGTATGTAATAAAAGGAGGCATATTATATGAGGATTTGAGTTCAAACAATGTCATGTGTAACTGTATGATGGTGGATCCCATGATTTTAAAAAATTGTTTATAATAAATAGCACTTCTAAAAGTAGATTTTTCTATTTCTTCTTGGTTAAACAGTGTTTAATAGGAAAGGAAGAGATGATGTTCTTCTGGAACATTTTCTGTTTAGAGTGGGTGTGCCCTCTTCTGAGCACAGTCATGTGAAACACCATGAGAATTCAGCAGCTGACATGCCTGAAATAACCCCGGGAAGTGCTGAGAGGGGAGCCTCCCAAACGGCTCCCCCAAAGTCGCTTCTTGCACTGCATGCTTTCCTCACTGCGGCATCGGGAAAAGCAGAGCATGCTTTGACTGATTGGTCTTCAGTTTGTTGATTTTGACACGGACTCAAAAACGGCTCTTGAAGGACCCAGGTTTGTGTAGGATCACCTCCATGGCACATTTTGAACTTTAGTTCTTTTTTCCTTCTTTCCCTCAAATGGTTGATTGCAGTAGGCATGAATGTTTCTTCCATGGGTCATGTATAATATTTTATCCTGCGGTTTCTAGGTTTAGGGAGGTGAAGGGCTGAATTCTATCTTGGAGAGAAAGTTTTCTTTGTTAATGGCACCCAATGCCTTCTTCACCAAAACTAAATTAAACTAAATTAAAAGGAGGGAGAGGATGAGGAAAAATAACTAATGGGTACCAGGCTTAATGCCTGGGTCACAAAATTAATCAGTGCAGCAGACCCTCATGACACGAGATTACCTGTATAACAAACCTGTACCTGTATCCCTGAATTTAAAAGTTAAAAAAAAAAATGCTTCCATCGAACAACAATTGAAAACAATAAAGGTACAAAGTACTTAATAACAAAACTATCAGGAATGGTAGAAATGTCAACATATACATACATGTATATATATATCCATATATCCATATACATTTATATTTTTGTATATACAACCAGGTACGTAGGTATGCTAGGTGTTCTTATCAATAAATGCAGTACCTGAGAAATTTCTGTGACCCATACCTTCTTAGTTATATACATAAGTGAAAGGAATATTGATTTCTTTACTATGAACATTTATTAAATTAGACTGTCCTTCTCCCCGGTTAAATCAGAATGAGCCATAAAGGAAGGAATTTCAGACAGTTGATTGATTGCCTAATGGGAAAACAGTGATTTTAGAGTTAATGATTTTAGACATTAGAAAACTAGTTTTTTTTTAAATTTAGGGTTTCGACACAAAGCTCTGATAAATTAACCTTGATTTAACCTTATTCTGAATCTTAAGAGAATTTTCTCCTTGAATATAATAAACAGTTTAATCGTGATGTGTCAGTAGCCTACTAATAAAATGTATTTTATGGAATATTTTCTATTCTACTTATATTTTATAAAATTGCAAATTTGCTGCATGTACTAAAAGCTAAGTGACTAGTTTGTCTATCATTTTAGGACCTGTTCCAATAAGAGAGATGTTCTTGGAATTGTTAAAAAGCTGTGCAGGTGCTTTTTTGTTTCATGGGAAAGTGGGAGTTACCTACTTTCCCTTCTGGACTATGAGTTTTGAGAGCTGCTTTATGAATTAACAGAAGTGGGCCTTTAAAAGCTGATGATCTGTAGGAGCTTAGTTTATTCTTTCATGATACCCATCAGTATTGGAGGCCGCAGGATATTTTATAGAGGATATTCAGGAAGTTTCTTGTTTAACATTTTTTAGAGTTATATCCTTACTCATATCAGCACAGCCTGAACTGGGACTGTGAGGAAAGATGAGCATTTGCTGTTGCTCATCTCCATTCAATCACATAGCAGATACTTACCAGGCAGCCACTGTGTCTCAGGAAGTATGGCACAATGGTGAGTAAGAGCCAAGGTCTCTGGTCTCAAGGAGTTTATTTCCAGGGGTGAGACAGACCATAAAAAGATACTCAAATATCAGGTACTGAATGCTTTGAAAATAAGATGATATGCTAGAGTTTTGTGAAGGCTTCTTCCATTGGGTGGTATGTAGAGAAAAAGTCTCTACCCATGTAATTACAGGTGTGAGCCACTGCTCCTGGCCGAGGCCTGTGGAACTTCTGACCAACTGGCTTCAAGTTGGAGTTCCCATGACCTTCTCTTTGGGTTTGATTAATTTGCTAGAGCAGCTTACAAAACTCAGAAACGCAGAATATATAGATGAAGAGATGTGTAAGGTGAGGTATGGGGGAACGGGGCATGGAACTTCTATGCCCTCCTGGGCACGCCACCCTCCAGGAACCTGCATGTGTTCGGCTACCTAGAAGCTCCCTGGACCAAGTCCTCTTGAGTCTTTGTGGAAGTGTCATGATGTCAGCATTCCTTTTCCAGGTGTATAGGGCTAGACTTTCTCTGGGGAGGGTTCCTCATTCCCCCATGATCTGTATGAACACAGGGAAAGGTCTTAAGACCCACAGTCAGAAAGGTGGGAGAAGATTAGAGTCCTGCTAGGGGCAGGTGAAAGGAGGGCAGGAGAGAGACTTTGTGTCCTGAGGCCTAACACTCCCAACATTTCAACAAAAGACTAACAAGGGCTATGGGAGTTATGAACCAGGAACCATGGATGAAAACCAATATATATCATAAACACCACAGGTGGTTAGAAGAGACCTCTTTGGTATTTACACCGAGGCTGGAGTGATAAGGGGAGGAGCATGGCAGGCAGGAGGAACAGCTGGCATGGGGGCCTTAAGGCAGAGACAGATGCGAGGTGTTCTGGAACTGAGAGGAGTCCAGTGATGCTAGAGTTGTAAGAAAGAGGGTGATGAAGTGGAAAGGTGGGCAGGGCCCCCATAACATAGGGCCCAGCAGGCTTTTGTAGGCTCTGTGTACATTTCTGTTGGAAATGTCAAGATGAGGAGTGATAGGGAGCTGGTTTTTCAGTTTGGGAAGTCAGTTCTGATTTGCATATGTTGGGTTTGAAACACCCATTTGACATCCCAGAGACATTAGGGGAGTAGGGGAGTAGGCTGGAGTCACATCTAGGAGTCTCTAGGTTTTTAAAGTCATGAGACCAAATAAGGTCATTTAGGGAGAAACAGACTGTAATTGCAGATGAGAAGGGGCAAGGCTGCAGTGTGCAGCTGTGCTAACCATGTGAATTGTACATGCTGGAGTAGGTGTAACTGTGTGGGTGGTGCTGAGCAGGGCACCTGGACCCTGCTTACTTTGCAGCTCCCTGGGCTGGCTTGCTCCTTTGTGCCAGATTACTTGGTTAGCTAAAACTACATTTATGTTCAGCTTCTAGGACAGAGTTTAAATGAACCCTAACTTAACCACCTGTATATTTTAAATTACTACAGTTTCAAGACATGGCAAATTTAGGATTTTATTTCAAGATGAAATGATCTCATAGTCTGTATACAGTGATGCCTCACTTATCCACATTTTAAAAATGTGTTGCAACTTCACTTACCCAAAATGTAGTCGAAACTTTCCAGAGATCTAAGGTTTCTTAAGCAGCACAGATTGATTATTTTAGAGTCCACTCACGGGATTCAGGACTTTCTCAAGGAATCTGTGATCCCTAAAACCATGTTTATTTTCATTTTAGGAAGAAATCTGAACACATTGGTTATTATGTGCCCTGGTCCTAAGAGATTTGAAACAGCCTATTAGATGCAACTGTAGGGCAGCTCCACTAGAGACAGGCATATGTTGGCAGGAAGGCATGTTTAAAAAATGATTGGTGGGCTCTGAAGACATATAATAGTAGGTCCCTAGAATCCAGTGTATTTTCAGTAACAAAAAAAGCAGCTTTCATCAGACCACTTTATTAATAATAAAACTAGTATGTTTGGAAGTCAAAGATACACAGAAAAGTTTGTATGATGTCTTTGTGGACTAAATGGAAAAATGATGCTAAATTGAAAGATAATTAGTTAGGATGGCTTTTCACAGTCATCTCTGGTTTCTTGAATGATGTGATGGAGGGAGGTTTCTAGGTATGTTCCAGGGCATAGAACATCTATGCCAGTACCTGGGATGAAGACATAAAGGGCATGCACATCACATTCACAGATGGCATAAACACAGGAGGAATAGCAAGTTTGTTGAATACAAGAATGAAGATAAAAGAGGTCTGGATAAATTGGGAAGTGCTCCAGTTACTCTTTGTTGTGTAACTAGCCCTCTCAAAATGTAGGGGCTTTAAATTACAGCCACACACATTTTGCTCGTGGATCTGCGACTTTGGCAGGGCTTGGGAGGGCCCGCTCATGTCTGTTCTACTTAGTGTCTGCTGGAGCAGCATGAAGGCTGGAGGCTGGAGTCATCTGAAGTCTCAGTCATGTGTGTGCTGGTTGATGTTGGCATTGGCTGGGGCTTCAACTGGGGATGGAGCACCTACTTGTGGACTCTCTGTGTTGTTGCTTGGCTTCCTCGCAAGGGAAAACATCCAGAGGGCAAAGGGAGGGAAGGATACCAGAAGGAGCATGGTCACTGTGCATGACCAAGTCTCAGAAGACAGGCAGTTACTTCTGCCACCACACAGTGTTACTTCTGTGGCATTCTATTGGTTCAAAGTAAAGTCCAGGCAATATTCCCCCCAAACCCCCTGCCACTCAAATTCCCTCAAGTTTGCACCTCTCAAAGTTTTTCCTGGATTACCTGAGTAGGCTACTTAGGCTCCTGGATTCCTGGTTTGCTTTACTTTAACCCACTCTCCTTTTACTTGCTGTCAAGGTGATCAGATTAAAATGCAAATATTATGAAGTTGCTCCCCTACTTATAAGATTTCAATGAGTATCCATAGTATTCTGCTTAAATTCAAATTCTATTATGCATACGAGACTCTTTATTATCTGGGCCCTATCTATAATCTGTAGATCCTTCTCTAGCCTTCTCTTCCATCACTACACCATATACTGTTTTTACTCTTGGTCAGGTAACATTTAAAGGGGAGGAATACTACATTATACCTTTTGATAGGAATAGTGTTGACTAATTTAAAGACATGTTTTAATACATGAGATTCCTCTGACCAAAAATTATTTATATTCTTTTTACATATAAAATGCACTTATCCCTCCCAAGGCCTCCCAATATTCTTATTTATTGTGACATGGGACTTGAGCTTAAGATATACCATCTCCAGCTTGCAGTGAGCCGAGATTGCGCCACTGCACTCCAGCCTGGGTGACAGAGCGAGACTCCATCATAAAAAAAAAAAAAAGATATATCATCTCCTCTAATCAGACTCTTCGAACATTTTCCCTGAAGTTTAACCCTTGAGTACAGTTCCTTTTGATCTGAAGATATGTGAATTAAGGTGATAAGATATGTTTCCTGCCTACCCGCCCCAAACATACAGTGGTGGAACATGCATAGGATAACCAGTATAAATGCTTCCAGTTAGAAAGGGGCAAAACAGGAGGCACACAACAATTACTAGTCCATAATACTAGTTTTGAAATCTAGCCAGACACATGTGGTGATTTCTCTGATTAGGACTTGGTCCTATTGCCTAGGAGTTGTTCACTATGACGATTGGCCCTGTCTTCTCGGCTCTTGGTTCTGTTGTCTGGGCTTGCTTGCTTTTTTAATAAAAAGTAGTGTGTATTTGCGGTGGAGTAGTGTTCTCGGCCTGGATTTTGCCTAAGGAAGATTGGGAGTTCAAAGGCCTCTTTTCAGTTTGTAGTATCTCTGTCCCTTTCAGCCCAAGCTGGTATAATTCTTCTAAAAGTTTTTGTGGATTTCTAATGAATCAACCTTTAATTAACTTTATTAGACAAAGGCAGCACCCACAGATTGCTCTGGAATAAGCTCTTCTGTACCTTAGATTCCCTGTAAGGCTGTTGGGACACGGTGCCGTTAAGATTATTAGAGGATCTTGTTTTGAAAGGGTCCATGAGGCATGGTGTTAAATCTTATAAATTGTATTACATCTAATAAAGGATTTTACAGTTATAGCATGTTTACCTGACAGCATGCTGGATTCATTCTTTGCCCAGAAGCCATTTCTTAATTGCAGCATTGTTTGCCTTCTGATAGGACTAGGAATGCGAAAGTTTTATTTTCAAACTCAGTAAAAAGTCCTGGCTCCTTTATATTTTAATAGTTCTTCTTTCTTTTTAGCTTATCTCTCTCTTCTTACATTTCATTTATAGCCAGCAAAATGAAGCCAATCAGCAATTTCAACAGTTTACCTGGAAACCTCCTTATCTGAATCATCCAGTTCGTTTGGTACATTTTTTATTCCACATTTTTTTCTGTTTCCAATAGCTTTCTCTGCTTTAATTGAGGCTCTTAGAGACAGCCTCCCTGCAAGCCCTCAGGCTTCTACCAATACTCTCCTTAAGGTCCTTCTTGCTACTTCATCCCAAAAACACACAGTGGAAAGTAGAGGGAGTGGGGCCAGATCATGGAAGGCCTTATAGGTTATTAGAAGGATTTTGTGTTTTACTTTGAGTGCGAAAGGAAACCACTGGAGGATATTGAAGAAAAGAGTTAACTGATTTGATCCGTGTTGAAATGATTTTCTCTAACTGCAAGGGCAGACTCAAGGATACTATTAAAAGAGTTGTTGAAGAAATCCAAGTAAAAGATAATGGCTGCTTGGACCTGAGAGTGGTGAGAATTTGACCTTTTATGTTTATATTTTGAACATAGAGCCAACAAGATTTGCAGATGGATAGAAGAGATAGAAGATAAAGAGGTTTTGACTGGAACCAATGGAAAAGTGCTGTACTATTTACTGAGATGGTGAAGACTGCAGGAGAACAATTTTTTTTGAGGGGGTAGAATCATCAGTTTTCTTTTGGACATCTAAAGTTTGAGATTCTAACAGGCATCTAAGTGGAGATGCCAAGTAGGCAGTTGGATTAACAGGGAATTCTGGTCTGGCTATAACTGTGGAAGTTGTCAGTGTATAGATGGCATTTAAGGCCATGAGCCTTGATGTGAGGTATGAGCTTAAGCAGTCCAGCCTTTCCTGGTCAGGGAAATATGAGCAACCAGCAACAGATTTTGAAGACGTGGCCAGTGAGACGGGAGGAGAAGCAAGATTGAGGAGTGTCCTAGAAGCGTGTGACGTATTTCAAGAACATGGATGATGGAACAACGTGGAGGTAATTGCAGTAAATACTAAAATGGGACCATGAGGAGATGAGAGAATGTAGAACAACTTTTTTTTTTTTTTCTCATCCAGAGATTTATTTCAAAGCACAGAAGTGAAATGGACAGGTATGGGAGTCAAAGTTTTTTGGTTTTGTTTTGAAGATGGGAGAAATAAAGCCACCATTCTTCCAACAATGATTCTGTCAAAAGGGAAACCTTCATGATGCAGGAAAGAGAACAGAAGGTTGCTGGAACCATGTTCCTGAATAGATGAGAAAGGGATGAGCCTAAGTGGAACATGGACAGTTCCTCCACAGCAACAGGAGAGAAGGCAGAACACAAGCTCAGATGCAAGCAGGTTGGTCGACGGGGCCAGGATGCATACGCATTTCTCTTATGATTGTTTCCATTTTCAGTGAAGTAATGAAGATCTTCAGCTGAGAGTGAGGAAGGGAAAGGAGTTGTTGGAAGTTTAAGGACAGAGGAGAAAGTGTCAAGAATTATTAAGGAGAATGACGGAATAAAATGTAGGATTCTGCGTGATACCAAGGGTTCCCTTGGGTTATTGCTAATGAATGTAAAGCAAGCCCACCTATGGTTGTGCAATGTGAGCCTCCAGTTATGTTCAGCTCCTTGGGTGCTAGCATGGAGAATGCGGGGAATTGGAGTTACCCATGGGTGTTTTTTTTTCCTGTAGATATTATGGAAGCAAGGATGTGCAAGGAAATTGAGGACACTTGCAAGTGAATGATTATAATGAATAGTGAGGGAAATGACATTGGTTGGGGGCATCAGCGAGGGACAATGAAAAGGTAGTAGGGTCAATGAATTGGGTGTCTTGGTGGAGTCAGAATATTAAAGTGAGTTGGGAGAAGAGTATTAGTTGAGAGTAAGAATCTTGAAATTTAAGTTGTGCATTACTTCTCAGACAATATTTTAGAAAGTAGCTTGGCCCGAGTGTAAGATGGAATGGCTTCAGTTCGTTGGAGCTGCTGTTCTGTACTTTTGGGCAAGTTGTTTACTCAGTGTTTCAGTTTCCTCATTTATAAAATGGTAATTATAATAGTTCTTCCTAGAGTTATTAAGAGGATTAAAAGAGTAAACACATGTAGAGTCCTCAACAGTGCCTGTCACATTGCAAACATTTAATAAATGCTAGCTGTTATTATTGCATTTCTGTAACCTTAGAGTGGTGTCAGGGTCCATGGATGAGAAATGAGGAATATTCCCAGGGCCAGTGACACTTTATGAGAAGCCACATGGTCCATCAGAGATTTCTTGAAATTCACTTTTGCTGAAAAACGGGGCCAGTTGTAATTATCTCTCCCTCCCTGTAGATCACTCCAGTGACAGGCCCTTGTTTTTGTCGCCACTGCAAGATAGCTCTATTATGGTGGTTTTACTTGAGGTCCTAAGGCTTCTGTGACTCATATGAAGGAGCAAATTAAAGCCATGTCCTCTTGATGTTGCTTAGAGGGCCATAGATCTGTTTACAGGGTCAGTGGGAAAAGCACAAATAGCCATAACCTAAGTCCTGGATTCCTTGAAACATATATGTGAATTATGTTGAGTCCTAGAACTCCCCAGGAGTGACCTGTTATATCACTTTTGAGATCTTTGTGGCTCTGTTGTCAATGGTACATGACCAACTCTGTTTTTACTCTCTTAGATCAAGAGGTTGTTTTGCTATATTAATGAAAACTGTGTGTGCTTTTAAGTCCTTTTATTTGGCCTACAGGAAACTTTATTAAATGTCAATGTAACATTCTTAAGTTCTCCAAAAGAGAGTCAGCATTGGACTCTGGGTGAAATAAGATGCAGCAAACTCTCATTATTTCATGGTGTCCTTTCTTTTTAAAAATTTTTTAGGGTTTATTCTACTATTAGAACTCTAGGAGACTCTGAAAGAACAGTTGACAAATGAAAGGTTGGACCCCGAATTTAATATATATCTTTTGAAGATTAGGATATTGATTGGCTGGGCACTATTAGAGTTTCAGAACCTAATTCTGAGACTGTTACCAAGGAAATTGATGAAATTGAGAAGTTATCAGCCAAGGTGGATGAAAGCAGCCAAGGGCATTTAGCCAGGACTGTCAGAGAGTAAGAAGGGTCTGTCATTGCTCTCCGGGTTACATCAGTGCTGTGATTAAGATTGACAGGCCTGAAGTGGTAAGGCTGTCTAACTGCTTTACCTCTTCTACTCTGGCAAAGGGGCAGAGTCCGAGAGGACTGTCACCCTGACTCCTCAGTGATGGAGTGTTTAGGATACAGTATGTTAGGAGTGGACTGTGCGACATCAGAGAGCAGGGTCTGTTTGGGTTCATTGTTACCTTCCTACAAAATGGGATCTCATCCAGCTTGTCAGCATATACAGACTGCATAGTATACATTTGAAATAGGAGAGAGAGGGGAGTGGGGAAGGGGAAAGTGTTTGAGTGATTATCCTAGAGAATGGACAGCTTGAATGTTGAGAGGGAATGAGAGATAGGGCTATTTCTCCTCGTGACCATCTGGCTATGCAAGAGGCAGCACACCAGGGTACAATTCAGAGAAACCATTCTCTGAATCAACATTGGACCCAGTGTGAAATAAGATGCAGCACAGCTCCAATTATTGCATGCTGTCCTTTATTTAAAAAAATTTAGGGTTTATTCTATTAGAACTCTAGGAGACTCCAAAAGAACAGTCTCTTAGGGCACCACACTGCATGATTCTCAGCTCTCTGCTCCTCTTTCCCCTCACGTGGGGCAGGTGGAAAGACTGAATGGACTACTTCCCTTTCTGGAAGTTCTCCATGAATATTGATTGCTTAGCTGAGTATTTGTTAGCTGTTAGGCAACACTGACTTCAATAGGGTGTTCAATTGTAAAGGACTTAGAGTATTACATTCTGTGTTATTACATGGAAATTTACTCACTTGCTTTAAGAGCAGTTGAGCTGATAGACATGTACTTTATACAGATTTAAGGCTCTGTTATCTCCCATTTATGTATTTTGAGAAAGTTTTTTTGAACATGCTATTTAACGATTTTTTTAGTAAAGCCATTGTATACTCACCCTGCAGTTAATTTTCCTTGTACATGATTTTATTATCTCATATGTATTCATCTTATATAAGTAATTATTGTCTCACCACATTGTATTGTAATTACATGGCTGTGTGTCTCCTGCTGGGCTGTGAGTGCGAGGTTAGTCACGGGTCTCATTCAACTTTGTGTTCCCATACTAAGGACAGTGTCTGACATGTCATGTAAAGAACATGTATAGTGGATATCCATAAGTGATGAATGAATGAATGATATCCCAGTTTTAGAGTCTACCTCTAGAATATTGGCACTCCATGACCAGTATTCTGGATGTATTCCTTAAAACAGGGATATTGTGTTCATTGGCAATTTTTTGTGCCCTTTTTTCTCTTAAACTATAGAGTAACAGGCTGCTGTGTTTCACTCTGATCTTCCATGTGCTCTGTTTGATTGCTTGTTGATAATGAATGGTGACAAGTGCCATCATAGCATGGCTGCTTTGGTTCCAAGGTCACATCTTTCCCTTGGTTGAACGTAAGTGGGTTTTACATTTCAAGATCTTGGCTTCTGAAACCTGGTGACTTGTGTTTATTATTTATGTTCTTGGGCATTTATCATTGTCTGACCTCTGTAACCCCTGGTTTCCATTTTGATCAAATGAGATTTGTGTGTGGCCGGCTCTAGGGTGATGCTTAGCATAGCAAATGTGCAGTGAGTTGATTGAATAGCCTTTGACTGAGTCTTGCTGCTGCTGCTTCGTGCTGCAGAATTGTAATTTCTAACTTTTCTTGAAACTGTTATTTTACTTTTTTCACCTCTCAAATTTAATCACTCTCAAGGAAAGAGATTTATTTTAAAATAGAACAGATTATCATTAATGTAAAATTTTTGATAGATTAACCAGTTTTTCCCATTATATGTAGTTAAAATTTTTTCTTCCTATTTTCTTTAGCTGGCTTTAGTGACTGAAAAGCATTCTGGAGACAAGGAAACAAAGACAAAACAAAACAAAATGAATCAAAAAATCTGAAAAAAAATTACAAAGGTTGTCTTTTGGGATGATGATGATGATAGGAGGAGAAATTTAAAACTCTGATTTCTGCCCCTTACTAGTTTCAGAACAAGATTAGACAGACAGTAATAAGACCAAAGCCTCCTTTTTTCCCTTCTTGCCACAAGCACATATTGACACTTCATGTGTAAGTGTAGCGTAGGGCGTGAAATTAAATCCCAATGTTACATGTGCCTTGACACCTGGAGAAACTGGGAGAGCCTCTAATAACGCATCCATAAGCCCTCTCCCTTACTGTGCTCTAGGGAATACGGTCCCCTAACCAACCAGCTCTCCAAGACCCCAGCAGGCTGACATCTTGATTTTAGCCTTGTGAAATTTGAAGCAAAGAAAGACACTAACTTTCAGCACTCTGAGATAATAAACAGGTGTTGTTTTAGCCTCTAAGCTTGTGGTAATTTGTTACGGCAGCAGTGGAAACCGAATGCAAGTGTTAATGAGTATTTGCGTTTGTTTTCCTTGGTTTTCTCTTCATTGGAAAATTCAGGGGATAGTAAAACCTTTTTGTTTAACATGAATGGCAAGAAACAGTCCCCTCACCTCATGTTTCCATTTCATGAAGAACCCACAGCTTTATATATGTAAAGGGATGGGTCTGCGTTGTGTCCAACACACAGCTTAACGTTTGGATTGATTTTACTCTACTTGAATGAGCTACACTTTCCCTGGGGATCATAATTTTAACACCAAAGCCTCATTTTTAGTCGCTGTGGGCTCCAAGAGCATTTCACTGACACATCCTCTGCCTCAAATACACTTTCTGTTTTAAAAGTGAGTGATTCTAGACCTTTGAAAAATAAGACATGATGAAAACCAGAATAATGAACATTTTAGTTTTTATTTTTAGTTTTTAGTTGCTACACTTAGATATGTTGGTTACTCTACTTTTTTTTAAAAAAAAGTCAAAAAATGGAAACTGCTGTGAGTGACAAATAATGAAGCTTATATATGCATGAATAGAGTTTAGTATAGTTATAAAATCTTACAGTAAAATGACTACAACAGTTGTATTCATAGTCATAGTATTCATAGTATGAATAATTGCATTCATAATTAGGAATAAAGGGTAAGGGGATTGCATAAAGCATTATAATTGCCATTTATAATTATTGCTACCGTTACATAGCAGAACAAGCATTCTGCCCTCAACTGAGGGGAAGGAAAGTGGGGAACTGCGCCAGCGCATGAGTGCTGGATGGAACGTGGCTCAAAGTGGGTCAGCTCCTACCTCGCTGTGGTGGGAATTGCCCCTTCTTCATTAAGGAGCACGAGGAAATGGAAACTGAGTGGCTTGGCCCTGGGGGTCCCCAGCATCTGGCTAGGAGAGTGTGGGAGCGATTCCATCTCTGCCCTCCCCTGACCCTCCAGGGCAGCCCTTATCCCTTTGACTCTGCTTTTGTGGGAACTCCAGTGCCCTCTGTGCTTCCTTGGCTTCTGCCCTGCTCTTCCCACAGATGGAGAGGCGAAGCTAGAGGCTTACCTCATCTCTTTCCTTCGATAATTCTACTTAATAATTGTGAGATTTAAAGGAAGGCCTCTCCCCAGGACCCCGAATTCTCCTGCCACCACTTGAAATTCTGTTCATTAACTGTTAATTTGAATTAATAAGTAGGTATCTTAGACTGGCCAAAGGCAGTTATTAGAGGTAACCTAATCATTCTTAGCATGTGTAGCCTGAGCTAGGGGCTATTCTAAAGACTTTACCTGGATTAACTTATTTAATCTGCACAGGAACCTTATGAGGAAGGTCCAGTGGTGTCCAGTTGCTTGTCCTAAGTTACATGGCAATGACATGGGGAGAGTCAGAACAGACTCTCTATGGGTCTGCCCTGGGATTCAGGCCCTCAGCCACTGTGCTGAACTGCTCTCCTGGATCCTTAATGACGATTTGATTGCTTTCTTCCTAACACCTAGCAGCAATACCTGTAGGGATGAGACTGGAAGCAAAGATGGTGAGGACGTATTAGGAAGAGACATGGCTCTAAGGGGAGCAGTGCTTGGGATGATGGAGACTTTGGAAAGAGACTTGGAGGACATTTTTTTTGAGGCCATTATTTTCCCACCAAAAATAGAAGTCACTTGTAAGCATTTGGATGTCACATTATAATCAGTATGATAATTCAACCAGGGACCCAGCAAGTACTGCTGCTCTTCTTTGCCTCTCTTCCAACGTCAGCATCATCTTTCTCTTTGTATTTTATTTTTAATTTAATGTTATTTTTAAAAGATGGGGTCATGCCATATTGGCCAGGGTGGTCTTAAACTTCTGGCCTCAAGCAGTCCTTCCTCCCCTGCCTCCCAAAGTGCTGGGATTTCAGGTGTGAGCCACCGTGCCTGGCCTATTTTTTCTTTTACTGTTCTTGCTGCAGAAAACTCTTATGTATGTTTGTGTGTGTATATGAGAGAAGTGTTTAACTGACCAAGTTTTAAAATGTTGTTTAAATAACATTTTGCAAATATTCTTGAAGTAAAAGCTAATGAAAAGCAACTAATTTCTTTAATTGTCCTTTTCTTCCTCACACAGTATTGGCTGGATCCTGCAAAAACCCTTGCTGAACACAAAGAACTGATCAACAGTAGGTATTTAGCTTTTACTTTGTTAAAGGGTGGCTTGAAAACGATGACAAAGTCCATGATTAGTTGGGTGCAGAAGTGGGCTTTAGTACTGGAGAAAGAAGTGAATACTAGTACTTGAGTACCAGAATATGGGAATGTGTGTATTGTGTGCATTGCTAGGCCCTCTCCAAAGTCAGATTAAATTTAATCAGTTTCTGAGTGGATCTTAGTATGGAATTTTTCCTAGAGGCAGGTCTTTCCTTGATTTTGTCTGTGGTTTTTCTGTATGCTTGTCTTTAAAATTTGACCTTAAAACAAAAAAGGCAAATAGACATTAACGGGGGTGGTAGGTGGGCTGCAGGGATGGGTCATAATGTCCAAGCTTTTAAAGAGCTTGAGTTTCTTGGGTTATGGCATGGTTTTGCCATTCAGACCACTCAGTTTCCTAAGCCAGTAAGTAAGAGGTGCCTTTGTGATCTGAAAAGTGGTCTTCAGAGAGAGACCATTTTTGGGAGCTAGCTTTTTGGTTTTATCAATACAAATATTATAAGGAGATGCAATATAATTAAGTATATATTCCTTAATCTTAATTTCCAGAACCCAAGTTTTTATTTATAAGCACAAACAGAGGCTCCTTAAGTGCGCAAAAAATACTCTTTTTAAAAAAATTGTCTGTTTCAATTGAAATAAAAGGTACATAACATATAAAATGGATCCTTTTAACCATTTTTGTGTGCAATTCAGTGGCATTAGGTACATTTACGTTGTTGTGCAACCATCATCACTGTCCATCTCCAAAACATTTTAATCTCCCTAAACTGAAACTCTGTTCCCCATTAAAGCATTTTGCTGAACTGTGTGAATTATTGCTAATCAAAACGGAGTGGATTCTTCTGGCATTCATTATCCCCATTCTGAGTCTGTATTTTCTGTGCATGTCAGCTTGTTTCCTGTGATAGTATTGGTTGTGCGATGCTCCATGGATCCAAGGGCAGGAATGTAGCTCTGCTTCCAAAAGGAACTGGAAACCTGGACTGCAAAGCCATCCGAAAGTCCTGTTTCTATGAATGTCAGCATCATTGTTGTTTCTCATCGCCTTTCCACCTCTGTAGTGGAAACCACTGGAGTTTACAAGTTACAGCTCTAGCATATTTGAACCGATTAAAAAAATACCAGTTGGAAAACCAGAAAAATTTCAGGAATGATTTTTTTTTTTTTTTTTTTTTTGAGACGGTATCTTGCTCTGGCACCCAGGCTGGAGTGCAGTGGCGAGCTCTTGGCTCACTGCAATCTCTGCCTCCTGCGTTCAAGCAATTCTTCTGCCTCAGCCTCACAAGTAGCTGGGATTACAAGCGCCCACCACCATGCCCAGCTGATTTTTTTTTTTTTTTGTATTTTTAGTAGAGATGGGGTTTCACCTTGTTGGCCAGGCTGGTCTCGAATTCCTGACCTCAGGTGATCCACCCACCTGAGCCTTCCAAAAGTGCTGGGATTACAGGTGTGAGCCATTGCACCCAGCCAATTATTTTAAAATAAACTCACAGGTTTCTTTTATAGGAAAAGTTGATATTTCTATCAAGGTGATGAAAAAATGTTAATTATTTTAAGGTGCATTATTAAAGTGTTCCTAAGCACATTTAAAGTGTCTACTTATTTACATGGTATGAAATATTTTATTTAAGTATCAGTCTATAATGCAGTCACTTTTTCATTCTAAAAATGCAATATTAAAAATTTGCATAAGACTCGTGGTGTCTTATGCCTGTAATCCCAGCAGTTTGGGTGGCTGAGGCAGGTGGATCACCTGAGGTCAGGAGTTGAAGACCAGCCTGGCCAACATGGTGAAGCCTCGTCTCTGCTAAAAATACAAAAATTAGCCAGATGTGGTGGCGAGTGCCTGTAATCCCAGCTATTCGGGAGGCTGAGGCAGAGAGGATGGCTTAAAACCCAGGAGGCGGAGGTTGCAGTGACCTGAGATCCCACCACTGCACTCCAGCCTGGATGACAGAGCGAGACTCCATCTCAAAAAAAAAAAAATTGATGTATAGTAAGAATAAAACAACTGGTATTATAATTGACGAAACGTTAGTGACTGAAGAATCCTTACATTTTATCTCATGAAATTATTTGATAGTGAAGGAAAATGGCTATCAAATCTCTAATAGATTAGTCAGAAAGAGAATCTATAAAAATGACAGAACATTTGCTAGTTACCAGAATGCTTATAGTTAATCTTGATTTATTTCTCCTTGAGTTAATGAGAAACTCCTTATCAAAGACCTCAAAATTAGTCTACACAAAATATAGAGGATTCCCAGTTTTTGGCTTCTGTATTTTTTGCTAAAGTGAAACAATATTAACTTCACTTTACATAAGAGTTTCTTAAACGTTTGAGTCCATGGAATGATGTGGATTCAAGACAATAATTTTGTAATTTGAATTATCAGCACCTTACTTTTTTGTAGTCAGTCTTAGAATAGGGAGCCAAAAAATATCTGGCTAGACATATCCTTGTCCAAAATGTTCATTTCTATAGCCTTTGATTGCTTTCTGAAACAGTGATGCATATGAGAGTATTATCTCACTCTAAAGGTATTATTATTTTGTATTTCCCTGAGAAGCTGTATAGAATGGTGCACCCCAAAGTGCTGAGCCCTAGATGATAGCAAACTTTTTTTTCTTCCCTGTGATTTTAGGCAAGTTGTTTAACTCCTTGGAGTTTAATGTGCCTTGCATATGTTCCCAAGTTTTTGTTGTTGAGAATCAAATGTTTATGAAACATTTTCGTACATTATGAAGTGTAACCAAATGGTAATAATGCCTTATATTTAGAACACAGCCATTTTATATGTGAATGGGAAATGAAGGTCTAGTTTGGGCCAGAAGACCTTAGAGAAAATTAGCCAAAACCTAATGTTTTTAACTGTGTACTTTTAACATTTTTGCTTAACTGTTCATACTGAACATTTGAAATGCGTGGGCTTGGTGAATAGGGTGTAATCTGTCATGTTCCAAAGAATAGAAGCAGCTCTGAGGCCTGGAGAAGGCCTCTTCCCTTTGTGCACCATCTCAGCAGCATCTGTGCTCCTCCCCGCCCCCTAGGTACCAACCCCAGCTGCCTGCGGGCACAGGCAGACCCATCTGCTCAGGAACATGGAGCTTGATTGACACAGACGGATAAGCTGAGGGTGGACTTCCTGGCTCTTCTAAATATTTAATAGTCTGTGCCTCCCTGACATCTATGTTCAGGGATAGAGGTGTATTTGTCAGAAATACAAACACAGTGGTTAAACAAACATAAAAGTTAAACATAAGGAATCAACTCCAATAATAAGAAATTCTAGCAGTTTCTTTTAAAGTTTAGTTTTTAAAAAAGCTGTAGCATAAGGAGTGTCTTTACACAGGAAGGCACAGATGAGGGGAGGGGCAGGATCCTCATCTTGATGGTCTCCCACATGCCAGGAACAGGGTTCCAGGGTGCTGCACACATAAGTATGTGTATGTAATATTAATAAATAGTAACATAGTTCATATGTTATAAATACATGATACCTTTATTCTTGTTCATTTTAATTTCTTTTCCCCAGTTTCTAAATTTGTGACTTTATTTATTCAGTTAAGAATAGCGAGACTGGGGTTACTTTATCAGTTTAGATAGTATCGAAGACTTTTACTGAGATGCATGCTTCACATCTTTTCTTTTTAATTTGTGGGAGAGCTTTTGTTGGAAAACAAAATTAACACCCGTAACCACTAATTGGTATACCAGGTAACAAAACAAATCCTTTTAAAAACAAAGTGTATTAGATCTAGTTACTGCACAGCTTGGAAATATGCACTTTTGGAAACAGTACAGATTAGATTGATACCCTCAGAAATAAAAATATTTCTAGTAAAAGCATAATATAATGTGTTCAGCACCCAAGGGGTTTGTGTCTTCTTGCACAATATGAGTGTTTATTTTTTATTTGCCCATGTACATACAATTCCAGGCTTTGTTTCTGATTTTAAAAAAAAGTTTGTAGGCATAGTTCTTCTTTGGTAAATTAATGAGATGAGAAAGGTTTTCTTAAATACGTGAGAACACATTTTTAGATTCAGAAATGTTTAAGAATGAAACAAATATTGTCCCTAATTTTATTATGTAGCCTCACTGATGACTTTTTTCCTGTAAAAAAAGGTAAGAGTTATCATAAGAAAATTCTAATGAATTAGTTTAAGGATAGAATGTTTCTAGCCCTTCTTCCCAGAGTTTGCCATTTAGTAATTTTTTTTGTACTCTTCCAGGAAAAAAAACTCAAATATATATTAACTGATACTTTTTCACAAAAGGTATGATATTTCTGTGCTCGGAAATTTAGATAGTTGGTCTTTTCCACATGAGCACATGCAGATGCCCTTCTGTCTGTTTAAACATTTGCATGGTATATGTCCTGTGGCTGGGGCTGACTTAAATAGTCCACATGCTGCTGAGCATTTAAGTTGTTTTCAGCTTTTTGCAGATAGGTTTAAAAACTATTTTTTTTTAATGAAATGATAGGTGGGTGGTTTTTTAAACCATTTATTTTTTTTCTTTCTTCACTATGAAAAATTACATATATACTATAGAAAATGGGAAAAACATATATAATAAAAATTGTCCATAACCTCACCAACCAGACATAAGAACCAGCAACATTCTGGTGTATTTGGCCCTGTCTTTTATCTGTGTGTGTGTATGTGTCGAGGTCCTATCGTCACAGTTCTGAACCTTGCTGTTTTTATCTTATGTTTTCTTGTTTCTTTAGACAATCTTGGAGTGTAATTGTAAATAGCTGTATAATATTATACTGTAACTTTGACTAATTTATGATTTTAGTGAAATTTAATTTCTATTTCTTATTTTAGCTGGACCTCCATATACTTTGTATTTTGGTATTAAATTCTATGCTGAAGATCCATGTAAACTTAAAGAAGAAATAACCAGGTATAGTATTGACTTTGTTTTTGAACAGATACATGCATTGCATATACAAAAAGCTTTATTTAAAACAAATTAAAATTGGGCTAAACGTTTGGATGTGTGTCTACCTGCATTTTGTAACGCATCTCCTTAGAGGGTAAAATTTAAACTAGCATTGCATGAAGTTGATCAGTGTCTGATGATAGATGTGTTTGAAAATGGCGTGAACCTGGGTGACATGATGATACATTTTGCATCTGCTGTGATGAAATATTTCTGTATCATTATTGTTAAGCATGCATTCAGCCTTTGTATTCATATCGAAGTTATTTGAACTGCCTAAAGGAAGGATATTTTGATGTTCAGTTTGTACTTCTAAATATACATTTGCCCAGCCAGGTATTTCTTTTTAATTGGTTGTAGCTTAAATATTAGCTCTCCAGGTGTTTCATTTATCTCTATAGGAAATGAGAAGATAATTTTGCTTTTAGTATTAAGGATGGAAACCAATGTTTTAATGCATTACTTCACCTTTGTCACCAAATATTTGATATTAGTAAGACAGAATTTCCTATTGGTATTAATTAGGTTGTCAAAATAGTACATGTCAACAACTGAAAGGGCTCATAAGGAACAGACCAGTTATATTTTAACTTATTCTGCTGGTGACCTAGCTGCATGTGGTAGGAAAAACAAAAGTATATTCCCTAACTTAACCGTAGGTGGTCAGTTTTCCCAGTGAACCCATATTAGGGGCTAAAATAAAGCCTAATACCTCCTTTAAAAAAGTTGAAAATCATGTCTTTGGTAGCCTGTGGTTTTGTTTCTATTCCATGCTTTCATCTGTCTCAGACTTTCTTTTTTCTTTATTCTGGACTGCACACAGAAGAATAAGAAGAGGGTAGGCTAATTGGACCTTTTTCATCCCACTTTGAAGTGCCATATTTAGGCCTCATTTTTACTTTGTTTTATTTTATCCCTCAACTTAAGATATAATCTTTTGAACTCTAATGATTGATTGATTGATGAAAAGATTATATTTCATAATCTGTATTTGTTTAATTTTTTAAGACACAGGGTCTCGCTCTGTCACACAGGCTAGAGTGTAGTGGTGTAATCATAGCTCACTGTGACCTCAAACTCCTGGGTTCACAGAATCCTCCCGCCTCAGCCTCAGGAGTAGCTGGGACTACAGGTGTGTGCCACTACACCTAGCTAATACTTTTTTTTTTTTTGTCTTGTTATGTTGGCCAGGCTGATCTTGAACTGCTGGCTTCTAGCAATCCTCCTGCCTTGGCCTCCCAGAGTGCTGGGATTACCAGCGTGAGTCACTGTGCCAGCGTAGACCTCATTTTTAGAACCAAGCAGATGTCTGCATTCACATTGTTCATTATCACATTGTTAATGAGCACTTTGAAAAGTAGACATGCCAGTTTAAGCTTTTGCAGAGCACATCTTTCTGGGTAAAGGGCCATTAGGATGGGGAGGATATGTTGAGGGGAGGGATGGTATTTTCATTAGAGTTTCAGAGGGAAACTGAATTCAAGTGGTATAAAAAAATACACTTATATCTGTAACTCGTTAGGGAATTGCAAGGGGACAGCATTTTTTAAAAAATAAAATGAAAGTCCTTCATATTCAGGTTGTGAGTAATCTCTGCCTGTGCCTAAGTGTCCTCAGTTGTAAAACTGGAGATGTACCTGTTTCAAGGTTTTTGTAAGCATTAAATGGAATAATATATATAAAGCTCTTATGATTGTCCGTGTCTCGTACTATGTTTGATGAATGCTAATACTTATTTCATTCTATCCTTTTTCTAGATGTATAGTGGAATTATATCTTCAATAGGGGTTAGGGTCCAAAAATACTTGAGTTAATTTTAAGAAGGGATAAAAAAGATCATTGTTTTATAATGCATTACTTCACCTCTGTTCACCACACACATGAACAGGAATTTCCCAACAGAATCTACTGATGGCTCATTAACGGAATACATGGATTTTTGTATAATTTACAACCCACAATATTTTCAGTACAACCAGTTGTATTGAAAGTTTTAGACCAGCTTGTGTAGTTAAGAACACAGTGACATAGATGGCTTGCAATTAGTGTCCATGATTTGTTGCCTAAAACATATGGTTGAATTTAGGTAAGTTAAATGTGCGTTTAATACATTGATATATGCACATTATTCATTTTATTATTGATTTGCATGAATATATTACCATTAATGTACCTGAAAAAGAGGAGTCACATGAGATAATTTTGGCAAAAGCAAGAACTGAAACCAACAAGCAAAATCTCCAGATATATGCTATTTAAGGAAGAGCATACTTCTGCCAGCATTTTCAAGTTGAGTGTTTATCTTAATTTAGTTCTTTGGAAAATTGTACCAGCCTACTCTGCGTTGGCTGTTAGGTTGTCTGTAATTTTTTGGTATGAATGATCATGCTATCATAAACGTGCTTATACATAATCTTTTATGTATTTTTTTTGACATGTTACTATTTCATACATATTGTATGGCCTCTTTCGCCATCTAACCCAGTCTTTTTTTTTTTTTTTTTTGAGACGGAGTTTTGCTCTTGTCACCCAGACTGGAGGGCAGTGGTGCAATCTCAGCTCACTGCAACCTTTGCCTCCTATGTTCAAGTGATTCTCCTGCCTTAGCCTCCCGAGTAGCTGGGATTACAGGCGCCCACCACCATGCCCAGCTAATATTTTGTATTTTTAGTAGATTCAGGGTTTCGCCATGTTGGGCAGGCTGGTCTTGAACTCCTGACCTCAGGTGATCCACCTGCCTTGGCCTCCCAAAGTGCTGTAACCCGGTCTTTTTACTCCTACATTGTATTCCATAATTAACTATATGCTTTGGCCATCCAGGTTGTTTCCTTTTTTAAAAAAATTAGGGCCAGGTGCAGTGGCTCACGCTTGTAATCCCAGCACTTTAGGAGGCCAAGGCGGGCAGATCACGAGGTCAGGAGTTCGAAACCAGCCTGACCAACACAGTGAAACCCCGTCTCTACTAAAAAAATACAAAAATCAGCTGCGCGTGGCGGCGGGCACCTGTACTCCCGGTTACTCCTGCTTGGGAGGCTGAGGCAGGAGAATCGCTTGAACCCGGGAGGCGGAGGTTGCAGTGAGCCAAGATTGCGGCACTGCACTCCAGCCTGGGCGACAGAGCTAGACTCCATCTCAAAAAAAAAAAAAATACAAATAATGCTACAGGGAACTTCTCGTGCATATATATGGTCATACTATTAATATATGCAGTATTTCAGAAGGACACTGATGTAGGAAAAAATACCTGGAATGAATGTGATAGGAAAATAAAGTTTCAGATTATGAAAAATGTACGTTAATAGAATCATCAACTTGGAGTCCCCGCTTGTGTTCTAAGATGTTTTCTGAAGTAAATGAAACTGGGGGGACTTTCAGGTCGTATATTCTGAACTCCACCCGTGTAGAACATTTCTGACACATCAGCCAGCTTCCTATTAAGCACTTTTAGGTAGGAAAGCTCCTTTGAAAAGCACTAAGAAATTCAATAAGAAATAATAATTCCCTGATGGTCTATGCAGAATAAATCTGATCTCTCTATTCTTTATTAGTACTGTAGATAATTCGTGTCCTCAGGAGAGCTGTTAAACTTATTTTCAGTTCTGATTCAAAACATGACATCCTTCCCTGTATTGTGTGTCCTTCATAGCTCTGTATCTTCCAGATTTGATAAGTATAATACATACATTTGTTTAAAAGACAGGCTTGGGAATCAGAAAGGCTGAGTGAGGTCTGCATCCTTGCTTTGTCATTCACTAGTTCTGTAATCCTGAGAAGATTGCATAGCCTTTTGTAAAGTCTCAGTTTTTTCATCCGTGCAATGGGATTACAGTATTTCTTCAAAAAGATGCTTGGAGGAATATGTAAGAGTGTACTTGCAAAGTACTTACCATAATGCAAAGATGTAAGTGTTCAATAATGATAAAGGTAGCTGACATGGAAATAATGGTTATTGTTTTATATTTTCAAATTATTGATTAAAACATTTGGAAAAGACCAGCTTGGAGCCCTGAGATAGGTCTTCTTGCATGTTTAAGTCAATCCAGTAATCATATCCTTCTTATTGTAGGTGCTGATTTAACTATGAATCATTTTACTATCCCCTCTAGCCTGCATTTCTTGAATTTGTATGTCAAGACAGAATGCCCTTACACTTCATTCAGTAACTATCTGGAGTACCATGTTACAGTGTGCTGAGTAAAAGGAGTTTCAGTGGTGACCAGGGCAAGATCTGGTTTCAGTCTGCCCGAAGAGAGAATCTGTCAGTTGTCTTGCTGACAGCCCTATCTGAAATGCCATTGGAATGTCCCTGAACTTTTAAGGATCTTAAAACTCTTTCTACAAGTAGAAAATAATGTTAGTTCCAGATGACTCATTCATAATATTTTTTAGAGTCTCAAAACAGGTGTTCGATTTTTTTCTTAGCTTTTAAAATAATATTTCACAGCATTTTGCTGAGGATTGATATTATGTTCATGTCTTCTTTTTGCAACCCAGAATCTTCCCTTGGTGAAGATGGGTTTGTTTTATTTGGCTTCCTCACTTCCTGTGTGACCTTCAGTCCTATGCTTACTTCCTGAGTCCCTGTCTCCTCCTTTCACTGAAGGTAATGGTCCTCATCTACCTCAGAGTTGAGGGTTACATGTCATTATGGAAGCGAAAGGACTTTGTGAACTTTAAAGAACTATATAAATGTAAGGTGATGTTACTGCTATTTGTTTCCATATTTTCATCATTGGTTTTAAACTTTAGAGGTTAAAGAGTTATGATTTTCTCTACTGTTTTTCTGCTGAGTCATATGTGCCATTTTTCTGCATTATTTAATATCATGTTATGATTTAAATGTTTCCCTTTGACTCTCATATTTAAGTTTTATCAAGACTGGTTAGATAAAATGCTGTGTTCCTGCTCTTTGTGGGATGAAGGTAACGATCACACTCCTTATTACCTCTGTGTAGGTTGGTACTCTCCTCTAGGTTCTCCTGTTTCACATTCAGCTAGCACCTAAAATCAAACTCCTCCCTGTCCCTACATCCTTCAGTTTTCTCAGCAGGGTCTTAAGTCATTAGAAGGTGCACTGCAGGATTCTTTGGTGTAAGCATTCATGACTGTTCTTGGCCAGGAATCTTACAGGAGCCTTCTGTTTTGAGCTTCTGTCTCTCTGCCCCTTCTTTAAGAAAGTCCTGGTCTGTTCTTCTTGCCTCTAATTGCTAAATTGTTAATGGTCCTCAACAACTTGTACATCCTTGGTGTCAATTTAGCTCGTTTCAACATACATTAGATAAATAGAAAACTGTGAGGCCAATATTTCAGGCCCGTCTCTCGTGTTGTGCTGGTGGTGGTGGCAGTGTGTTAAGTACAGATAGAGTGGAAGACAGAATGCTCCTCCCCACCTATAACTCAAAATCTCAGGGGCAGTGCATATACATCGGTTTGTTAGTTTACATAAGGAGGTAACCAGAAACTGCTTCATGAAGCCTCTGCTGTGTACCACAATGTATTCTGGAAACTTCCTTGTTAAGTAGATATTTTTAGTTAGCATTTTTCCCCAGTATGGTACAATGTAACTAGAGTCACAGTATAATTTATTGTCCAAACTCCTGACACTTTAGAGAATGATGAAGTGAGTTATTAATAATTATATATTCATAATAGGCATAAATTAGTACTCTCCTAGGCAGACTGGCACATAGGTTCATCCTAATTAAAACCAGAGATAAATGAGGACTCAAGCATTCCATCATAGCTTTAATCAGAGTGACACAGAAGGAAAGACTCAGCAACTCTAACTTGTTCTAATTTAAATAAAATACTAAATTTACTATAAACCCCATAAAATATACAAAATAAGCAATATATAGTTACTTTAAAATAGGCCCTGAGACGCTATAAAATGTTTAACATATGAAAATATGATTTTACTTTATCACAAATTTGCCTTATGACTCTACTAAGATGCTTGCTATAATAAAAATCAAGTTTTAAATTAAAAATTGTTTGCCTTCAGTTTTTGATTTTTTTTTTAATGCAGTGAGTTAAAGATCTGTGATATCTTTAAAAGGCAGGCTATCCAGGGAAGTTTGAGTAGATATTTTTTTTTCTTTATGAATTTCTCAGAGACAGCAAATGATGTTACCAGTTTTTAGAATTTTGTCTGTTTATCCATGTATCCAACTTGCAAATCAAGAAGTATTTATTAAGCAGCTACTATGTGCTGAGCCCTAGATACTGGGAATGCAGTTACTAATGTGATGTGGCTCCTGTTTCTTTGTATGTGTTTGTCTGTATTTCAGCTCTTTGTTTTCTAATACATATTTTTAATCTCTCTGTTCCTCTGTTCCTCTTTCCTTTTGTCTTTGAATCAGATGTCTGTCATTTCTGTATTTGGCAAAAGATTTGATTGTCTAGTCAGATGTTAAAGTCTTTTTTTTTTTTTTTTTTTTTTTTGAGAGAAGGTCTTATTCTGTTGCCCAGGCTGGAGTGCAGTGGTGCAGTTATGGTTCACTGCAACCTCAACCTTCTGGGCTCAGACGATCCTCCTGCCTCAGCCTCCCAAGTAGCGGTGACTACATGCATGTACCTGGCTGGCTAATTTGTTTTTTGTAGAGATGGGGTTATCACTATGTTGTCCATGCTTGTCTCAAACTCTTGGCCTCAAGCAATCCTCTTTCCACAGCCTCCCAAAATACTGGGGTTACAGGTGTGAACCACTGTGCACAAAGTCTTAATAGAGGAAGAGAAATTTGCATCTCTGACCCATTTCTTAAAAAAATACACTTCAGGAAAAGAAATTTGAAGATGCCAATAGAGAAGGAGGAGGGTGTAGTAAAATGCAAGTTTCCAGCAGCAAGCAGTGATAATTCTCACAGTTGTCTCTTTTGTTTATAAGGTTTTTTTTTTGTTTGTTTTTTTGAGACAGGGTCTTGCTCTGTCACCCAGGCTGGGGTGCAGTGGCGCAATCTCAGCTCATGGCAACCTCTGCCTCCTGGGTTCAAGTGATTCTGCTGCCTCACCTTCCCAAGTAGCTGGGACTACCGGCATGCGCCACCACTCCTAACTTTTGTATTTTTAATAGAGAAAGAGTTTCACTGTGTTGGCCTGGCTGGTGTTGAACTCCTGATCTCAGGTGATCCACCTGCCTCAGCCTCCCACAGTGCTGGGATTACAGGCATGAGCCACCATGCCCACTCTTGTTTATAAGGTTTTGTATTTTAAGTTCTCCTAATTTTACTTGACTCTGCTTTTCTCCTTTCCAAGAGGAGCACAGATGATCATTATCAAGTGGATTTAATGCTCAGGTGAACATTCAGGGAATTGAAAATAGTTAAATAGGGTTGGAAAAAGGTGTGTAAATTATGGAACAGGGTGGTCACTGATCAGCAGCAAGAAGTGACCCAAGAAGTAAGCAGAAGTAAGAAGAAGTCAGTTTTACAAGCTATCTTAAGGAGCTTGAACTTTATCCTAAAGGCAAAGGGAAGTCTTTTGAGGGTTGTTGTTGTTTTTTTTTTAACTGAAAGAGTGACATGATCCTGTTTACATCTTAAGAATCCTGCTTACCTCTTGGGAGGATTGGAAGGAAAGTAAGTATGAGTGATGGCAGAACAGTTAGGAGGAGGTTTTAGAAGTTTAGGAGAGAGTGACCTGGTGTAGGGGATGGAGAGAAGTATAGATTTCAGAAACAGCATATTTGGTGATTGAATGTGGGTGCCAGGGATGATTACACGTTGTTCCCAGGTTTATTTTACGTGGACATCTGAAGGCGGGGGTGCCATTTACTGAAATGGGCAGTGGGGAAACATGGGACATTGAGCAAATTTTCTCTGAAACATATGGTTGCAATAAAAGTTGATGCCAATCTTCCTGAAATAATCAATGTGGTGTCTGATATCTAACACATGTAACATTTCCTCACTAAGTGCTTTGGTTGTGTGCATTTGGAGAAGAGATATTTAATATAGCTGATTATTATAGTTCATTTCCTTTGTTTTTTTTCTTCCCTTCCCAGTGACATCGAGTCACCTTACAAAACAGAAGTCACAAAAGGACAGGCTGAAGTGTGTGAGAGTGTGTGTGCATATGTGTAAGTGCTAGCATCTGAGGATGATGTGGATGGTTAATTATGTTGGTTCATAAACCTCTGGCCCCTCTCAGTCCACTAGCAGAATAGCTGAATAAGAAAAAAAATAAAACTAATCAAAGTTACATGACATCCTGATTGATAGAGTTCCAGGGTCAGATTGCTTGGGTTCTAGCTCTAACTCTGCTGCTTAATTTGTTGTGAGGTCCTGGACAAGTTATTTCACCCCTGAGTCTATCAGTTTTCTCATCTGCACAATGGAG
Source organism: Homo sapiens (assembly GCF_000001405.40). Taxonomy (NCBI): domain Eukaryota; kingdom Metazoa; phylum Chordata; class Mammalia; order Primates; family Hominidae; genus Homo; species Homo sapiens. The sequence continues at coordinate 112,266,949 of NC_000005.10, read as the reverse complement.
AATATAATATACTGTCTTCATTTTTAAAGTCTTAACCTAAGTTGTTATACATAAATTACTTAGAATGAGTTACCGTGTAGTGTTTAGAACAGTGCATGACATTACTATTATAACAGGTTTTCTTTTGGCAACATGGAATGAGCAGATAATAGGCAGAGTGTTATGTAATATAGGTTGGGTCTTTGTGATTTCTTCCTCCCAGTAAGAGCATGTTGTGGTGGCAGTGGCAGTAATGATAGCTTAAAAGAGCTTGGAGTTATCCTTTGCATTCACCCTGTGAGGTGGATGCTGTCAACTGTTCCAGTTTTGCAGGTGGGGAGGCTGGCTGTTGTAGAGGTTAAGCAGCAGCCTAAGGCTACAGAGGTACTGAATGCTGGGGCTGGGAAGTAAGCCAAGCAGTTGAACTTGAAAGCCGCACTTTTTAGCGACAACCGTGTATTGCCTCTGTAAGGTATGTTTAAGTAGTTCCTGTTCACTCAACAGCCCCCTCACACAAGAATGGGGGGTGACTTTATTTTAATTGAAGGTGATTGGTTGTTAACCTTGATTATCAGGGTCCGAAACCTCAGGTTTGAGTAGTGTAAGAGATCGTTAATCTCTCTTTTTGTTTCTCTTTTAGATATCAGTTTTTCTTGCAGGTGAAGCAAGATGTCCTTCAGGGCCGTCTGCCCTGTCCCGTCAACACTGCTGCTCAGCTGGGAGCGTATGCCATCCAGTGTAGGTGCCACTTAAGCATATTTGCCTCAGAAATGTCTGGAGAAAGTATTTGCATTTTTAAAAGGGAGTTTACATACTAAAACTCTTCTTATCCATGAGATTTTGCAAAAAAAAGAAATTGAATTTATTTGGAATTCAAGTTTTGTTCAGTGTTCCTTCGGAACAGGTAAAAGTGGAGCCTAGTACAAATCCCTTATGGTAGGTCGTATGGAGGTTTAGTCACTGGAATAGCATTGATTCTTGATTAAGTGGAGGGTCTAACAATCTGTTCTATCTACATCTCATCTGAGTTTATTGATTTTCCTCCCCACACCCTCTCCCAAGCTTCTATGTGTCAGAGATCCCATTGCTCCTGCATTGCTGTTGTGAAGAGTCTGCATGGCCAGGTGCTATTGCTAGGTTCCGCATGTGGCATGGGTGTTGAGCTCAGTGCTCTTCAGCTCTTCATGTTAATACGGTGGCTGTGTGGGGTGGCTCCAGGATGCATTGTCATTTTGGAGACTGAGGCTGAGACTACTTCCAGTGACGATTAGACACCTTCTAAGAATCAAGCTAGATGTGGGGAGAATAAGATAGCATGGTCCTTGCCCTTGTGGCACTTGCAGACTAAAAATAATCTAGAAGAAATATGCTAGGAAAAATGTCATAGATGAAGTGGGTTGGGGCTTGCAAGGTAGATTAACATAGGAAGAAGCATTTGTATAGGAGTAATATAGTGGGCTTTCTTGTATCATTTTGCTTCTTTGTGTAAATTGTAATGGGATATGTGCAGCATTGTATTGCATTTCCATGATCATTATTTCAGGCAAAGGTGTATTGAATCACATGCACTGTTTCTTGGTGTCATTATCTGAGAGGATATATTGAGGTCATGGTTGTTTTTCACTTCCAGCATTTCTAATGTTTGTACTTGAAATGCTGTTTACAACATTTTACTTCACATACGTTGTTAAGAGTAATTGAAGTAAAAACGATGATATAATTATAGTATTTGGGAATGCAAAAATAAAGAACTTCTGTTTTTAAGTCCAGAATTTGTTGCTACCATCCGTATATGCTCATCAGATTTGTTTTAGTAAAATTATTTAGTTGTCTTATATGTGAATTTTAGTAAGACATTTGAAAAAATGTTTAAGCATGTTAGGAATATTTTATTTCTATGTTTTAAGGACTATTTTCCTAAAATGGAAAAAACTATGTTATCTTTCTTTTTTAGCGGAGCTTGGAGATTATGACCCATATAAACATACTGCAGGATATGTATCTGAGTACCGGTTTGTTCCTGATCAGAAGGAAGAACTTGAAGAAGCCATAGAAAGGATTCATAAAACTCTAATGTAAGAATCATTACACCATGTCTTATTGCATCATCCATCAGTCATCATCTTCTGATATTCACAAGAAAAGTTTCTAGAATGATAAATTCTTCACCTGTGCATTTAATATTCTAATACTCCTCTTTGTATAGTTTAACTGATTTTAACTCTAAAATGCTCATCGAAAACTTCAGTAATTTAAAAAGTGTAAAGGAGAAAGTAATTTCAATATGTAAAGTTACCATTTTTTGGTCAATGGCCTTTCAGACATCTCTTTGTATGTACAATTTCCCAGAGAAAATTTGTCATACATAGGTTCATGTATTTATGATATTACATAGTGGAATCATTCTGTAAATACTAGATTTTGCAGTCTTTTTTTTTTTCAGTCACCAGTATCTTGTGAAATTAATCTTTCAGCTATAAATATGTTTAATCACAACAATTTTTAACCATAAATGCATTAATATATTCTTCAATGTTTCCTCTGTCTGAAGTATCCCAGTTCTTCACGGTTATAAGCCAAGTCCTATTCAGGCCATAGCAACGAGTCTGGAAATAGTGATGATGCCAGTGTGAAACCTTTGAGGGTATGGTGATAACACTGCATGCATTTCTGAGAGTAGACACGCTCCCCTAGTAGGATTTTCAATTCATGGCCTATAGCACTGAAGTTTTAATTTCATTATAGTTATTTTGGTTAAATTCTTTACACCGGTTAACATTGCTTTATTCCCTGTTATGTAACACTTCCTCTTGAATATACTTGGTTTCAGATCTATTATAGTTAAGGAAAAAAAACATGGCTGGGCGTGGTGGCTCACGCCTGCAATCCCAGCACTTTGGGAGGCCGAGGCAGGTAGATCACCTGAGGTCAGGAGTTTGAGAACAGCCTGGCCAAAATGGTGAAATCCCATCTCTACTAAAAATACAAAAATTAGCCGGGCGTGGTGGCATGTGCCTGTAATCTCAGTTACTTGGGAGGCTGAGGCAGGAGAATCGCTTGAACCCTGGAGGTGGAGGTTGCAGTGAGCCGAGATCACGCCGTTGCACTCCAGCCTGGGCAACAAGAGTGAAACTCCATCTCAAAAAAAAAAAAAGAAAAAAATGTAGAATTAATCTGGTCACAAAAAAATGTTTGCCTAAAGGATCCGTTTCAGTGAGTGTAGAAGCAGAAGTCAGCTGCTGAATTGCAGTCAGAGAAAGAGGCCCTCTATGTTGTATTAGCATGCACTAGAAGGCTCTCCAACCTGATTGTAGAGTCCTTCATTTTCAGATTCTGCTGAAGTAGATGGTCAGAGAGTGCTTGTTATAACATTAGGAAGGGCAATGTGTTTGGCACATTATGAGAGTACTGATTCTACTAGGGATTTCAAAGCACAATTATATATTGAAATTATCAAGGAGCTTTGGGTAAAGGCTCTCATGTGTTTTAGATGATAGTGTTGACATTGTGACTGTTATTTCTAAGAATAAAGCTTGATCAAAGTGTGGTGTGTCTAATTTGATGAACATTCTTCATGGATTTCAAAAGTATGGTACGTTGGTGGTTTTCCAGTGCATTGTGACTGAAATGAAATATGTCACTGCAGGATTTCTTAATTTTTGAGATTTGACCTCCTTTGGTTATCTATTAAAATCTCAATCCCTCTCTCTCTCTCACACACTCACACACACTCGCTTGCACATGCATATTTAACTCTTCTGTGCAGATTTCTGGCTGATGCTCACCCTCATCAGGAATGAATGCTGTTTTCTTTATATTACCACCAATGAAGATTTTGGGAAGAATTCTGTACTGTGTATTAAGAAAATGACAAGCATTTTTTACAATCTCTGTACGTTAATCAATGTATTTTCAAACTACACATGTGGTCAGGAGATCTCGATATGATCCCAGTTGGGTGGTGGCAGCCCCATTCTCTTCCTCCTGCTGACCATTGCTCTAGTTCCCTTTGCTTTGGATGGAGAGCTGCTGGTGCACAGAGACATTTTACTCTTTGTGAAGGGGATGGTGTTTAATTTGAGTGCTTATATTCTCAATAACCTCTTTAGGGGTTTCTGAAACTGAGAATTTTTAATATATGCTGGGACATTGGGGATAGGCTATAATGAGCCAGAATGGATTTGGTAAATGAAATTAATATAAGTATCACTTCAGAGTATAAAATTTTGTCACCAAGAAGCAAAGGCCTTCTTGAAATACAAGGACTTAAGTTTGCATTAGTAAAAAGTATTATTTGTTTTCCCATTGAATACAATGAAGATAGTTTGCATCCCTGTAAGTGCAGTAGCTGCTGTAAAATAAGGCTCTTTGTTTTTGTGCTGGGTGTAGGGGTCAGATTCCTTCTGAGGCTGAGCTGAATTACTTGAGGACTGCCAAATCCCTGGAGATGTATGGCGTTGACCTCCATCCCGTCTATGTGAGTAACATTTAATTAACACAAAATATTTTAAGCTGATGACATTTTTCTTAAAAAGTCACTGAGACTCCCAAAGGAAAGCTGCAGTCCTGTTGTTTAGCAAGCAGATGATACTTTTTTATCTGTTTTTCTAACACAAAGCAGCTCTCGTGTGGATTAAACCCTAATGAGTTTTGCATAAAAATCTGTGATTATATTTCCATGTGTAGAAAACAATTAAGTGGGCTTGAAAACACAATCTGGATAACAGATACAAAGGGCTTAGCTAAACATCAAAACAATATAAAATTGATGTATAGGCCAGGCGTGGTTGCTCATGCCTGTAAGTAATCCCAGCACTTGGGGAGGCAGAGGTGGGTGGATCATCTGAGGTCAGGAGTTTGAGACCAGCCTGGCCAACATGGCGAAACCCTGACTCTACTAAAAATACAAAAATTAGCTGGACGTGGTGGCGGGCGCCTGTAATCCCAGCCACTCGGGAGGCTGAGACAGGAGAATGGCTTGAACCACCTGGGAGGCAGAGGTTGCAGTGAGCCGAGATCGTGCCACTGCACTCCAGCCTGGCAACAGAGCAAGACCCCATCTCAAAAAAAAAAAAAAAAAAAAAATTGGTGTGTAATTGACTGTATTAGACAGAAAACAGGAGGATTTTTCAAAAAATAGATTTTATGGCAGCAAAACATAAATACAATCACTTGCCAGGTAAAGGATGCGTTAGGCAATAGGCCAGGTGCAACTACTGTTGATTCTGTCAATATGAAGGTTACCACCTACTGTAGGTATCACTGCATTAATAGAAATATTTTTGCAGATTTTTTTCAGTGGTTTATGAAAACTTGCTGAATAGTCATCAGTGAGCAATTACACTGAATCTGCACTGAGTGTTCTGGATCCGGGTTTTAACCTTTGAGCTACTTCTCTTAGGCTACCAATTGATTATTCTATGTCAATGAGATTAGAAAGCCTTTGCCTTTGAATTAAGAGGAATGTGGATAGCAATAGTTAAATTTTATTTGAGGAAATGAGCCAGGTACTTTATTCTTTATAGGAAATGAATTGCTGGAGAGTATTTATAGACTGATTTTTTTTAATCAATTGGATTATGGAACTCAGTTTTTAAAGAACCCTAATAAAACTTTATCTAGTGCAAATAACACTCATGCATTCATTTTGTATATGTCTTTTGCTCATTAGCATTTCCTCCAAGAAGAAACAATCTCATATTATTTTTACAGTTAGAAGCATTCCTGTTTAATGTGGCAATAAAAGCTATAGATTGTGGGGAAGAAGTAGTTCCCTGATATATTAGATTCCAATTTCATTAGGTCATTAATGCTTCATAGCACTGTCCTTTAAGAATACTGCTAAAACTGTAGAATCATTATCGTTTTACCTTCCCTCCCTTTAGCCACATTAATCTTGTTAGGTTTTCAGTTTTTAAAAGAAAACTTTCCATAGGAAATTTATAAAGAGAGTCTTCTGCAAAATGCTTCTACATTTGTATAATGTTTATCCTAATTAGAAATCACCTTCTGTTGATGGTAGAAATTTATGGCAAATGAGCTAGATTTATTAGACTCTTCAGTGCATTCCTTTAAGATTTGAATTTTAAGAACTGAAAGTGGGCATTGGCAGGTATTCCTCCAAATGTATTGCTTTATGTTCTTTGTGAATATAATTTTGCAGGTTACCATTTATCTTAGAGTAGAAATAACATTCTCACAAACAGTGCTGTGCATGTCCTTGGTATCTACTCTATGACTTTTTCATTTTAAGATCCTGTTTTTAAAATTTGGATTTATTATTGCCTTAAAATAAAGGTTCTCTAGTCTTTACCAGAAGAGATTATACTTTTACATTTTTGAGCACTCTTAAAGTTATAGGTGGAAGTAGGAAGAAACATGATAGAGACTTCAAAAAATTCAAGTGTGTGTCTGCTAGTGACTGCCTAAACTTTCTAGAGAGAGTTGGGGTGGGGATGCAGTGGGTTTCATGATTGTCCGCATCGGAGATAAATCAAGCCATTCAAAAGCACCCTTGATAGATGCCAGTGGTTCTCAGTCTTTAACTGTACAGAAGTATCACCTGGGAGTCCTGTGTTTTTTCTGCTACTTTGGCCTCTTCATTAGAGATTCTGATTTAACTGTTTCTGGTAGTGCCCAGGCATCAGCATTTTAAGCTGCACAGTGATTCCAGTTAATATGTTGCTAGGATTGAACACCACTGTGTAAGGAAAGTTGGGTAAGTCCCATTGGCCTGACTGGTAGCCCAGGCTCATTTTAATGAACTGAAGTAACAAGTATGAAGAACGCCAACAGAAAGTTTCTTTTAAAACTTTGAAAAAAATAAGCAACAAGTTAGCTACTATCATAGTGTATCTAGCTTTCTAGGCTGATGTCTTTCAAAAATTAAATCCAATATTAATGTAACAAATTATATTTGTATGGTCAATTATAGTTTGACAAAGAGATTTTATGTGAATATGTGGTTATAGGCATATGTTTGTTTTTGCAGGGAGAAAACAAGTCTGAGTATTTCTTAGGATTAACTCCGGTTGGTGTTGTTGTGTACAAGAATAAAAAGCAAGTGGGGAAGTATTTCTGGTAGGTATGGCTTGAGAACAGAGTTGGCATTCTATGTTTTGGGCTTATGGGACTCCTGTGTCAGTGAAAGAGTTGGGGAAAAGAAAACAGGTATATTTCCAGTGGGTGATAAATAAATGAGTGAAATTGGGTGTGAGTTTTCTCCTGTTGCACCTCAGCATATGTTTTCTCTGTAAATTTCAGACACTGTGATTCTAGACTCTCTTTTCCCTGGGAGCTGTGTGTAGTAGGATTTCTCACCCATTTCAGTATGTGCTGGTGGGCTGTGGATCCAGGACTATTCTGACTTTTAGCTCCAAATGGGGATGAGTTGGAGAGATTGGGAAGCCCATGGCTCTGCACTGTGTTTGGGAAGGCAGCACTGCCACAATCTAGGGATTCTAAGGTCATTGTGCATTTAGTGGAGAAGCATAGGACAATGAGAATGGAGTTTTCATTAGAGTGTATGGGGAAATCTCTCTGTCGCTGTATGTACTGGGTATGGAGCAGTATATAAAGGAGCCAGTATTCACCAGTCTTTTTCCACTGGATACTTCCCTGATTTTCTGAAAGGTTAATACTTAAAAACAGCAGCAACACCATCTGCTTTGTTTTTTAGGCCTCGGATTACAAAGGTTCACTTCAAGGAGACTCAATTTGAACTCAGAGTACTGGGAAAAGATGTAAGTTTCCAAGCCCTTAGCTTAAATTAGAAGAGGGGTGTCTTGTGTGTTCATTTGTAGCTTAAAAGACATTGTGAAGAAATGTTTTCTTCAGCTGCTTCCACATGGAACCAGGTTAATTAACTCACATGCACAACTTCTCAAGGAAGGAAAGGGAAGTGAATAGAAATGAGTGAGAGGGTAATGGAGAAATGGGCATTTTAGATTTAGCAAAGGAAAGCAAAACCTTTCTAAGGCAGAGGAGAGAATAGGAGGTGATCATTGTTGTTAGTGCAATTTGCTTTCCAGTACTCTCTGTGAGGGTAGAAGGTAGGAGTTATAATCAGAAGGGTATAGCCTGCATTCAGGACTGCCAAAATGCATTCTAATTTTGCTCTAATGTAAATTAAACAACCTTTTGGGAGTCTTACTTCTGCTCTTTTCCTCATTGAGTGTGATAGACAAACCAGATGGAAATTCTGGATGCTTTCAAGGGAGAATGTAAAAATGCCGGCCTTTGCTTTGCAACTTGGCAATGTCCTCTGGGAGTATTTGGGTAATGGGCACAGAACTTGTCAGTGCCTGGATGTGCTTTCATGCCTTGATGTGTGTCTTTGAGAAAAATGGTCGAAAGAAGGCAAGGATGTGAAAGCTTCCTTTTGATCTACCTGTGAAAATAATGCTTCATTGAAGTGCTACTAGTGTAAACCACATATTATGGGATACATGAGTGAAAATAAGATGTTTAATCCATATTTATGGGATACATGAGTGAAAACACGATATAGGAGAATCTACTCTTCTGTCTTTTTGATACTAACTTTGTGCAGAACAAAAACTAAGTGGAGTTGAATTGATTTTCTTGATTAAAGAAAAGTAAATTGGTGCTTATGCATGCACACACTGAGACACAGGAATAGGAGAGCTGCAGCTACATTTGGGGTATGGTATTTGGCAGAGTGCCTCACATGTAGTAGGTACTTCATAAGTATCTGTTGAATGATCAATGAGCTGATGCACTGAGACACTGTGTGCTGCCACATCAGAAAACCTGATGCTACTCTTTGTTCTCCTAATAGGAAAAAAACATTATCTCATCCTGAACTATATGGCATGCTGCCATTTACTGATACAATTAAAACTGGATTTTGAAATGAGTTTTAACAACTTGTAAGGAAGGGGAATTCCAGATTTTTAAAGAAATGATAGTACAGAAGCCATATAGTTGTTCTTATGGTTTAGTTTGGAGGAAATCCAATGTGTTCTTCAGCTCCTGATTAGACATCTCAATTTTAAAAGATGTGCATTATAATATAAGACTGAATTAAAATCATGCAAAAAGTAGAGTAGCTAATTAGGAGGGTTTTGTAGTTTCTCCCTATGTTGCCATTAGGTTCACATGAATAATAATTCATCTAAATAATAATAATGCAAGGAGTAAGATCTGTTAGATATATTTGAAAGTAATGTTTCAAGTTTTTTTAGCAGAATATGATAATCAAAAGACTTATGGAAGCATTACTATTATTCAGAGTATTCTTTCCTTATAAGTTATTTTTGTGAGTGAGGTCCTCTGGTGAATGACTTTCATGTTATTATTACAGTGCCTTAAAATATATGTCTACTACTGTCTCAGGATAAATATTTGGCAAAGTCCCAGCTAAGCTGAACTTTCATCTTCTTGGACTTCATGATTAGGCAAAAACAACAGCAACAAAATTGATATCATCATGTTATTTTTCAAATGACAGTCTCCATCGAATGACCCTGTTTCCTGTGTACTCGGCTTAGGTGTCTCCCACCCCCACCTCATTCCTTCCTCAGCTTTGAGATGAAATGGATGTCTGGGGAGGCCCAAGGCACTGCACACTTCTAGGTCATTAAGCTCAATGTCAGTGATCTTTAAGAAGGTGACAAAGCAGGTCATATAACTCAGAGGCTTGAATTAAAGGTTTTTTTTTATTGCTGTTAAGTATCACATTCATTTAGTCAAAGCATTCTGTTTCCTAAGTATTCTTGCTTGTGGTCTTTTCTCTTTCTCCACCAGGGTACCTCTCTGTGAGGCAGTGATTTACATAATGGTTGAATTAGGTTGATTATTATGGAGGCCTAACTGTACTCACAAATTGAATTTAAAAGCCCCTTAAAACCCATCACTTGGAACAGTAATCACATTCAGCATGAAGAATGGTTGAAATGCTTATTCTGCTGGTTTGCTGGTCTGGTCAGAAAGACTTAGTATGGTCATTGCATTTAGGCCAAATTCAGAGATGCTTTCATGCATTAAACTTCCAAATAAGTACTGTTGTTTACATAATTTTTTACAAAAAACTAAACTTTTAGTATAAAGATCGTACATGTTCACTGTAGAAAATCCAGAAAATACCCTGCAAAGAAGAAAATTAAAATTATTCATTATCCTAAAACTCAGAGGTCATGAATATTAATATTTTGATACAGTTGCTTCTAGATTTCACCCTATCAGTGTGAATGTATATATATTTATACATACATGTAGATTATCCCCTATGTGGTTTTGTACATGCTTTTGTATTTTATATTGTATCATAAGAATTTTCCCTTTTTTGCTAATTTTATTCATAGGTTCCTGCATGGTGTTTGATAAGTTTTCTTTTTATGTGTTTTACTTTTTTTCTTGCTATTGTGGATGCAATCTTTTCTTTCTATTATCTCTTCTAACTGGTTTTTGATAGGAGAATTGAAAGCTGTGGAATTTTATTTATCTCATATCTAGTCGTTTTGCCGAATTCTTGTATTCCAGCTGAGTTCTTAATTTGATTCTCATAAATTTTTATAGGTATATCACTTGCAAATGAAAATAATTTATTCCTTCAATCCTACTGTGTAAATTTCACATTTGTAGTATTAGTCCGAACTTCTAGAAGAGTACTAAGTGTTATAGCAGTATAAGGCATCCTTGATTGGCTTTCTGTTTTAATGAAAATATCACTACTGTTTTATCACTATGTGTTAGTTCTTGGTTTTAGGAATACGTGTTTTTTACTAGGTGCTGAAATTTTTTAAAGTTTATTATCAGATGGTTGATTTTCACTGAATACCTTGAGAACTAAGGCTGTTACTTGTTTACTCATTCAACAACTTAAGCTTATTTCAAAATCCAGGCAAGAGATGATAGTGTCTCTATCTCAGTGGATCAGGGTGACAACAAAGTGCGGAGAAGCTGTTGGATTATGGATTTTACCACCAGGGTTTCCTGAATGTGGGCAGATATGAGAGAGAGGAGTCCTGGTCACTTAAACGAGTTTGGCCTGAGAAGCAGGAGGTATAAGTATAGAGCTATCATCAGGTGAGGTGGGGAAGGCTATGGATAGAGCAGACTTGAGGAGGAAGATCAGGAGTCCCGTTTTGAACATGTTGAATTTGAGATGTCCTTTAGACATCTAAGGGGAGATATTAAATAAGAAGTGAGCTATGTGAGCCTGGAGTTTAGTACCAACGTCTGAGCAGAATATATAAATTTGAATATATAAAATTGGCATCTGCTACTTTTTGAAGCCACGAGACTACCTGAAATCACTAGGAGAATGAGTATAAATGAGAAAAGAAGAGAGAGAACCAGCAAAGGAGGCTGAAAAGAATCATCCAGTGAGATAGAAGGAACAGTAATTATGCTGAATGCCAAGTAAAAGTCATGTATTAAGCATGTGTCAGATGATGCTGATATGTCATACAGGGTAAAGGCTGAGAATGGGCCACTGAATTTAGGAATGTAGGAGATCATTGACAAGGTGAGTTTCAGTAGATTGGAAGAGTGAGCTTCAACCCAGCAGTTCCCCTGTTAAGTATGTGTACCCTAGAGAGGTGTTCTGTGCAGCACTTACGTAAAAGTCAGAAAAAGAAATTAACCCAGAATTCCATTAACGGGGGAATGAACAAATAAATTGATGCATATTCATTAAGAAAAACCCATAAGAGAGGTAACAGGAAGATAAGAATTGGAGATTTGGAGATGGTGAGTGTGGACAACTCTTTGGAGGAGTTTTGGCACAAGGGAAATAAACAGAAATATAGCTGGCAGGTACTGTGCCAGCATCAACATATGAGGAGGGTGACTTTCAGGATGACACCCACCGTGAAAGACTGCAGAATTTCATCAACTGATGAGATCCAAAGCTGGGAGTTTTAGGGGGAAGGAAAGAGAACGGTCTGAAAGCAGCAATGTGGAGCAGGAAGGATCCTTCCCACTTTTAGGTTCAGAGATGGAAGAACAGTGGAGACAGAAGACACAGCCATCCCTCGAGGGCTACAGTGGAAACAGGGTCTTCAGAGAGAGCCAGGGGTCTCCTAGTGCAGCAAGGTGAAGGACATATGAGAGAACAGACTGAGGAGTGAGGGGGTTTGCTGATGAGAGGTCATGAATTCCGGAGGGCACAAAGCAAGGGTTTCAGGAGTTGAGTAGTGATGAAGAAAGAGACAGGCGAGGGGGTATGCTGAGCATTACTGGGGGGTGACTGAGATATACAGAGATAAGGAGCATCATGAGAATTGGTCCAGTCGATTGGGAAGGGAGTGAGGATTGGGTTTCCATGTCTGCCTATTCCCTCTGGAGATGTGGGGTAGAAGACCTAAAGAAGGTGGGGTGGTTCCAGCACACTGCCTGGTTCAGCCTGACTCTTCTTAGGGGAGGGCCTCTCTTAACTGTGGGCATGAGCTCAGACTCAGCACTTGAGAATGGATTGAGGACTTGCGGGGAAATTGGGTGTTACATTAACTCTGGGCTTCACCCTCCATGATCGGATGTGCATTTAAGAAAGCACACTCTGGCTGCAGGGTGGAACATGCCACAGACGTGAGCACAGAGGCAGACAGAGTAGGAGATGTGATCAAGGGGAGACAAGAGGGGACTCACTGCAAAGACGGAAAGAAGTCGGCAGATTTGGGAAGCATTTAGGAGGTTAAATTGTTTCTGATTGGTAGCAGATTCAATGTTTTTGTGGAAAATAGGAATTTAGGATAATACTGGAATTTCTTGGTTTTGGCAACAAGAGGAGGATGTAATTCCTAACACAGGACTAAGCCCAGAAATTGGCATGTAGTAAGCACACTTGTGAAATAAATGAAAGAATGAATAAATGCTGCTGTGCTTACTTTTATGTATAATACCTCAGGAAACTAACCTCAGCTAAAGTTACCCCGTGTGACAGGATGTAGAACCAAAAGGTTCCTGGCAACTCTGGCTGTGAGTAATGAGATCCACTTGGCAGAACTCTCCGGCTTGCTTTAAGGAGAGTACACGGGAAGCGATGATGGCCAGGAGTCATCACTGTTTGTCAACAAGCGCAAGAGGTCTCACTTACGTTAAGCCAAGGGTTCCTTTCACATTTTACATGGTAATATAGATTTTTAAAAAGTATTTTTATTTGAAAACAACTCAAAATTTATTTAAAAAGTTGTAAAAATTAAAATATTACGAAGAACATATTCATTTACTGTTACCTAGAGTCACTTATGGTTAACATTTTACTTCACTTCCTTTGTTATTTGTGCCTTCTTTCTCTCCATACACACACAGGCCTTTCTCTTTAGAACAGCTTGAGAGTAAGTTACGTATGTCATAGACTATAAATATGTAAGTGTGTATTTCCTAAGAATAGGGATATTCCGATGTAACTGCAGTATGGTTAACAACTTAATACATTAATAATGATATAATACTTTTACCATCTAGCTTCCATATTCCAATTTTGTTGGTTAACCCAATAATGTCCTTTTTAGCATTTCTCCCCTATGGTATAGAATTCAGATAACCTCCTTTAATCTGGAACACTTTCATAGCATTTTTTTATCTTTTATAAAATTGACATTTTAAAAGAATACAGTTATACCCCACTGTTTTAAAACAGAGAGTTTCTTATTTCATGTTTTTCAGCTGTTTCCTCATGATTAGACTAAGGTTATGCATTCCTAGCTGTACAGCTGCATAGGTGAAATAGTGTCCCTCTCAGGTGTCTCATCTGGGGGCATATGGTGACCACCTGTCCCTCGTTGGCTGTCAAGTTTGATCACTCATTACAGTGTTGCCTGATTTCTCTGCTGTATAATTCCTGCTTCTCTCTTGCAACTAATAAGTAGTCTGTGGGGAGATACTTTAAATCAATGCAAATACCCAGTTCCTCTTTAAAATTCTCTGTAAATTTAGCATTCATTGAGGATTCTTGCCTGATCGTCTTCTACTAAGATGGTTGCAAAACGCTGATTTTTCTAGCTCTGTACTCCCTCCACATTTATGAGTCAGCCCTCAGCATTCCACTGAAACAAGAGCACTGCCTTCTCTCCCTTTTATTTATTGTCAGTATTTATTAACTTCTATTTTTTCAATGGTTTAAAATACATTACATACCTATTTTTTTTTTAATACTTTCAACTTTTATTATAGATTAAAGGGTACATGTGCAGGTTTGTTACATGGGTATATTGTGTGACGGTGAGGCTTGGGGTCCTAATGATCCCGTCACCCAGGCAGTGAGCTTAGTACCCAACAGGTGGTTCTTCAGCCCATGCCTCCCCCATCCAGTAGTCCCCAGTGTCTGTTGTTTCCATCTTCATGTTCATGTGTATTCAATGTTTAGTTCCCACTTATAAGTGAGAACACCTGGTATTTGGTTTTATGTTCTTGCATTAGTTCACACAGGTACCTAACTATTTTGCTGTTCACATTTGGTCATTGGGAACCCTTTCAATCTGACTCCTGCCTTTGGGATCTGCCCCCATCATTTTAGGGCTAATATCTTCCTTTTTTGGTATAATATATTTCAGGTGCATGTTGTATCAACCCTGTCCCTACCCTGAGTGTTAGCCATTCTTCCGAGGAGCTCTGGTTCCTTTGACTAGGAAATGATCTAGATCTGGGTGCTAGGTGTGGTCATTGCTACTAGGGCGACTTTGATTCTTGGCCTTTTCAGTTGACAGAGCTAGGGAATAATGCTTTCATATATACACACATAGACCCTAATACACATATATACAAATAGAAATATATGTGCACATGTGCATATAAGCATACACATATTGATACATAGCTTAGAAATCAGGAGTTCACAGCATACTTCCAGTTCTGTCCATAGCCACAGGGTTCTTCCTTACTCTCCCTCATTTTATATTTGTATGTCCTTTCTTTGGCCATGAGAACCTTGGCTTCCAAAAAAAAGCCACACATTTACTCATTTGCTCAATTCTGTAACACATATCACATAGTTTCAGAATTGCTTTGGTCAGACCACTAAAGTGGACAATTGTTTGCTGTCCTTTCATCCACATGCACCACTTTGCCAAGACAGAGGGCCTAAGAGTCAAATACTATGTTCAAAATTTACTTGGATTGGTCCTCCCTTCTCTCCTTCTTATCATTCATGTCTTCCTTCTTCATTCCTGTGCTCATGTATTCGTTTGAAATCTACTGAGGTTTATTGTTTCAGGTTGTTTTTGGTTATAGCTCCCTCTCCTTCACGTTCTTGTTTAATTTTATTTTTTAATATGTAGAAGGTTAACTTGCTTTCAAAAATCAAAATTACTCAAAAACTCAACTCCCATTTTCCTTCCACCCTGTTCCGCCATGCTTCCTTGTAGGTAACCAACTTCATTGTTTTCTGGTTAATCCTCCCTGTGTTTCTTTTTGTAAAGATAAGCATTTTTTTCTTCATTCTTTCTTTCCTAAAAGTAGCATACTGTATGGGTTTTTGTACTGTGTTGGGGTTTTTTCCCCACTTAGTAATATCTCCTAGAAATCATTCTGTATCAGTTTATTGAGAGCTTTCTCATTCTTTTGTACGTAGCACTGTATTGAATGTGTGTACCACAGTTTATTCAACCAATCTCTTATGCTTGAATATTTAGGAAAAGTTTTCAATATTTTACAGTCACACATTTTTCTTCATTCAGTAATTTTGTGTGTATGTGTTTTTGGAGGGATATCCATGGGTTAAATTCCCAGTAGTGGGATTGCTAGGTCATAGGGTAAGTACTTATGTAGTTTTGTTTGGTATTGCCTTATGCCCAGGCTTCATTCGTAGTTGTACCATTTTGTGTCTCCAACTACAATGTATAGAAGTCCTGGAACTATAGATTTAATATTTTCCCAACTATTCTTAAGTGTGGCTGTTAGTAATGATTGGGTCCTGATGCCACATGACATTTGGGTTTGGAGTCTTTCAGATTTCGTGATGGACTGTTAGACATGTGATCAAATAAATGTTTTAAGTCCAGGTCTCTTGCTCACTAACTGTGGGCAGTTCACTGAACAACACTTAACCTACATTTCGTAATCTGTAAAGTGAGGATGATAATATCCTTATGATGCTGCTGTGAGGTTACAAGCACCTAGTGCAAAGTTGGGCATGTAACGGGCACACAGTCTGTGTCTCTGAGTTGGAACTGCCTTTGTATTGGGCCACTTAGAGCTATTGCAGTCTTGCACAGGAAAGGACCATGGAATCACCTTGTTCTTGGCTGCTGAATAGCTTGTGTTATGGCAGGAAGAGAAGCCCAGGTTTTCAGGCCCATGGCTTTTCCTTTGCTTCACTTACTGGTGTGTTTTGTTGATTTTGTCCATAATTGAAACACATGGGCCACTTATTCAGAAGTGGTGAAAATTCTCCTGTAAAAAATTTGATTGTCAGTAGGTCTTACCACATAAGCCTTCGTTTTAACAGGATTGATAATGTTTATTAGACTTTTTAAAAACACTGTGAGATTGGGAATAAAAGTTAGTTATCATTAAAACAAAAATTAAATCAATCTGCAAGTATATGAGAGAAATACTGACTTTTTAGGAATACTACAAAACAGATGAGGAGAAGATAGAAAACTATCACAGAAAAATCCATTTGGACTTCTATGTTCATATCTGTGAATTCCTTCAAATAATAAGAATAAGCTCAACATGATAGTTTTCAAAGTTTACTGGAATACGATGTAAATATTTGTATGTAATTATTTATCAAGCAATCAACTTATTCATCCTTAAAATGGGTAAGATGGTTTTCACATTTAGCATGTTTTGAAATATAACCCACATAGCTGATAAGAGTACTAGAATATTTTGCTGTTTTTATTTTTACACTGTGAAGTATACATGCAGAAATGAAAATTAGTTTTATTCTTCAATTGCTGAGCTGAAATGCACAGTGATTTTTCAGTTAAAAAATACGTAACCATATTACATACGTTTCAAAATTTTTTAAAAAAATGTGTGTGTATCTATATGTAGAGGGTTGTTTATGTATAGTGCAATATTTTTTAAACTAGAGTATGTGCTTACCATACACTTCCCTGAAAGAAAGTTCTTTGATCAAATAAATTAGAACAACCCACAACCTTACTAGCTCTTGGAGATTCACAGTACATATTAGCGCATTAAAGGTCTGAGTGTTTAGCCCAGTGTTTCCCATACTTATCTGAGCAAAGAACCCTTCTATGCCAATATCGCAAGACCTTAGTGTTGTAAGAAATGCTCTTTGGGGAGCATTGTGTAAAGACTGGAAAGAATAAGATCATGTTTTATTCAGTGTCTTAACATTTCCTTCTGACTTCCTTTTCCAAGTAATGACAAAATTGGTGAATTTTGTTGCAGGACTCACCCTAAATTCATTAGCCAGGTGGAAACTCAGGATGCCTAGAAAAGAGAGCATGAAAAAATATGAGGAAAGCCATTAAAACAGATATTGTGCCCAGGATATCATGTGTACTAACATAGTTTAATTTTTAAAACTATAGTCAGTTTCACCATTTAGAAAGATAAAATTTTTCAAAAGACTTACAATTTTGTAAGCTTTCTTTGGTATCTATTTCCAGTTGGAGAATAAAGATTTCAGTTTGACTACTTGCCTTCCTTTGCATGATCAGTAATTAAGAAGAAAGTTATTTTAGTCATTTGCTACCAGCCGTCTGACTATTTTTGTTTCTCTCCCTGGAACCTAAACTGAGTTAATGATTGCGAGTTAATGTAAATCTTGTGTGGATTGGATAGAAAGAAAAAAGCAAAAATCTCACAGTACTTTAGACTTGTAATTGTCACACTTCTTTTTAGCCTCTTCCCCACCTCTATGGAGCATCAGTAGGAAACCTCTCTGCTGTAGACTTTCAGGTACTTATATAATGATTGCATTTTACTTTTCTTAGAAGTACTCATCTCTTTTGCTCTTCAGTGATGACCTACACTGTGTATCTTGGGTTACTTCTAATGTGACCTTGGATGTGAGCCAGGTATATAATGGGATTAAGAAAGGTATTCATACCCATAATTTTAGGGAGCCTGGGGAAGGTAGACTGTCCAGTTGTGGCTGTTTCCCAAAACAAAAACAGGGAGGAGCCTGTCAAGAGTACAGGATTGCATTCTTGTGTCAAGAATACAGGCTTGGGAGAGGCACTGAAATGGGACTAGGCCCAGGCAGAAAAAGTGGGTGTGCTGCTGGCAACGTGAGCCCTTCACTGATCCTGTCAGTAATCCCAGTACCCTTAGAAGAAGCTAGGCGAAAGTAGATTTCTTTCTTTAAGCTTGCCAAGAGAGACATAGCCAGCCAAAATGGGAAAAGAAACTGGGAAGACCAGAGGGAGTTAGGTTGGAAATTTGCTGATATAATACAGGTCCTGAATTCTTACAAATGATGGAATTGGGGGTTTGAGTCAGGTTTACTCTAGAGACCCATGGAGCAGTAATATCCACATGATATTGGACTTAGAAGTGACTCAATCTTGATTCGTTTATGAAGTAAAAAGAAATAGATTCAGAGAATAGCTTTGCTTCTGGTATGAAATGACCAAAGCTGTAAAGGTGTTTGAGTAATTTTACAAAAAGCAAGCATTGGATTCTTGGATAAAGTATTTTAGTAGGAGATTGGAATGAACTTCTTTAATTAAGCAGCTGTTCATCTGTGTGAATGAGTAGAAATGTGCTAATTGGCCATGTTTATCTGGAAGAGGTTTGGTAAGTGAGAGTGGTAGAAAGAGATATTTGAAATGCCATGGCAGTGGAATTCATGCCAGCAGTTACTCTACATGGCAAAAGTACACAGAATTTATTCAGAATACCTGGCTCCTGTTTCAATTATGTTAAGCCTCCTTTTAGTATTTGGATCACTCTGCCAGGAACAGGATAAAAAATAGGCAGCTTGTCCTAAAGCTCACTATAAGTGGAGAGTGAGTTCATACTTGTCATTTGTACTTGGCAGAAATAATTAGGAAGCCAGTGGGGAGGCACTTTTGATCCTTTAATATATTTGTACCCAAGGAAACTTGAGAAAAACTCAATTCTGGTTGGATTTGAAATATCTTTTATCCTTTCCTTAAGTGATGGTAGTTTTTTTAAAAAAGTATTAAAAGTTAGGTATCCTGTGATAAGGTCTGTACTTGAAAAGTAAAAGGATACAGTCACATACCTGAAGAAATAGTTCAAAACCAGACTAAGAAAAGTTTGAGATTTAGAGAAGACTATGTTTTATTTTAAGACGGAATACTTTGTTTCTCCTTCCAAGACTTTTGGAAGACTCATGGTAAACCTGACTCAAACCCCCAATTCCATCATTTGTAAGAATTCAGGACCTGTATTATATCAGCGAATTCCAAAAGTCTTGGAAGTCTTTGGAAGCATGTAATTAAATAAGTTTTGATATTTTTATTTAAGTACTTAAATTATACCTCATTTTGGATGATTTTGCTAAAAATGTAAAAATGTCTATGTCACAGAGAAGTCATTCTCAGCCATCATTTCTAGTAGGTGGTAATTCTCAGTATGTCCTGCCACACACAGTACTTCCATTGTTGAAAGGCACAGGGAAATGGCGGGTCCACGTAGTGAGGAAGGACATAGTGGTAGAGGGGCAGGGGTAGCCTGTCCTGGTCTGATCTTTACCTTAACAATTTATCTTGATAGAATGCAGTCACAAGCAGACTTATTTTAAATGAATAACTTGTACATTCTATTTTGGAATAATTCAGTGCCCTTAAAAACACCCACCCCTTAACAGTAGTGATTGCCTCTGGGGAAGGTAATTGGACAGTGGTGGGAGGGAGATTGAGTTGTCATTGTATACCCACTTTGAAAACTTGGGCATTTATACCATGTGCATGTTATACAATCATGTGTCAATGACAGGGATATGTTCTGAGAAACAAGTCGTTAGGCGATTTTGTCATTGTGTATACATCATAGAATATTTTTACACAAACCTGGCTGGTCTAGCCTACTACACATTGTCAGTCGAGGAAAATAACGAGACAAGTCTCAATCATTTTAGGAGATTTATTTGCTAAAGTTAAGGACATGCCAGGGAGACAGGTCTATGCCTTTCTCCAAAGATGATTTTGAGAGCTCTACATCTAAAGGGCAAAAGATGGGAGTTGAGAAGCACACTGTTTTCATGTAAGAGGGGGGTAGGGAAAAATAGTCATTCATGCCTTTGTCTGCCTCAGTGAATCTACATTTTTTTTACATAGGATGACACAAAGGGGCAGAGGAAAAATGTGGAGAATCTGTATTTTACATCAGATAACACAGACAAAATAGGGTAAGGGAAGAGTCAGATATGCGTTTGTGTCTGGGGTGACTGTACCTGTAAAGATAAAGCTATCAGTTTGCATTGCCATGGTAAAGTTTTAACAGCTCACTAGGAATTTCCTTATGAGAAAAATATGGGGGAGGCATGTAGCTTTTCATCTTGTAGCAATCTTATTTAGGAACCAAAAAGGAGAGGCAGGTTTGCGTGACCCAGTTCCCAGCTTGAATTTTCCCTTTAGCTAAATGAGTTTGGGGTCCCCAAATTTAATTTCCTTTCACAATACCTAGGCTATACAGTATAGCCTATTGCTCTCAGGCTGCCAACCTGTACAGCATGTTACTGTACTGAATACTGCAGGCAATTGGAACACTATGGTAAGTATTTATGTATCCAAACACATCTAAACACAGAAAAGGCACAGTTAAAATACGTTTTATAATCTTAAGGAACCGCTGTTGTATATGCGATCCATCATTGACCAAGACATCCTTATACAACGCATGACTGGATATTTAAAAAAAGAAAACTAAAAGAAAAAAAAATTTCTCCCTAAGGGCTCCTATCTTCTGACAAAAGCCTGGGCTTTCCCTCCCTGCCCGGAGGAGCTTCTGTGATTTTCTGTGTGTCCCCTTTCCCAGCTCTGCCACCAGTTTCTTTTGCTGCTAAGGAAAACACTTTCTGAATTCATTGACTTTTCTTCCTCACCTCTAATTGTATAATCCCTATCCCTTTCACAAAGGCCTCGGAAGATTTCTTACCGTGAAATGTGGTAACCTCCTTTCAAACTCGATTTGACTTTTCTGGGTCACTTGAGAGTTGCACTCTCTCTTCCCAGCCTCTCTGACACTCTTTTCTGGTATGTTTGGACCTCTCTCACTCCACCTTCAGGAGCGTCTTTGCAGTGATTCCACCTTCATCCATTCTGCGCACTCTCCCTGAGCAGTCTTGTTCACTTGGTGAGATCACCTGTGTGAGTAGATGTGCCCTCTCTCTGGCTCTCTGACCTGCATCCTTTGGCCCTCTAGGTGTCCCATGGGACCTCAAAATCAGAATATTTCAACCTGAACTTATTGTCTATTCCCTTGTCATCCAAATGCCCATTTTTTCCACTTGCTATATTTTAGTAGCACCCGAGCCAGAAACCTGAAAATGTTCCTTTCTTTTTTTACCAGACAAGGTTTTGGAATTACAGATAGCCTTGCTGTAATGTGTGCATGTTGGCTTTGTTTCCATCACATCTCTTCATCTTACAAATAAACTCCTAAGTTGGGCAGCATCATTCAAGTTGGACTTGGGAGAAATTTTATACATATAAATATTCTGTCCTTATTAAAAGTAGGAGACAAATCATTTCAATTATTCTTTTGCATTGATTGTTTTATGTTTATGAGTCCGTAGAAACCTCATTTCAGAGGCATTTGCTGCATTTGAGACTTGAGTTTGGTTTGTAGCTTTGAAATTAAATTAGCAAGTATATAACTTCACAGAGCTTGTGGTTTATTGTGTTAGCATTCATATTGTGTTTTGCTTAGTTTTCTGTTCAGTTACTTAAAATATAAATAGTATTTTCTGCAAAATTAGAATTACAGGCATATCTTTTTTTTTTTTTTGCACTTCACTTTATTGTGCTTTGCAGATACTGTGTTTTTTTTACAAATTGAAGATTTGTGGCAACCCTGTCAATCTGTTGGTAGCATTTTTCCAAAAGCACATGCTCACTTCGTGTCACTGTGTCACATTTTGGTAATTCTTGCAATAGTATTTCAAACTTTTTCATTATTATTACATACGTTATAATGATACAGGAGCTAAGAAGGAATTAGGTAGATAACAAGGGCACGGGCGCTTGATAAGGCTCTACTTTCTAATGAAAAGCAGTCCTGAATCATTTTCTAACAAAGAGCACCCTGCAAGCTAGGAGCTTGCACAGGTGGGTGCCAGCAGGAACTAAGGACTAGACATTTTCAAAATGGTGGGTCCATCTTCCCTTCTCTGCCAGCCACACATACTATAAAGGAGCAGACAAGATGGCGCAGATCAACTGGAAAGCCTATTTGCATAAGAAGATTACGGTAGGGTGACCAGCCTTCCCCGCACACTATGTAGACATCATATCTGATGAAACCAATCTGTGAGCCCTATATAAATCAGACACCGCCTTCTGCAGCCTGCCTATAAAATCTGCTGTGGTCCATGGCCTCCCAGCCTTTTTCAGACGTCTCTTTCTCTTTCTCAGGGAGCTGCCCTCCTCCCTCCTTTCTTCTCTCTATTAAACTTTCCACCCCTTAACCCACCTGAATTCTTTCTCAATGCGTGACAATGAACCCCAAGGTATATACCCCAGACAGTGTAGCCACTTCAATAGTGATCTGTGATCAGTGATCTTTGATGTTACTGTTGCAATTGATTTGGGGTGCCACAAACTGCATCTATGTAAGATAGCGATCTTAATTGATAAATGATGCATGTGTTCTGACTGCTCCACAGACTGGCCATTCCCTGTCTCTCTCCCTGTCCTTAGGCCTCCCTAGTTTCCAAGAAACAGTAATATTGAAACTAGGTCAGTTAATAACCCTACAATAACCTCTAAGGGTTCAACTGAAAGGAATAGTTGTGCATCTGTGATTTGAAATCAAATGCTAGAAATGATTAAGCTTAGTGAGGAAGTCATCTTAAAGGGTGAGATAGGCTGAAAGCTAGGCCTCTTGTGCCAGTTAGCCAAGTTGTGAATGCAAAGAAAAAATTCTTGAAGGAAATTTGGAGAGCTACTGTAGTGAACACAAAAATAATAAGAAACAAAACAGTCTTACTGCTAATTTGGAGAAAGTTCGAATGGTCTGGATAGAAGATCCAACAAGCTGCAGCATTTCCTTAAACCAAAGTCTGTAATCCAGAGAAAGGCTCTAACTCTCTTCAATTCTGTGAAGTCTAAGAGAGGTGAGGAAACTGCAGAATAAAAGTAGGAAGCTAGCAGAGGTTGGTTCATTAGGTTGAAGGACAGTAGCCATCTCGATAACATAAAAAGTACAAGGTGAAGCAGCAAGTACTGATTTAGAAGCTGCAGCAAGTAATCCAGAAGATCTAGCTAAGATTATTGATGAAAGTGGCTACACTAAACAACAGATTTTCAGTGGAGACAAAACAACCTTCTTCTGTTGGAAGAAGATGCCATCTAGGACTTTCATAGCTATAACGAGAAGTCAATGCCTGCATTAAAGCTTCCGAGGACAGGGTGACTGTCTCTTTAGGTGCTACTGCAGCTGGTGACTTTAAGTTGAAGCCAATATTCATTTACCATTCAGAAAATTCTGGGTTCTATACAAATGATGCTAACTGTACTCTGTGCTCTATAAATGGAAAAACAAAGCCTGGATGACAGCACACCTATTTACAGCATGGCTTAGGAAACAAACAAACAAACAAAATATATATATATATATACACACACATATATATATGTGTGTGTGTGTATATATACATAGATATATATATATATATTTTCGAGACAGAGTCTCATTCTTATCACCCAGGCTGGAATGCAGTGGCACGATCTCGGCTCACTGCAACCTCTGCCTCCCGGATTCAAGCCATTCTCCTGTCTCAGCCTCCGAAATAGCTGGGATTACAGGCGCCTGCCACCATGCCCAGCTAATTTCTGTATTTTTAGTAGAGATGTGGTTTCGCCATGTTGGCCAGGCTGGTCTTGAACTCCTGACCTCAGGTGATCCGCCTGCCTCAGCTCCCCAAAGTGCTGGGATTACAGGCATGAGCCACCACTCCTGGGCCGGCTTAGTGAATATATTAAGCCCAATGTTGATATCTACTGCTCAGAAAAAAAAGGATTCCTTTCAAAATATTACTATTCATTGACAGTGCACCTAGTTACTCTAGAGCTATCATGGAGATGTACAAGGAGATTAATGTTGCTTTCAAGCCTGCTATCACAGTATCTGTTCTGCAACCCATGGATCAAGAGGTAACTTCAACTTTCAAGTATTAAGAAATACTTTCTACAAACTATAGATGCGATAGATAATGATTTCTCTAATGGATCTGGACAAACAAAGTGAAAAACTTCTGGAAAATATTCACCATTCTGGATGCCCCTAAGATAATTTATGATTTATGGCAGGAGGTCAAATTATTCTGATTAGCAGGAGTTTGAAAGAAGATGATTTCTACCCCCACGATGACTTTGAGGGGTCCAAGACTTCAGTGAAGGAAGTAACTGCAGATGCGGTAGAAATAGCAAGAAAACTAGAATTAGAAGTGAAGCCTGATGGTATAACTTAATTGCTGCAATCCCATGATAAAACTTGAAGGAATAAGGAGTTGCTTCTTATGAATGAACAAAAGTGGTTCTTGAGTTGGAATCTACTCCTGGTGAAGATGCTGTGAACATTTTTAAAATGACAACAAAGGATTTAAAATATTACACAAACTTAATTGATAAAGTAGTGGTAGGGTTTGAGAAGATTAACTCCAAGTTTGAAAGAAGTTCTACTGTGGGTCAAATGCTATCAAACAATATCACGTGCTGCAGAGAAATCTTTCTTCAATGGAAGAGTCCATTAACACAGAAAGCTTCATTGTTGTCTCATTTTAAGAAATTGATATAGCCACTCTAACCTTCAGCAACTACCACCCTGGTCAGTCAGTAGCCATCAACATTGAGGCAGTACCTTCCACCAACCAAAAGATTATGACTTCCTGAAGGCTCAGATGACTTTTACCATTTTTCACCAATGAAGTATTTTTAAATTATAGTATATATGTTTTTTTAAGACCTAATGCTGTTATATACTTAATAGACTACAGTGTAATGTAAGCAACTTTTACCTGCTCTAGGAAGCCAAAAAATATGTGCAACTCACTTTATTGCAATATTCACTTTATTGCAGTAGTCTGCAGCTGAACCTATAGTATCTCCAAGGTATGCTTGTACAGTTGTTCCTCAGCATCCACAGGGTATTGGTTTCAGAAACCTTCCTCCCAAATCCGAGAATGCTCAAATTCCTTATATAAATGGCATGGTATTTGCATATAACCTACACACATTCTCCCATATACTTTAAGTCATTTTTAGATTACTTATGATTCCTAATCTAAGTGCTATGTAAATAGTTGTTATGCTCTATTGCTTTTTAAATTTGTATTATTTTTTCTGAATATTTTTGATTCAAGTTTGGCTAACTTGTGTATGTGGAACCTGTGGATATAGAGGGCTGATTTGTACCTTCAATGTTGTTTTATTTCTTACTTATTAAATATAGAGAATCAAATAACTACTGGATTAAAATAATTAGCATGTATTATACACCTATTATATGATATTTTATGTATGCATATTGTTGAATTTGATCCACTCAGTGACTTGATGCAGGATGGAGAGACATGGCATCAGAGGCATTATTTAATTTTCCCAGATTATGCTGCTGGGGTGGTCACTCCTGGTGGTTCTTGGCTTGAGATTCTTTACTCATTGCTTTATGTGTGACTTGTTCATCCCTGAAAGTAATACACTTAAGGACTGGATTTGTGGGCATCTTTTTTTTACTGGGAGTTGATTTTCACATGGTCCGTGCTTTTCCTGTATTAGTGGCCATTTATGAGGGAGATTTTGTAGTATTTCACTTCTACCGTCCAAACTATCTATTGTCATGGGGCAATGTAAAAGTAGGTAATAAAGGTGCTTTAAGATTTAAGTGTAATTTATAAAATTTTAATCGATGGAAGGTGATTTTAATGCACCTCTCCAAAAATAGTTACCAAGAGACAGTTATTATTTATATATTATCAATAATCTCTCTGCTTGAATTTTTGTTACTTAAAGGGGGCTGTTATTTGAAGAATGCTATCTTCCTTCCCTGGTCATTATTCATATTCTGTCTCTCTTTCTCTCTTAGTGTAACGAAACCTCATTCTTTTTTGAAGCTCGGAGTAAAACTGCTTGCAAGCACCTCTGGAAGTGCAGTGTGGAACATCATACATTTTTTAGGTAAATTGATGTAAAAATTTTGTTTGTTGTCTTAATAAATGAAAATGGCATTTATTTTTATAAAAAGAATTCTGTCTAAAACAGAAATTTGGAATTGTTTCCCTTTTATTAATTTTCTCAATTCCTAATTCTCTGGATTATATTAATACAAACATGCACACATTCATGTATGTGTAGATATATATACACATAGGCACTTATACACATAGATACAGTTATATC
The DNA here is from genome assembly GCF_000001405.40 of Homo sapiens. Classification (NCBI taxonomy): domain Eukaryota; kingdom Metazoa; phylum Chordata; class Mammalia; order Primates; family Hominidae; genus Homo; species Homo sapiens. Next base: position 112,240,496 of record NC_000005.10, on the reverse strand, counting down.
TTTGATACTGCAAGAAAGGATCGAGGTAATATTTTTTAGGTTTATGTAAAACATGCAGCCATTGCTAGCACCTATGTAGTATTGGTGGAAATGGAGTGTTCTGTGCATAATTAATTTGAAAAGCCTATCAGCCATCTAGGTAGAAATGTGGTAAGTCAGTTAGGTGTACAAGGCTCACTGGAAAGACCAAAGTTGATGAAGTCACTTAAGTAGTTATTTACAGAAGTGGCTGGATGAGGTCACCAGTGGAAACAGTGGAGAGAGAAGCAGAACTCCAAGGACTGAGCTTGGTGGCCCTCCCGACATTAGAGGGCAGGATGAGCCAGTCTAGAGTATGAGAAGGAGCAGTCAGAAGAGTGTGTTGTATCCTGGGAAACGAGGAAAGGGAATGTCTTGATGAATAAGGTGCTGGCAACTGCATGCAGTCCTCCTGGGAGGTCCGGTCAGATGAAACTAGAGAAATGACCTTTGGATTGTGGGGATACTTTTTTCTTTGTTTCACATCTTTATGTTGTAAAGATAAAACAAAAATTTAGCTGGTGATACATTAAGCTTTATTTTTTGGTTTTGTTTTTTAAATGGAAACAAAATTGAGTTCTTCCCTGTTTCATCCTCATGGAGTATGAATTGCATGATGTTGGAGAAGTATTCTTATAAAGTGGCTGGAGTCCTTTATAAAGTTTGTGTTAGGAGAAGGGGGTGGCCCAGAATGCCTATAACATTGAGTCTTTGTCTGATTTTCTTTTAAAAATTGATTAGAATGCCAGAAAATGAATCCAATTCACTGTCAAGAAAACTCAGCAAGTTTGGATCCATACGTTATAAGCACCGCTACAGGTAAATGACATTTTTTTCCTTGGGGGGATGTGTTTGTAAATAAATACTTAATTCAGCTGTCATACATGCTCAGTGAAGTTATTTATTTATTTTTTTCTTTTTTCTTGCATTGCCAATGTGTTTTGTAAGCATAACAGTTTATTAAAACTTTCTCAACAAACATGATTTTCCAGATTTAATTATATTTAGTGTCTGCATTAGCTATGTTGTGGGCTTTTAGATCATAGTAAAGTTTATTATCTTCAGAAATTCATTTTGACACAGTTATCACTTATTTTTAATTATGTGTGTTTTGTGATTATGAAACAATGTAGATTCTGAATAGTAACTAATTGTGTTTTTAAGACATTCAGTTGATCCCCTATTTTAATACAATCTATACTTTTTATATTGTGCATCAAACCTTGTTTTTTCTGCAACATGAAGCCTGCATGTAGTAATGCTAGCAATTATATCTCAACTTTATTGAGCAGTTACTAAGTGCTGTGTACTGTGATACATGTTTTCCATTCATTGCTTCATTTAGTTATCAATCTTCTGTAATATTAGCCCCATTAATGTATGAGGACCCTAAGGCTCAAAGAGGTCAAGTCCCTTCTCCAGGTAATCCAGCTAGGAAGCGGGGAAGTGGGATCCATCCCCTGGCGCTCTAGCTGCAGAGCTCATGTTTATAACCATTAGGCAAACTGTTAGCCTGTTGTGGAAAAAGCCTGATTGTCATGCAGCTAGGCAGGCGCTTATGTCTTTTTCTGATACCAGCATTAAAAATGAGAGTGGGTTCTATATTTTGAAAAAGAATTTGTCTTGTTTCAATTCATTCTGTTCAATGGAGAGAGCCTGTGATGTGCAAGGCATAGTATTAGGTACCTAGAGATACAAAGAATCAGATCTACCCACTTCTGCCTTCAAAGAGCTATAGTATTATTCAAACAGTGAGGGAGGTCCCCAGGCCTTGTAAAACCCAAGCAGGGTGGGGAGATGCCACCTAGTGTCACAGAGATGGGACACTTTTGTCAGTTCCATTGGAGACATCACTGAATGAAATGCTTCCTTAAGAGGTACAAAAAAAGCCAAGGCAAGCATTTTCAGGACAATAGTCCTCTATGCTAGATTTTAATTCTTCTCTTTTATAATGCACTTTTTGGGTCTTGAATTTGAGATTAAAGATTATCAGTAAAAGAGTAATGAATATTAAACGTTCAGTGCATTCATCTTTATATATTATTTAGTTGAAAATTTGCTCATTGCATGAATAAAAATACTTAAGTGTCATTGTATTATAGATATTCTTGGAATTTACATGAAGGTATTCATTGATATGTTAATGTTTAACCTTTAGGTTTTCACTGTTCTTCTGTAGACAGTGATACAATTATGAAGAATTTAAGGAAGTATTGTTTACATTTATATTGAGAAGAGCAGGTAATAGTCAGTACTTGGACTGTTCTTCCAGTTGTGGCATAAAACATCACCAGGATTATAGAGAGAATGTCTCCTTGTCCCTGAAAAGGAGCTGGTAGAAAGACATCTGTCTTAATGTTCATACTATTAAAATTGTAATTATCCTCTTTAACATACGCTGTTGTTGGCTTCCACAAATTTAGCCATACTTTATTTCTCAAATTTATTGAAATGCAAATGTTGTGGCTACTGGGAATTATTATTAGGAAGTTATTGGATTTTGCATATTAAGTATCATTTCTTCCAAGGAAGTGATTAAAAGTAACCTTTGCAAAATTGGAGGCCATGCTAAATCTGTTCCAATTTTGTGGCTGATGTTAACTGCCTAGTAAGTCTTAATGAATCTTAAATCTACATGTCTATATGTAGGAGACACTAACATTACACCATCCTTGGAAGAAAGACGATGCCCAGAGGTTAGGCAGGGATGGGTCTCTGATTGCTGGGGGTTCATTAGCACACAGACTGTTTATTGTCAAAAGAGGGCAAGCAACCAGACTTTAACCAGCACAATATGCCTGCCCCTTTCTTGAGACATTCCGGAGACATCCTGGAATGAAAGCAGAGCTCTGGAAACACATTCTCTTCCTTTCACCCTGCAGGCTTTTAAAGAATAGGGTATAAAGAACAGCTTAACAGGTGGCTGCAGTGTATGAATGCAGGTATCTGGGTGTGTTTGTGTGTGTAATTGTGTATGTGTTTATAGTGATGTGTTAGTGTCTTTGTGGTTGTGCACCATACATATATGTGATGGAGGAAGACAAGAGTTCTAGTCTTTACTCTGTCTTGCATTTTAAGGCTTGCAAAATGCCAAGGACGGTAGCACTTTTTGGGAAAACTAGTGCTTACTTAAGGGAAAAATCGGACTTTTTTTAGTGATATGGGAAAATGAAGATTAAAAATTAAATTTGTGAGGAAAGGCTGAGCTGAAATCTGATGTTCCAGTACTTTTTGTTGTTGTTGTTACTGTTGTTTTATTACCAGGGACCAATAATCTGAAATAGAAATCTTTGATTAAACATTTTGTTATACATTGCTATCTTCTCTGAGCCCCTTACAAATTAACCTTGCCTTTACCTGTCATTAAGTTGTGGGGTGCTCCTAGTTTTGATTAATGAGTTGTGTAGAATTTACACTTGAGAATTGAGAAAGAAGGCTTAGAAACTCCCCTGGGAACCCAGATCCTCACTGTAGGACTCAACTCACAGGAGCTGTCATGAGATTTCACATTCTATGAAGCATGGAAGAGAGACCAAGTTCTCCTAAGAACCTCCTTTGTGTCAGTTGCTTTCACATGTGCAGCTTTATTTAATCCACACAATGACCTGCCAAAGAGGTTTCATATCCCCCTTTATATAGATGAGAAATTGGAGCCTCCAAAAGTAAAGTAAGCGTCCCTAATCAGTAAGTGGCAAAGCTGGGGTTTTGAACCTGAGTATTTCTACTCTCGTTCTTTTCTTTCTGTCTCACTTAGAGGCTGAAGGGGCTGCTGGCAGTGCCACTCAGCATGCAAAGGGCTGTATTTATGCCAGAGGCAGCAGGGAAGTGGGTGATCACAGAAATAAAACTGTGTCCTGTCGTAACAGAGAGCCACCAAACATGTGCAGGGACTTTCATCACCTTACACTGTAAATCTCCATACTTGTCAATTACTTTCTGCTACAAGGAAATAGGATGCTATATAAGAATACTTCTGCCAGGAAATTGTAAGAACAAGTAGAAATATAAATGAGGAAAATGAGGCTGCAAGGATTTTTACAAATAACTTTCTGAAGACCACTTAGCTGGGGAAAGGCAGAGCTTTGCTTTAAACAGGGCTTGCAACTTCAAACCCAACAGCTACATGTGCTGTTCCTTCTCCCATGCCATCAGCCTATGCCATACTGACCAGCAGGAGGTCAGAAAGCTTGTTCTAGTGCTGGGTCCTGTATAGCCTATGGCAGATCACTTTACGCTTCTGGTCCTTGGTCTTATTAATCTTAGGATATGATTTTCTCATTTCTCTTTTGTTCCTAGAGAGAAACCATGAGAAAAATTTGAATAATAAAAAAAATCTGACTGTGAAATGCCTCAGTGGTTCACATATTGGGTTATATTTTTAGGGGGAACATTTTTTCCTCTGTGAGTGAAGTGTACAGTGCCCAGGTCTTTCTGTTAATAGTCTGTTGAAAGTAGGCCTTATCTTCATACTCCAGACCATTTATAATAATGAAACTTTTCACTTTATGGGGATTTTTAGCTTTTTGGAAATCTATGTTATCCTGTGTACCTTTTTAGAAGAAGTTACATTTCAAGCAAAAGAAAATCTGTCAGTTTGCTCCTCTCCCCTCCCGAATTTCCATGAACTGTTACTGAACATGAAGAACAATCATGGATGCGCCCTGGCATCTTTATTCCCCTGGTAGCTGATACCACACGTCCCAACTTAGCCTGATGCAGAGTCATTTTTATAAGTTTTGTAGGCATCTTCATTTTTAATAAAGGTAGAGGAAGTAGTAAGGAGGAGAAACTTCCACAGAAGCATGTGAAAGATGAATTTTAAGTCTGTTAAATCTGTTTTTTGGGGAAACACTCACCTGTGTTTATCCTGTAAATGTAAGATGAATAGGATTTGGGGCCATTAAAAGACTTTTTTCCTCCCATAGATGGCTGTACTTGTGGTGAATCAAACTAGACTTGTAGAAATGCGTTTTTCCTGTACCTAAATGATATTTACCTGCATGAAAGCCAGGGTCATTCAGTTGCTCAAATTCAGCAGTTGTGGAATAAATTGTTAGTAAGGTGAATGTTCACTGAAATCCAGCAAACTAAATCACATGATTCCTTGGGAAAATTACTTGAGAAGTTTGGCCCAGCCCCAGGGAAACCTGCCCTGGAATCTGCATGGAATGTATAGAGCAGCAGTGCTTTGCATGGGGTTCTAGGCCTGCCTTCAGTCTTCCTGGACACTTGATCTGGCCCAGGCAGGGTGGGCATAGTAAATGGCTAATTGTGCCATGACAGAGTCCAGAATAAAATCATACCGAGTGGTCTTGTGGGGGATGGTTTACAACCTGCTGTGTGAGTACAACATGGAGCTCATGTGGAATCATTGCCTTCCCACAGTTTAGCCCAACTTAATTTCTTTATTATTTAGTGACCTTAAAGACTGTCAGCAACCTTTATTTCTAGCCCATCATTCTACTGAAATCTAATTCCTCCTTTAATAAATTCTTTCTTCCTGTTTCCTCCTCTGAAAGATTTTCCTTCTATCTAATGTAAATCTCCTCCTAGAATTTAATAACCACTCCCTTGATCAATATTGCAATGAGAATCAATTAAAAACCAGGGAGTCTGTGTGTTTTTTCTTCTCTCCATATTTGGCAGATGTTCTGAATGACCTGTTGTTTAATTTTGTGGCTGTGTGGTTTTACCTTTGCTAATCAAAATGTTGCACTCTCAAGTGGCAGGACAGCTTTGCAAATGAGCCGAGATCTTTCTATTCAGCTTCCCCGGCCTGATCAGAATGTGACAAGAAGTCGAAGCAAGACTTACCCTAAGCGAATAGCACAAACACAGCCAGCTGGTAAGTCATGGTTCCCCTGAGTTATCTATGTAACCTTGTTTTCCTTTAGGCTGGTAGTGTAAGATATACTCAGGTGATGTCTATAACTCTACAGTCTTTCTATTGAAATTTCCAATATTAAAATTTTCTAATATTAGAAATTTTAATTTGATCTTGGAAATGTTCAAGCAGACAGTAATTTTAAGAAGACATATAGTCATCTTGAATCACCATGGCCTGCTTAATGACTGTACTTTCTTTTTTTTTCTTTTTTGAGTTAGGATCTTGCTGTGTCACCAGGCTGGATTGCAGTGGCATGATTATAGCTCACTGCTGCCTTGACCTCCTGGGCCCAAGTGATGTTCTGACCTCAGGTAGCTGAGACTATAGGCACATACTACCATGCCTGGTTATTTTATTTTTATTTTATTTTATTTTATTTATATTTTATTTTATTTTATTTTATTTTAATTTTATTTATTTTATATTATTTTATTTTATTGAGATAGGGTCTCACTATGTTGCCCAGGCTGGTCTCAAACTCTTGGGCTCAAGTGATCATCTCTCTTCAGCCTCCCAAAGTGCTAGGATTACAGGCATGAACCACCATGCCTGGCCCCATACGTTCTTTTTGAAGGGGTTTTATTTTACATAAAATCTTGGCTGGGCACAATGGCTCATACCTGTAATGTCAGTGCTTTGGGAGGCTGAAGCAGGAGGATGGCTGGAGCCCAGGAATTCAGGGTTACAGTGAGCTATGATCATGCCACTACACTCCAGCCTGGGTGATAGACTGAGACCCTGTTTCTTAAAACAAACAACAAAAACCACACAAGACAAAATGCTAAACTGAGTAATTTCTTAATTTGATGTATTTGAGTTGAAATTGAAAAAACTCTTAGCAAGAGTCTTGAAAAAAACAAACAAACAACAAAAAACAGCACTTCTGGGCATGATGGTAAGGCTGTCGTCCTAGCTACTCAAGAGGCTAGGGCAGAAGTATCGCTTGAGCCTGGGAGTTTGAGTATAGCCTGAGCAACAAAGTGAGGCCCCTATCTATTAAAAATACAAATTAAAAAAAAGGAGCACTATTGAGGTAACTTAATTTGAGCTTCATTTGTACAGAATCCAGTTGGTTCTTTGTTATTATTGGTCTTTTATTGTGTAACATAATACACATATAGAAAGTATATAAATAAAATATCCATACTTATGGACATATACATACATGTATACATATGTGTGTAGACACATACAAAGTTTAATCTAGCCTGCATCCCAAAAGTGCCACATGGGCATTTCTCTGATAAGTGTTCTCACCATTTCCTCCCCTCAGTTAGAGGAAACTTCTGTTTGACTTTGTGGTAATTTCATTCCTTTCTTTTCATTATAATTTGTCAGTTTCCTGAACAAATTAGTTTATTTTGCCTGTTTTTAACATTAGATGAATGGATCATAGTATGTCTTTTTTTGTGTCTTGATTCTTCCTGCCAACATTATATACAGTGTGTACTAAAGCACATTCCTTTTTCTTGCTGTGAGTATTCTTGTGTTTGACAATTTATTCATTCTACTGTTGATGGATATTTGGGTTATTCAGATTTTTTTTTAATGAAGACACTGTGTCTTTAATAAAACCACCTAATCAAGCAGCTTTAATCCATGTTCAGTGCTCATTGCTCACAGAATTTTACTGTGAAGTAATATTGCTGACGTTAGTTTGTGGCTTGCTTATAGATCACCCTTGTCTAACACTCTCCAGTGTCCTTTCACAGATATTATCTTGTTTGAGCCTCACCCTGTGAGGTGGGGCAAGGGAAAGAGTACATACCATTTTACAGATGAGGAAGATGTGCTTCTAGCAGTTATTCAGAGGTGTGGCTGGGACAGGAGCCCAGGTCTCCTGGGTCTAGCACATTATAGGAAGTAAATGAAATTTTTAGTAACAATATTAACATTGGAACATTGTGTGAAAATTGACCTAGCATTATGACATCTATCATTTCATTTAATCCTTTTGTCAAGCCTGTGAAGAAAAGTGTATGAGTTTATTTTACCATTCCTGTGTGTGAGAATGTCACCTGACTTACTGCTTCTAAAGTCAAATTAAGTCTCACTCTAGTTCCCCTCCTCTTGTTGGGCTGGAAGGAAATAAAGTTCTTTCTGGTGGTTCTACACTGACAAGAATAAAACATGACTAAATTTGCAATAGATTACCTTGCCACATCACTATTATTTTGCCTCCCTTCAGGTAATGAGGAAACTAAGACGTGAAAGGCAGTTTGGCTAAAACTACTGTGGAGTAGGTTTACTGGGCATTGGTTACTGACTTGTTTGAGTCCATTGAGAGAGAACACGCTCATATGCAACAAGTTACATGAAGCTTATGTATTACTTACACATGGGCATCAGAGGACAAAGGATGTCTAGGATTTGTTGTAAGCTGGTCCCCCTAATGCACAGCCCAGCCTTTTTGGAGGACAGCCTCCCAGCATCAGGTGGATCTCTCTCTCTCTCTCTCTCTCTTTTTTTTTTTTTTTTGAGACAAGGTTTCACCTTGTCACCCAGTCTGGAATGCAGTGTTGTGGCCATAGCTCACAGTAGCTTTGAACTTATGGCTCAAGCAATCCTCCCACCTCAGCCTTCTGTGTAGCTGGGATTACAGGCATACGCCACCACGCCCGGCTAATGTTTTTTTAATCTTTTATTTTTTGTAGAGATGGGGTCTTGCTGTGTTTAGGCTGGTCTCAGACTCCCAGCCTCAAGCAATCCTTACATCTTGACCTCCAGAAGTGTTAGGATTACAGGTGTGAGCCACTGTGCCTGGCAGGTGGATCCTTTTTTTTTTTTTTTTTTTTTTTTTGAGACGGAGTCTAGCTCTGTCGCCCAGGCCGGACTGCGGACTGCAGTGGCGCAATCTCGGCTCACTGCAAGCTCCGCCTCCCGGGTTCACGCCATTCTCCTGCCTCAGCCTCCCGAGTAGCTGGGACTACAGGCGCCCGCCACCGCGCCCGGCTACTTTTTTGTATTTTTAGTAGAGACGGGGTTTCACCTTGTTAGCCAGGATGGTCTCGATCTCCTGACCTCATGATCCACCCGCCTCGGCCTCCCAAAGTGCTGGGATTACAGGCGTGAGCCACCGCGCCCGGCCAGGTGGATCTTTTTAAAATGTGGAATGTATTATGCTTTTATTATTACAAAAACACATGCTTATTTTATAAAATTTAGAAAACTTAGAATCTTCTCTCCCAAAAAGAAAGAAAAAAACTTTTATATTCAACTCCATTCTACTTGTAGTAGCACTGTATTATACAGCCTTTTGGTCAATTGTATATCTTTTTCACACAAGTGGTACAATCATGGGTTTTCAACTTGCTTTTCTTACTTAATAATACCTCATGGATATGTTTAAATGTTCCTAAACAATGCCATTTTAATATCTGTATGATTTTCTGCTGTATAGATATAGAGATGTGACAATTCAACCAATCTTTAATTCTTGGATATTTAAGCTGTTTCAAAATTTGAAAACCATAAATAGCTCTAAAGTGAATATTCTTGTAGTGATATCTTTAAGCATTCATGACTATTTATATATTTTAAACAGTGGTGTGTATTCATCATTTTTATTCTAA